>NC_000021.9:36124433-36434387 GCF_000001405.40 Homo sapiens
ACTCAGGAGGCTAAGACAGGAGAATTGCAGAATTCTTCTGCAATTCAGGAAGCAGAGGTTGCAGTGAGCTGAGATCGTGCCACTGTACTCCAGCCTGGGCAACAGAGCAAGACTCCATCTCAAAAAAGAATTTATGATAAACAAGTCAGGCTATCCAGATGCAAGGGCTCATGCCTGTAATTCCAGGACTTTAGGAGGCCAAGGTAGGAGGATTGCTCTAGCCCAGGAGTTCAAGACCACCTTGGGCAACATAGCAAGACCCCACCTCTTAAAAACATATATAAAAATAAAAAATTGTCCAGGCATGGTGGCACAGACCTGTAGTCTCAGCTACAAAGGATCGCTTGAGCCTGGGAGGTCAAGGCTGCAGTGAGCCATTATCATGCCACTGCATTCCATCCTGGGCAACAGAGCAAGACACTGTCTCAAAAAAGAAAAAAAAAATTCAGGCTAAATAATATATTAGACCAGTTGAAAGGGATCAATAGAAACATTAAAGAAAGATTCTATAGTGGGTTAGTTCTGCAGTGTCCCCTCAAAATTCATGTCCACCTGCCATCTCAGAATGTGCCCTTTTGGTAATAGGGTCTTTACAGATGTAATTAGTTAAGATGAGATTATGCTGGAAGACTAATGTCCTTATAAGAAGAGGAGAAGGGTCAGGCATGGTGGCTTATGCCTGTAATCCCAGCACTTTGGGAGGCTGAGGCGGGTGGATCACTTGAGGTCAGGAGTTCGAGACCAGCCTGGCCAACATGGTGAAACCGTGTCTCTACTAAAAATACACAAATTAGCTAGGTGTAGTGGCAGGCGCCTGTAATCCTGGCTACTCGGGAGGCTGAGGCTTGAGAATCGCTTGAACACAGGAGACGGAGGTTGCAGTGAGCCAAGATCATGCCACTGCACTCCAGCCTAGGCGACAGAGTGAGACTGTCTCAGGAAAAAAAATTAAAAAAAAAAGGAACAGGAGAGGAGAAGACATACACAGATGCTCAGCAGAGACAGCAGCCATATGAAGACAGAGGCAGACATTGGTGTGATGCTGCCCCAAGACAAGGAATGCCAAAGATTGCTAGCAACCACCAGCAAGTGGAAGAGGCAGGGAAGGATTCTTTCCCAGCGCTTGGAGAGAGAGCATGGTCCTGACAACATTTTGATCTCGGACTTCTGGCTTCCAGAACTATGAGAGAATGAAGCTCTGCACCTGTATTTGGTGTTTAGTTATGGTGACCGCAGGAAACTGATACATATGCCATGTAGTGCAGCCACTCAACCACAAGGGGCACTGTCTGGCAGCAAGTTCTACAAACACAAACTGTCCAAAATAATCACTGAAGTTCACAGAGAAAGCCATACAAATAGCATTCAAATATTTTTAACGATGATCAACAGGCTACAATTTATCATTTTTAAAAACATAAAACCATTATCATCTTGCTGAATAATTCATGACCTTTGTAACAAACTGGCTGAGAACCACTTTTAAAGAACATCCTGGTCCGGCTATCATTACACACACGGGAGGGTATCTGTAGGATAAATTCCCCCAACAATTCCCTTTCCAGGAAGAGACGCATATTTTTAATTTCAATAGACAACAGCCAAATTGCCCTCCAAAGAGGAGGTACATTACACTCGCCAGAAATATACATGAATGGCTGGTTTTCCCCAGGCTTGGCAATACTTTGCCAAGCTAAGAGGTAAGAATGGGCTTTAAAATAAACCCTGATCCAGCTCCCAAGGAGAGGACTGGGGCCTTCGGACCCACATTTCCCAGCACAGGTGCTTCACCAGCCTGCCATGGCCCCTTCTCTGTCCAGTTTAGCAAGGGTGTGGCAGATTTCCTTTCAGGCACAGAGCCCAGCCTTCCAGACATCACACTTAAACTGGTTCCTACCACATTTGCAAGGAGAATCTCTTCTTCCAAGTCAGCAGTGTTTACAATAAGCAGTATGCTTTTCCCTGAGTCACTCTGAATATAGAGACCAGAAACCAATTCCAGGGTAGCAAAGGGACAGCCACCATGGTGACCTCAAGCATACAAATCACACACCTGCTTGTCCTGCCTGGTCAAGCCCTGTTGGGACCATGCATAATCCTGACCCCAGCACTCAGGCACAGAACACTTAGGAGAGGAAGGCGAGGTTTCAGCTACATGAGGTGGCATTGTAGGAATTGTCTTCTCCCTGACACCCCCCATGGCACTCAACAGCCTCACTGTCCTGACCCTAAGCCACTTTGTGACCCACCCCTGGGAAGGGCAGGCAGTGAAGAACTAGGCATAGAGAAGAGGAGGTGGGGAGTTACCAAGCTGTTTGCTGACCTCTTCATTTGACTCAGAACCTGACCTTAATCTTGCTTCCAGAAAAACAATGGGCCCCATTCCTGCCCAAGCTTGCCTTCTGCAACCCAGACTTTCTTAGAACGCGATGGGAGTCAAGAGCGCTTTCTTTAAGGCGAAGCTGTAGACAGGTTCCCCTCACCTCCCACCTCTGCCCACATTATCTGCCTCTAGCAAATAATGGTAGTCATGACTGTGCCTGTTACCCAGGAGAACACCAATCAATGGCTGTAAAGACATGAATGTATGGTTTTAGATGGTGTCTGCCTGCCTTTGCTGAAAAAATGTAAGAACAGCAAACATTTATGTATTACCGTTTGTCAGTACTGCTCTAAGCACTTTTATAATATTAAACATTCATGCTGTACTCCTTACAGCAATCGTAAGAGCTAGGCACTAAAACTATTCCCATTGTACAGATGAGCAAACTGAGACACTGAGAGATTGGGAACCTTGCCCACGATCACACAGTGAGTAAGTAGGAGCTACAATAAGGAGCCATGAAGGCAGGGAGCTCCACTCCTGCCCTTCCCAGGCCTCTGTTCACTCCTGAGCATGACTGGTACCTAACAGGTGCTCAGACAGTCGCTGGATGCAGATGAGGGAACGGCTGTGGACATTCAGTCCTTCAGACCACAAAAGGACTTTGGAAGGAGAAGAACCCTGGAAGAATGCCATGTTACTGGCAAAGGTTTGGGTTCTTACCCAGTGATTTGGTAAACACAAAGGGACAATGGCATTAAGTGATAGCAAAGCCAATCTAAACAGAATCACAGCAGTAAACCACCAGAACCCACAACTTTTTTTTTTTTTTTTTTTTTGAGACAGAGTTTTGCTCTTGTTGCCCACGCTGGAATGCAATGGCGCCATCTCGGCTCGCCACAACCTCCACCTCCCGGGCTCACCCAATCCTCCCAGCTGGAACTACCGCACACACCACCACACCCAGCTAATTTTTGTATTTTTGGTAGAGACAGGGTTTCACTATGTTGCCCAGGCTGGACTCAAGCTACCCACCTACCTCAGCCTCCCAAAGTGCTAGAATTACAGGCATGAGCCACCATGCCTGGCCACCAGTATTTTGCCAGGCTGGAGTGCAGTGGCACAATCTCGGCTCACTGCAACCTCCGCCTCCCGAGTTCAAGCAATTCTTCTGCCTCAGCCTCCCTGAGTAGCTGGGACTACAGGCACGCACCACCACACCCAGCTGATTTTTGTATTTGTAGTAGAGATGAGGTTTCAGCATGTTGGCCAGATTGTTCTCAATCTCTTGACCTTGTGATCCACCCTCCTCAGCCTGTTGGGATTACAGGCACGAGCCACTGAGCCCGGCCCAGTCTTTTTCTTAAAAAATCTGCTCACAATTCCAATTATTTGCGCAATGCTGTACTAAGTACAAGAGAAAGGTGTTTCCTCTCAGCCAGGACAGAAGGTAGGAATCTTCCTGTAACTGCAGTCCTTTCTATGGCCACTAAAACAAATTACCACAAACTGAGGGGCGTGAGATAACACATGTTTATGATCTTATCATTCTGGAGGTTAGAAGTCCTAAAGTCAAGGTATCAGAGCCGTGCTCCTTCCAGAATCCCTGAGGGAGGAACCCCTCTGCTGTCCTGTCAACTTCTGGAGGCTGTCTGTGTTCCTTGGCACATGCCCTTCCTCCATCTCCAAATCTCTCCTGACCTCTGCTTCTACCACATCTTCGTCTTGGACCCTTCTGCCTCCCTCTCATAAAGACCCTTGGGTCTACACTGGACCCACCTTGGTAACCCAGGCTAATCTCCCCACATCAAGATCCGTAATCACTTCTGCAAAGTCCCTCTTGTGAAGGAAAGCAAATTCACAGGCTCTGCAGATTCTAATGCAGACCTCTTGGGGGAGGGGCATTATTCTGTCGACGGCAATAACCGGAGCCATTTCTTTCTTTCTTTCTTTCTTTTTCTTTTTTTTTTTTTTGAGACAAAGTCTCACTCTATTGCCAGGCTCCAGTGCTGTGGTGTGATCTTGGCTCACTGCAACCTCCACCCCCTGGGTTCAAGCAATTCTCCTGCCTCAGCCTCCTGAGTAGCTGAGACTACAGATGGACGCCACCACACCTGGTTTTTTTTTGTTTTGTTTTGTTTTGTTTTTTTGTTTTTGAGACAGAGTCTCACTCTGTCTCTGTCACCCAGGCTGGAATGCAGTGGCCTGATCTCAGCTCACTGCAAGCTCTGCCTCCCAGGTTCACACCATTCTCCTGCCTCAGCCCTCCCGAGTAGCTGGGACTACAGGCGACCGCCACCATGCCCGGCCAGTTATTTTTTCGTATTTTTAGTAGAGATAGGGTTTCACCGTGTTAGCCAGGATAGTCTTGAACTCCTGGTTTCAAGTGATCTGCCTGCCTTGGCCTCCCAAAATGCTGGGATTACAGGTATGAGCCACAGGAAAAAAAAATCACTTTCCCAATCTGCAAAATGGCTACTGTCCTCAATTTCCCCAAACTAATCCCTCTCAATGATGACCTCAAATCTCTCACCCTCCAAAGAGATAACAGATGCCCTCAGGAAGGCCTTAGTTTCCCCAACATGCTTGGGTCTAAACCCACACACTCTGCCTTTCCTTCTGTTACAAGAGAAGAGGTGTGCTGTTTCCCCCTCCACACCCCCACCTGATTCCTGGATCCACCCGTGCTTGGTCTTCCCACACATTTTGTTCTTGCAATTCTTCCTGTTCTTCAACTGTTCTCTCTCTGAGATTATTGTCATTACATAAAAACATGCTTTAATATCTCTCTCGGCTTTTGAAATTCTTTAAAAAGGAGTTAAGTTGTGCAATGTGAGTTCATTGACCACAATGGATTTAAGTTAGAAATCAATCGCAAGATAGCCGGAAAAATCCCCAAGTAAGTTGGAAACTTAAAAAATACACTTCTAGCCAGGGGCAGTGGCTCACGCCTGTAATCCCAGCATTTTGGAAGGCCAAGGCAGGCAGAGTGCTTGAGGTCAGGACTTCGAGACCAGCCTGGTCAACATGGTGAAACCCCATCTCTACTAAAAATACAAAAATTAGCTGGGCTTGGTGGCGGGTGCATCCCAGTTACTCAGGAGGCTGAGGCACAAGAATCGCTTAAATCCAGGAGGTGGAGGCTGCAGTGAACTGAGATGGCACCACTACATTCCAGCCTCAGTGATAGAGCAAGACTCTGTCTCAAAAAATAAATAAATAAGAATAAAAATAAAAATAGGCGGCCGGGCTGGAGGGCCCTGCCAGGGGTGGGGGTGGGGGTGGGTGCGGGGAGCCCCGCGGCGGGGGCGGGCGCGGAGTCACGGGGGTGGGGTCACTCGCGGTGGCTCGGGGAGGCCAGCTGGGAGGGGAGGGGGCCGTGGGGGCGGCTCGGCTGAACCAGCCCCGGCTGGGCAGCAGCGGGGACGCCGGGGGCCGGGGCCAGGGCTTTCCGGGCTTAGGTGAGGCCGCCGTGGGCCCCATCTTCCGGCGGTCGCCGGAGTTTGTGGTGATTGTTGCTGCCGCCGCCACCCCCCCGGCTGCCATCTCCTCCTCCTGGGCCGCCGCCTCCTCCTCTTCCTCCTCCTCCTGGGCCGGGCTGATCCCCTCCCCGCTGCCGCCTCCTCCTGGGCTGGGCCCGCGGTGTCTCGTCCCCTCGCGGAGCCGCTCCTGCCGCCGCCGCCGCCGCCTCCTCATTCATCCTCGTGCACCATAGGCGGCACAGGCACCAAGATGTCCAACCGAGTGGTCTGCCGAGAAGCCAGTCACGCCGGGAGCTGGTACACAGCCTCAGGACCGCAGCTGAATGCACAGCTAGAAGGTTGGCTTTCACAAGTACAGTCTACAAAAAGACCTGCTAGAGCCATTATTGCCCCCCATGCAGGATATACGTACTGTGGGTCTTGTGCTGCCCATGCTTATAAACAAGTGGATCCGTCTATTACCCGGAGAATTTTCATCCTTGGGCCTTCTCATCATGTGCCCCTCTCTCGATGTGCACTTTCCAGTGTGGATATATATAGGACACCCCTGTATGACCTTCGTATTGACCAAAAGATTTACGGAGAACTATGGAAGACAGGAATGTTTGAACGCATGTCTCTGCAGACAGATGAAGATGAACGCAGTATTGAAATGCATTTGCCTTATACAGCTAAAGCCATGGAAAGCCATAAGGATGAGTTTACCATTATTCCTTTACTGGTTGGAGCTCTGAGTCAAAAGAACAGGAATTCGGAACTTTTCAGTAAATATCTAGCGGATCCTAGTAATCTCTTTGTGGTTTCTTCTGATTTCTGCCATTGGGGTCAAAGGTTCCGTCACAGTTACTATGATGAATCCCAGGGGGAGATTTGTAGATCCATTGAACATCTAGATAAAATGGGTATGAGTATTATAGAACAATTAGACCCTGTATCTTTTAGCAATTACTTGAAGAAATACCATAATACTATATGTGGAAGACATCCCATTGGGGTGTTATTAAATGCTATCACAGAGCTCCAGAAGAATGGAATGAATATGAGTTTTTCGTTTTTGAATTATGCCCAGTCGAGCCAGTGTAGAAACTGGCAAGACAGTTCAGTGAGTTATGCAGCTGGAGCACTCACGGTCCACTGAAGCTCTGAATCCTCAGGGATGCCACCTGCACATTCTCATACTCTGTCCGGGCTCCCAGCCTAGCCTTTACCACGATACTGGTCCTGGTTTGGGGGGATTCTGAAACCTCAAACTAATAGAACTTTCTTCTCTTTTTTTCTAGTAGGTGTAGTCCTTCCTTAATTTCAACTCATTAAAAAATGCTTTATAGTTTAGGGCAGTGGAAGGAAGGCTGGCATCAAAATATTTTGATCAAAAAAGATGACAATGTAAAGGCTCAGTTATGGCAGACAGTTTTTTGAAAGTAACTTGTAAAGCATTTACCATATCCTAAATTTGCACTCTTTGCAGACTTGTGCACATATATTCCGCTTTCAGAATAGTTTTGCAAATTGTACACAAACAAACAAAAAGGTGGAAGCTTTTTAATAAAGAAATTGCATTTATAAATGATCTGTATTAGAATATAATAAATCTCCAGTTATAGTCAATTACTACCCATGTTGTACAACAGATACCTTCTATTTTAGTTGCTAATAAAGGGCTACACAACTCAAAATAAATAAATAAATAAATAATTTAAAAAATAAATAAAAATAAACTGAATGAAATTGAAAACATATCAATGTGAGATGCCACTAAAGTCATACTAAAAGGGAATTTACACCACTTACTGCCTACATTAGAAAAGAAGTCTCAAATCAATGCAAATCAATGACTTCTGCCTTTACAGTAAGAAACCAGAAAAAGAGCAAATAAAATCCAGTAAGCAGAAGAAAGGAAACAAAGATCAGAACAGAAATTAATATAATCAGGAAAAGAGAGAGAGAGAGAATCATTGTAACCAGAAGTTTGAGGAAAATCAAATCAATTGGTAAACCTCTAGCCAGACAGATCAGAAAAAAACACGAAAGACACAAACCAGTCTCAGAAATGACAGGTAGCATCATTACCAACATTAAAAGGATAAGGGCATGTTAAAAGGATAAGGGTATCAATAGAATCAACACCTTAGATGAAATATATAAAAAATTTGAGCTCTTTCTCAGTGACCAGGGCCTGTGCTTAGGCATAGACGGGCAAGTGGAGCCAACATGCCAGCGGCCCAGAGCTGGGTTTGTTGCCAAACTTATGTGACCCTGCAGAGACCCTTCGAGAAACCTCATCTCGACCAAAAGCTAAAGCTGATTGGTGAGTATGGGCTCCAGAACAAATGTGAGGTCTGGAGGGTCAAATTTACCCTGGTCAAGATCCATAAGGCCGCCCGGGAGCTGCTGACGCTTGATGAGAAGGACCCACGGCGTCTGTTCGAAGGCATTGCCCTGCTGCAGTGGCTGGTCCGCACTGGGGTGCTGGATGAGGGCAAGATGAAGCTGGATTACATCCTGGGCCTGAAGATCAATGATTTCTTAGAGATTCCTACAGACCCAGGTCTTCAAGCTTGGCTTGGCTAAGTCCATCCGCCACGCTCATGTGCTGATTCAACAGTGTCATATCCGTGTCCGTGAGCAGGTGGTAAATATCCTGTTCTTCACTGTCCGCCTGGATTCCCAGAAGCACATTGACTTCTCCCTCTGCTTCCCTATTGGGGTGGCCAACCCCAGCCACGTGAAGAGGAAGAATGCCAGCAAGGGCCAGGGTGGGGCTGGAGCCAGAGATGACGAGGAGGAGGAATAAGCCTGCTTGTCCCCTCCTGGGCTGGTGGATTGTCTAGTTTTCCTGCCAAATGATAAAACAGGATCAATGCTTTATTTAAAAAAATAAAATTATGAAAAACAGAAATTAAGGTCACTCAAGAAGAACTAGGCCAGGCACGGTGACACAAGCCTGTAATACCAGCACTTTGAGAGGCCAAGGAGGGAGAATCGATGTAGCCCAGGAGTTCAACCAGTCTGAGCAACACAGTGAGACTCCCATCTCTAAAAACAAATAAAAATAAAATAAAATAAAAAATTATCCAGGCAGGCCGGGTGTGGTGGCTCACGCCTGTAATCCCAGCACTTTGGGAGGCCAAGGCGGGTGGATCACGAGGTCAGGAGTTCGAGACCAGCCTGGCCAACATGGTGAAACCCTGTATCTACTAAAAATACAAAAATTAGCTGGGTGTAGTGGCAGCGCCTGTAATCCCAGCTACTCAGGAGCCTGAGGCAGGAGAATCGTTGGAACCCAGGATTCGGAGGTTGCAGTGAGCCAAGATCGTGCCACTGCACTCCAGCCTGGGTGACAGAGCAAAACTCCGTCTCAAAAAAAAAAAAAAAAAAAAAATTATCCAGGCATGACTGTGGCACACTTGTAGTCCCAGCTACTAGGGAGGCTAAAGGGGAGGATCACCTGAGCTCAGGAGACTGACGCTACAGTGAGCCACGACTGCAGCACTGCACTCCAGCCTGGGCGACAGAGAAGACCCTATTAAAAAAAAAAAAAAAAAAAAAAAAAACAGAAATAGAAAGCCTAAATAGCCCCATATCCTTAAAACAAGGTTCCAAATGATCTTTTTTTTTTTTTTTGAAAAGTCTCACTCTGTTGCACAGGTTGGAGTGCAGTGGTGCAATCTCGGTTTACTGCAACCTCCGCCTCCCGGGTTCAAGCAGTTCTCCTGCCTCAGCCTCCTAAGTAGCTGGGATTACAGGCACGTGCCACCACACCCAGGTAATTTTTGTATTTTTAGTAGAGATGGGGGTTTCACCATGTTGGTCAGGCTGGTCTTGAACTCCTGACCGCGTAATCCACCCGCCTCAGCCTCCCAAAGTGCTGGGATTACAGGTGTGAGCCACCGCGCCCGGACCAAATGATCTTTAGGAGAAAAAAGAAGGAAATACTGGGGGAGGCACAGTAGGAGATCACAGCAGGGGCCCACCTCCGGAACCTCAAGTAAGGACTTGAGAGAGAAGGTAGAGTCAGAGTAACAGAGACACAGGCGGGTTAGCCAGCTCTGCATGGAAAAGGCTGAGTCGTGATGATGTCATGGTTCTCCCCAAATCTCAAAGTCACTGATCAAACAACTCAGTTTACACTGAAGACGATGGATGAGACTCTAATTTTGTGCCCACAGCTTGACACACCTTTGGGAATTTGGTTTAACTTTCTTTGCCGGTACACAGATCTGTGAGAACATATGATCAATCCAGATCTTTATAGATCTATATCCTCCCTGGACAAACCTAAATGCAGACACTTTTAGCACCCGTAGGAGTTAGGTAGGATTAAATAAAAACATTCCCTCCCACTTGGGGGCACATTCACTGGGAATCCCAGAGCGATGTCGCCTGCCCACACCTGCTAAGTGCGCTCACAGGGCATCTAGTTCCCTCTCTTGAGTTCCTTTTAAGCAAGCAAGGCAACCTATGTCCAGAGAAGCAGTTACTGTGTCTAAGTAAGTCACTGCATCTTAGGAAAAAGCAAACATTCGCATTTTGCAGTGCATGATGGGCGCACACCCAAGAAAATTACTCAGCACTTGTTTTTCTCACTTTGGGGTTTTCCCAAAATAATTTCTTCAGTCCAGTTGCCAAGAATCTGGAGCCCCCGACTGACCCATCAAGGTCCGATTTGGCTTCGGACACCTCGCAGATCACCCCGCGGCTCAGAGCCCGGATCCTGAAGGGCGCAGCGTGGGCAGGGGGCGGGCCCGGGAGTTGGAACAGAGGGCACAGACGGCCCCTCCTCGGAGGGGAGGGACCGGAGCCGGGGCCTTTTTCTTTAAGACTCGCAGCACTGGATCCCAGAACTTAGTCTGCGCGGCGGCATTGACACTAGCTGGGCTCCTCGGGGCGCGCCCCAGGTGGTCCGAAGCCCGGTCCGCCCTCCACGCAGGTGCCCCGCGCTCCCCGCTCAGCCATGTCGTCCTGCAGCCGCGTGGCGCTGGTGACCGGGGCCAACAGGGGCATCGGCTTGGCCATCGCGCGCGAACTGTGCCGACAGTTCTCTGGGGATGTGGTGCTCACCGCGCGGGACGTGGCGCGGGGCCAGGCGGCCGTGCAGCAGCTGCAGGCGGAGGGCCTGAGCCCGCGCTTCCACCAACTGGACATCGACGACTTGCAGAGCATCCGCGCCCTGCGCGACTTCCTGCGCAAGGAGTACGGGGGGCTCAACGTACTGGTCAACAACGCGGCCGTCGCCTTCAAGAGTAGGTGCAGGGCTTGGGTTGGGGCCCCCTGGAGCGCTCCGAGGGTGCGGAGGTGGCCAGCCGCAGGCTCCCCACCCGTCCACTTGAGTGACCGAGGAGGGTGGCGCCGACCCCTAGGGATGCGCTCAGCCCACGCCTCCCGCGAGGCGGTTTTCGCTTTCCGTGATTCGCTGAGCCCCAGGCGGGCCCGGGCGACAAACAGCGCGCCCCGCCCGCCGGCCTGTGAGGGCCTGTGCGCGGCCCGGGGCCCTCCCCGAACTGTCAGCCGCTGTTGTGTGCAGGAAAACTGGCCTCCTGGGAGGGGGCAACGCCCTGCTAGAGTTCATCAGCTTTCCTTCCAACGCGAGAAACATTTTCTCTGCAAAGAAACGGTCTCCGCTCGCTTTGGGCTTTCGCTTTCCTTGAAAGGGCGCATTCATAGATGCCCGGAGGCATTTGCTCGGGAAAGGAAATGAATCGCTAAAACAGGATTAGCGCGCGCTTGCCCTTGGTGGACTTGACAATTTGTGTAATGCAGAGCTTTGATAGGCTCTGGCAAAAAGGAAGCGAGCCTTCTCGTTCCCCCACCCCCGCCCGGGGAGCTTATGTTTGTTATAAAATACGTGCGTGTGGTCTTAAAAGCATCTTCCTTAAGGAGAGGGGCGGGGATCAAGAGATTGCTTATTCTAACTACTACTGAAGAAAATTACAGGAGGGCGCAGTGGCTCACGCCTGTAATGCCAGCACTTTGGGAGGCCGAGGCAGGAGAAACGCTTGAACCTGGGAGGCAGTGAGCCGAGATCGCGCCACTGCACTCCAGACTGGGAGACAGAGCGAGACTCCGTATGAAAAAAAAAAAAAAGTTACTACGGAGAAATAAACAGGCCGGCTTCACCTCCAACCTAGTGGGGAAAAAAAGCCTAAGAGGGAGTGAAATGAAGGATGGGGGAGCAGAAGTCTCCACCCCTCCCTTTGGCCCTAGGCACTCCGCATTGTTGTGCATGGGGACCTGAGACTTTCTTTGACCCGCACGGGCAACTCAGCCTGCCGGCTTTCTGAGAGCTGGGGTGCAGGAGTGGGGATTAACACCCCCTAATGCAGCCCTCAGCCATGGGCTGAGAGATTGGTGGATAAATACCCGGCTTCCTGGACGACAGGCGGAGGGACTTCCCCTTGCCTTTCAAGGTATGGGGAATGGACCACCAGCAGCTGCAAACCTGGGCGCTCATGGCAAGGCAGAATCTCCCGCCTTGCCCCACACCTGCTGAATCAAAATCTGCGTTTCCGCTGGGCGCGGTGGCTCATGCCTGTAATCCCAGCACTTTGGGAGGCTGAGGCAGGCAGATAACCTGAGGTCAGGAGTTCAAGACCAGCCCGGGAAACATGGTGAAACACCAACTCTACTAAAAATACAAAAATTAGCTGGGCATGGTGGCTCACTCCTGTAATCCCAGCTACTCGGGAGGCTCAGGCACAAGAACCGCTTGAACCCAGGAGGCAGAGGTTGCAGGAAGAGGAGATTGCACCCCTGCACTGCAGCCTGGGCGACAGAGCGAGACTCTGCCTCAAAAAAAAAAAAAAAAAAAAAAAAAAATCTGCATTTCAACAGAATCCCCAGCTCCCTCCTACGCACCTTTAAGTTTAAGAAGTGGTAGTCAAAGCCAAGTGTTCTCAAGGTGTGGCTGGAGACCAGTAGCTGTCACATCATCTGGGAACCTAGAAATGCAAACTCAGGCCAGGTGCGATGGCTCACGCCTGTAATCCCAGCACTTTGGGAAGCCGAGGCGGGTGGATCACATGAGGTCAGGAGTTGGGGACCAGCCTGGCCAACATGGCGAAACCCTGTCTCTGCAAAAAGTAAAAAAATTAGCTGGGTGTGGTGGCATGTGCCTGTAATCCCAGCTACTCCAGAGGCTGAGGCAGGAGAATCACTTGAACCCAGGAGGTGGAGGTTGCAGTGAGCCGAGATCGCGCCACTGCACTCCAGCCTGGGTGACAGAGGAAGAAAAGAAAGAGAAAGAAAGAAAGAAAAGAAAAGAAAGAAAGGAAGGAAGGAAGGAAGGAAGGAAGGAAGGAAGGAAGGAAGGAAGGAAGGAAGGAAAGAAAATGCAAATTCTGGAGCCCTTACTCCAGCCCTTTGCAATCAGAAACTCCAATGGTGAGGCCCAGGAAGCTGTGTTTTAACAGGCTCTACAAGTGATTCGGATGCAGACTAAAGTTTGAGAATCACCGACCTCGTTCTTAAAAATTGTTTTAAAATTAACTTGTTTTTCCTTTAGTTGTTAGGAGTTAGGATCCACTTTGTCATGTGAGTTTCAGGGGGAAAAATATGACTTTCTTTTTGTTTCTTTCTCTTTTTGAAAGGTGATGATCCAATGCCCTTTGACATTAAAGCTGAGATGACACTGAAGACAAATTTTTTTGCCACTAGAAACATGTGCAACGAGTTACTGCCGATAATGAAACCTCATGGTAAGCCCAACGTGTGGACAGTCGGGTTGCATCCCTCAGTAAGAAGTGGGCTACAGGCTTCCCGGAGCAGGGCTACCCTGCAGAAATCACTCAGGGGTGCTATTTCTCTGAAGGGGGAAAAATAGAAAATTGCTTCATTTTCCCACAGTGTTTGGCTTCTCACTCCAACATTTTAGTTTAGTTTAGTTTAGTTTAGTTTAGTTTTGTTTTGTTTGGCAGTGGGGTGGGTGGTGGGAAGAAATTTTGCTCTTGTTGTGCAGGCTGTAGTGCAATGGTGTGATCTTGGCTCACTGCAACCTCCACCTCCCGGGGTCAAGCAATTCTCCTGCCTCAGCCTCCCGAGTAGCTGAGATTACAGGCACCCACTACCACACCCGGCTAATTTTTTATATTTTTAGTAGAGACGTGGTTTCACCATGTTGGCCAGGCTAGTCCTGAACTCCTGACCTTCAGGTGATCCACCCACCTTGGCCTCCCAAAGTGTTAGAATTACAGGCGTGAGCCACTATGCCCAGCCTTAGCTTTAAGTTCCAAAGATAAGTGTGACATATCACAATGCTTTTGGGATCCATGTCATGAACTCAATCCTAGAATGATAGAATGCTGTGAGTCCCCAAAGGCCGCTTGCCTCTGGTCAATCTCATGAGTCCTCCAGCCCTCCAAGGTGATGGGCCCACATCTAGCTCATCTCTGGACCTTGGTATCTGTTTTAGCATTACAACTTTTCCTATATTCCTTTCTTCTTATACCATACTTTCTCAAGTTGATTCAGAAAACCCAAAAGAAATTTTCTTTTCTTTTTTTTTCTTTTCTTTTTTTTTTTTTTTTTTTGAGACAGAGTCTCGCTCTGTCATCCAGGCTAGAGTACAGTGGCACAATTTCGGCTCACTGTAGTCTCCGCCTCCCAGGTTCAAGCGATTCTCCTGTCTCAGCCTCTGGAGTAGCTGGGATTACAGGTGTGCACCACCACGCCCAGCTCATTTTGTATTTTTAGTACAGATGGGATTTCACTATGTTGGCCAGGCTGGTCTCAAACTCCTGACCTCAAGTGATCCACCCACCTCTGCCTCCCAAAATGCTGGGATTACAGGTGTGAGCCACCATGCCCGAACGAGAAATTTTCTTTATTAGGAAATGTCTTGCCTATACCTGCAGGTATTCAATAAATGTTACTATTATACTTTTCCTACAAACATTGGAGTGCCTGCCATATTCCAGGCATTATGCTGGGATCTGGGTGTGCAATGGTGAGCATTATAGACAGGGACCATCTCATTGGTGGAGCTGAAACTCTAGTGGGGGAGATATCCATTAGCAAAGAATCTGAAGTGTGAAATGACAGCTGTGCTGGGGTACAGGGAAGCTTGCTTCCTTGAGGATTTTATTCCCCAAGAAGTTAACTGTGGATTCTTAGAACTGTGGTTTTTATTAAAAATGTGCTTGCTTTTTCTTTTTTTTTTTTTTTTTTTGACAGAGTTTCGCTCTGTTGCCCAGGCTGGAGTGCAGTGACAGGATCTCAGCTCACTGCAACCTCCACCTTCTGGGTTCAAGGGATTCTCCTGCCTTAGCCTCCTGAGTAGCTGGGACTACAGGCGTGTGCCGCTACGCCCGGCTAATTTTTATATTTTTAGTAGAGACAGGGCTTTGCCATGTTGGCCAGGCTGGTCTCGAACTCCTGACCTCAAGTGATTCATCTGCCTCAGCCTCCCAAAGTGCTGGGATTACAGGTGTGAGCTACTGCACCTGGCCAGAAGTGTGCTTTTCTTAATTTAACATTTCGAATATGGATTATTGGCCGGGTGTGGTGGCTCATGCCTGTAATCTCAGCACTTTGGGAGGTTGAGGCAGGAGGATCACTTGAGCCCACGAGTTTAAGACCAGGCTGAAAAATATGGCAAGACCCTCATCACTTTAAACAAACAAACAAAATTATCTCTGGATGCAAAACCTTTTTTTTTTTTTTTTTTTTTTCTGAGACAGAGTCTCCCTCCGTCGCCCAGACTGGAGTGCAGTGGCATGAGCTCAGCTCGCTGCAACCTCCGCCTCTCAGGTACGAGAGATTCTCCGCCCCAGCCTCTCAAGTAGCTGGGTTTACAGGCGAGCACCACCACGCCCAGCTAATTTTTTTGTATTTCTAGTAGAGACAGGGTTTCACCATGTTGGCCAGCTTGATCTCGAATTCCTGACCTCAGGTGATCCACCCGCCTTGGCCTCCCAAAATGCTAGGATTACAGGCTTGAGCCACCGCACTCAGACGCAAAAAGTTCTTAACCTAAGAAGGTGAATGGTGAGAGTTGCACTTGTACTCTGTCAGTTTCTGAGTGGGATGAGATCATAGAAAGCCTGCAGGGAGAACTGCAGGTGCTTTGAAGGGGATGGAGTTTCTAAATGCAAATCTGAGCCAATATAAACGCACATTTTAAAAACTCTCCTTTTTACACAGAAGGTAACATTTCATACAATGTTTGCCACTTTGCTTTTTTTACTCCTTATGTCTGGGGCTCTCTCCAGGTTTGGTCAGAAAGCTTTTATCTTTTTTGTGGCTATATAGGGACGCAGCCATTATAGGGATGTCTTTTACCCAGTGTTGGGAAGTTTTCTCCCGATAAATTTTTGAATGGGAACTTGAGAGCTGCAAGGTATTAAGACACCTTTAAAACTCCATCCCCTTCCAGAGCACCTGCAGTTCTCCCTGCAGGCTTTCTCTGATCCCATCCCACTAAAAAACTGAGCAAGTACAAGAGTACAAGTGCAATTCTCACCATTCACCTTTTTAGGTTAAGAAGTTTTTGTGGCCGGGCACAGTGGCTCACACCTGTAATCCTAGCACTTTGGGAGGCCAAGGCAGGCAGACCACGAGGTCAGGAGATCGAGACCATCCTGGCTAACACGGTGAAACCCCATCTCTACTAAAAATACAAAAAAATTAGCCAGGCATGGTGGTGGGCACCTGTAGTCCCAGCTAGTCGGGAGGCTGAGGCAGGAGAATGGCATGAACCCGGGAGGCGGAACTTGCAGTGAGCCCAGATCGCGCCACTGCACTCCAGCCTGGGCGACAGAGCCACACTCCATCTCAAAAAAAAAAAAAAAAAAAGAAAGAAAGAAAGAAAAGAAAATATCATAAGAATGGACTTAATCCTGAGCAACATATGGAGACCCCAGCTCTACACAAAAAATGAAAATTAAAAATTAGCTGGGCATAGTGGCATGTTCCAGCTTCTCGAGAGACTGAGGTGGGAGGATCGCTTGGGCCCAGGAGGTTGAGGCTGCAGTGAGCTATGATTGTGCCACTGTACTCTAGCCTGGGCGACAGAGCAAGTCCTTGTCTCAAAAAAAAAAAAAAATGCATTTAACGCATCTGACCTACCAAACACCATAGGTCAGCCTCGTCTAGCTTCAAGGTGCTTTGAACGCTTACATTAGCCTATAGTCTGGCAAAGTCATCTAACACAAAGCCTATTTTATCATAAAATGTTGAGTATCTTATGTAATTTATTGAATCTGTACTGAAAGTGAAATGCAGAATGGTTGTATGGGGCCTCCAAGTACAGATTCTGCAGAATGCATATCGCTTCCTCATCCATCAGTGAAGTCAGTAAGTCCTAAGTGGAACCATCAGAGGGCAGGGACCATCTATCTGTATTTGACTTGCTTATTTGTTCAAGGTTCTGAGTCAATAGGACAAGCAACTACTAAGCCACTAGAGGGCGCAACTTGCCTACTCTTTCTAGAGTAAGGCAGCAGGTGTTTCGGGACCGGTGGGGCCACCTGGACCTCAGTGGAGGGTGGTGTGGGTGCAGCCCTTCCCAGGGCTGATGACGCATCTGGCTGACGAGGCTGACTGTCAGCCTCTGGCCTCTCTCCCAGAGGTGTGCCCTCAGATCAAAGAGGACACCTCCTCCCCTTAAGAGGATTTATTTCCTCGAAGGCACAGCTTCTATGATCTGTGTTTTTCTTTCTTCCTTTCCCATTCACATTTAATTCCTTGTAGCCGCCAAGTTTCTGAGAACAAAGCTGTTTAGAAAGCAATGAAGAACACAACATCACTGATGTAGTATTCCTGGCCAAAATATTGATGTGACTCTCCTCATGAGAACAGACCAATTCACTTTGAGAGAAATACTACAAAATAATGGTCTACAGTCTTCAAAAAAGTCATTGCCAACTACCTTACATTAAAATATATGAAAGAGATGTGACAATTAAATGCAATCCATGGGCCAGGTGCGGTGACTCACGCCTGTAATCCCAGCACTTTGGGAGACCAAGGCGGGCGGATCATGAGGTCAGGAGATTGAGACTATCCTCGCTAACACGGTGAAACCCCGTCTCTACTAAAAATACAAGAAATTAGCCAGGCATGGTGGCAGGCGCCTGTAGTCCCAGCTACTTGGGAGACTGAGGCAGGAGAATGGCATGAACCCGGGAGGTGGAGCTTGCAGTGAGCCGAGATCACGCCACTGCACTCCAGCCTAGGTGACAGAGCGAGACTCCATCTCAAAAAAAAAAAAAAAAACGCAATCCATGATCCTACTTTGGACCCTGGATTAAAGCAAACAAAAACTGTAAAAGAACATTACTGGGACAATTTGGACACATTTGAATATGGGCTGTATTTTAGATAATAGTGTTGTATAATGATAAATGCCTGGCATGTGGTCATAACTGTAGTAATGTAGGGGAATGCCCTTGCTACCATATATAATACTAAAGTGTTTAAGATGAAGGTTTATGATATCAGCAACTTGGAGAGAAAAAGGGACAGAGAGGGAAAAAGCAAACACAGCAAAATGTTAACAATTAGTGAACTTAGGTGATGGGCATAGGGTATTTATCGAACTATTCTTGTAACTTCTCTGTAACAGGAAAGAAATACATACATACACTTCATCTTTGAAAGTGAGAGAGAGAAGGAAGGAAAGAAATACTGAATAGTACTAGGTACCTGGGGGGATGAGTGAGGTGCTAGTTTCCAAGGACAGAGTGAGGGTATCTCTTGTGGGATTGGGGTCCACAAGAATGTGCAGCTCCCTTGCAATGGGAACTTGTGGGGAATGCCATTCAGAAAATGAAATAAAATCTACAGATCCGGCCAGGTGCGGTGGCTCATGCGTGCAACCCCAGCACTTTGGGAGGCCGAGGAAGGCAGAGCACCTGAGGTCAGGAGTTTGAGACCAGCCTGGCCAACATGGTGAAACCCCATCTCTCCTAAAAATACAAAAATTAGCTGGGCATGGTGGCGCACACCTGTAATCCCAGCTACTTGGGAGGCTGAGGCAGGAGAATCACTTAAACCCGAGATAGAGGTTGCAGTGAGCTGAGATCGCGCCACTGCACTCCAGCCTGGACAACAGAGCAAGACTCATCTCAAAGAAAAAAAAAAAGACCCTATTGGACACAGAGAATATGCATTCAGAATAATACATAATAAAAGAACTCACTAAAATTAGTGGGGTTTGATGCTGATGAAATGTGTAAATTAACACATTTACTGGTTTTTGGATTTCCACCAGTACTTCAAATTGTAAAATTTTTGGCCTACATATTTGTTTCTATGGGCACAATTGTCTCTTTAGTAGCTGTGAATCATGATCAACATGAATATTAATTCATAATTTAATGAATATTAATATTATCAAATAGGGACTAAAAAGTAATGAAATCAGGCCGGATGCAGTGGCTCACGCCTATAATCCTAGCACTTTGGGAGGCCAAGGCAGGCAGATCTCCTGAGCTCAGGAGTTTGCGACCAGCCCGGCCAACATGGAGAAACCCCGTTTCTACGAAAAATACAAAAATTATTTGAGTGCAGTGGTGTGTGCCTGTGGGCCCAGTTATTTGTGGGGCTGAGACAGGAGGATCACTTGAGTCTGGGAAGTGGAGGCTACAGTGAGCCGAGATCATGCCACTGCACTCCAGCTTGGCTGGCAGAGTGAGATTCTGTCTCAAAAAAAAAAAAAAAAAAAAAGTGATGAGATAAAAACCAGGATGGAAAAACAGCCCATTCCACACGTGAAGTGTCCATAATGAAGGACAGACAGAGTCATCCCCAGGGATTCCTTACTGCTGGTTGTGGCACTAAGGAATTGGGGTGGCTGCCCACTGTCCTAGGACATTGGGTGTGCCTAGGAAATTGAGAGC
Source organism: Homo sapiens (assembly GCF_000001405.40). NCBI lineage: Eukaryota > Metazoa > Chordata > Mammalia > Primates > Hominidae > Homo > Homo sapiens. The sequence continues at coordinate 36,144,074 of NC_000021.9, forward strand.
TTTAGTCCTTAGGGTGAGAGCACTGTCCCTCAGAAAGCAGGTTTATAAGTACTTGGAGTGTGTATGCTGGGGAGGAGCAGTTTTATAAAACTGCCAGCGGGCTGGGCACACGGTGGCTCACACCTGTAATCCTAGCACTTTGGGAGGCCAAAGCGGGCGGATCTCTTGAGGTCAGGAGTTCAAGCCCAGTATGGCCAACATGGTGAAACCTCATCTCTACTAAAAAAATACAAAAATTAGCTGGGCATGGTGGCACACACCTTCATCCCAGCTACTTGGGAGGCTGAAGCAGTAGAATCACTTGATCCTGGGAGGCGGAGGTTGCAGTGAGCCGAGATTGTGCCACTGCACTGCAGCCTAGGCAACAAAACAAGACTGTCTCACAAAACAAAATAAAAAATTTTTAGGCCGGGTGTAGTGGCTCACGCCTGTAATTCCAGCACTTTGGGAGGCTGAAGCAGTAGAATCACTTGATCCTGGGAGGCGGAGGTTGCAGTGAGCCGAGATTGTGCCACTGCACTGCAGCCTAGGCAACAAAACAAGACTCTGTCTCACAAAACAAAATAAAAAAATTTTAGGCCAGGTGTAGTGGCTCACGCCTGTAATTCCAGCACTTTGGGAGGCTGAAGCAGTAGAATCACTTGATCCTGGGAGGCGGAGGTTGCAGTGAGCCGAGATTGTGCCACTGCACTGCAGCCTAGGCAACAAAACAAGACTCTGTCTCACAAAACAAAATAAAAAAATTTTAGGCCAGGTGTAGTGGCTCACGCCTGTAATTCCAGCACTTTGGGAGGCCGAGGTGGGCAGATCACTTCAGGTCAGGAGTTCAATACCAGCCTGGCCAACATGGCAAAACCCCATCTCTACTAAAATTACAAAAATTAGCTGGGCGTGGTGGTGGGCACCTGTAGTCCCAGCTACTTGGGAGGCTGAGGCAGGAGAATTGCTTGAACCCGGAAGTCGGAGGTTGCAGTGAGCCAAGATTGTGCCACTGCACTCCAGCCTGCGTGATAGAGCAAGACTGCGTCTTAAAAAATAAATAAATAAATTTAAGTAAAAGTAAAAATAAAACTGCCTGGGGAATCTACAAATTTACTACCTCACCCATCTCTCAGCGAATCCCTGAGAAAGGGAGCCCCCCCTGTCACTGATGGAGGTGTGTTCTTCCCCTTGGGAGAATAGGGCCAAAAAAATTAAATCCCATGGGTGCATAGATTTTATGCCTTCTATAGTCACATTTTTAATCTTTTTTTAAATTTGATTATTACTTTTTGAGAAAGGGTCTCATTCGTGTCACCCAGGCTGGAGTGTAGTGGAGTGTAGTGGTGTGATCATGGCTCACTGCAATCTCTACTTCCTGGATTCAGGTGATCCTCTTACCTCAGCTTCCTGAGTAGCTGAGACCACAGGCACACGCCACCACACCCAGCTAATTTTTCTATTGTTAGTAGAGACAGAGTTTTGCCACGTTGCCCAGGCTGGTCTTGAACTCCTGGGTTCAAGTGATCCACTCCTCTCAGCCTCCCAAAGTGCTGGGATTACAGATATAAGCCACAGCATCCAGCCACTTTTTTGTTTTTAATCAGCAATTAAACCTACACAATGGCCAGGTGCGGTGGCTCACACCTGTAATCTCAGCATTTTGGGAAGCTGAGGCAGGAAGATCACTTGATGTCAGGAGTTCAAGACCAGCCTGGCCAACATGGTGAGACCCTGTCTCTACTAAAAATACAAAAATTAGCCAGAATATGGTGGCTCACGCCTGTAATTCCAGCTACTCAGGAGGCTGAGGCAGGAGAATTGCTTGAACCTGGGAGGTGGAGTTTGCAGTGGGCCGAGATGGCACCAGTGCACTCTAGCCTGGGCAACAGGGCGAGACTCTGTCTCAAAAAAAAAAAAAAAAAAAAACCTGCACCAAGACTCAATCATATGTTTGGTATATTATTCAACCAGTGGTTGTACCTCTGTGATATGCTTTCATATATTTATCATTCTGTTTCAGGGAGAGTGGTGAATATCAGTAGTTTGCAGTGTTTAAGGGCTTTTGAAAACTGCAGTGAAGATCTGCAGGAAAGGTTCCACAGTGAGACACTCACAGAAGGAGACCTGGTGGATCTCATGAAAAAGTTTGTGGAGGACACAAAAAATGAGGTGCATGAGAGGGAAGGCTGGCCCAACTCACCTTATGGGGTGTCCAAGTTGGGGGTCACGGTCTTATCGAGGATCCTGGCCAGGCGTCTGGATGAGAAGAGGAAAGCTGACAGGATTCTGGTGAATGCGTGCTGCCCAGGACCAGTGAAGACAGACATGGATGGGAAAGACAGCATCAGGACTGTGGAGGAGGGGGCTGAGACCCCTGTCTACTTGGCCCTCTTGCCTCCAGATGCCACTGAGCCACAAGGCCAGTTGGTCCATGACAAAGTTGTGCAAAACTGGTAAACGTCTGCTTCGGAGCTTGCTGCTTAATAAATGTTGGTGGAATGAATGAATGAATTGATGCTGTGGTTTGATTATTTCTGTTCTTTTTTTTTTTGAGACGGAGTCTCGCTCTTGTTGCCCAGGCTGGAGTGCAGTGGCATGATCTCAGCTCACTGCAACCTCTGCCACCTGGGTTCAAGCTGTTCTCCTGCCTCAGCCTCCTGAGTAGCTGGGATTACCAGGCATCTGCCATCATGCCTGGCTAATTTTTGTAATTTTAGTAGAGACGGTATTTCACCATGTTGGCCAGGCTGGTCTCGAACTCCTGACCTCAGGTGATCTGCCCAACTTGGCCTCCCAAAGTTCTGGGATTTCAGGCATGAGCCACTGCACCCGGCCTTTTTTTCTCTTTCTTTTCTCTCTCTCTCTCTCTTTTTTTTTTTTTTGAGATGGAGTTTCGCTCTTGTTGCCCAGGCTGGAGTGCAATGGCATGATCTTGGCTCACCGCAACCTCCGCCTCCCAGGTTTGAATGATTCTCCTGCCTCAGCCTCCTGAGCAGCTGGGATTACAGGCATGTGCCACCACACCTGGCTAATTTTGTATTTTTAGTAGAGATGGGGTTTCTCTATGTTGGTCAGGCTGGTCTCGAACTCCTGACCTCAGGTGATCCACCCGCCTCAGCCTCCCAAAGTGCTGGGATTACAGGCATGAGCCACCACGCCTGGCCTCTTTCTGTTCTTGAAAAGGAATGTTCATAAGAATCTCCCTGGGAGAAACGTGTCTAGTTCTGGAATCTGGAGCTGAACAACATTGCTATGCCCAACTCTTCAGCCTGAGAGGGAGAAGAACATAGTCTCAAATTTTAGTGGGCATCGGGACCACCTGGAGGGCTGATTAAGCCAGATTGCCGGTTCCACTCCCCACACCAATTCACTTCATTTCTAACAAGTTCTCAGGTGGTGCTGACACTGCTGGTGCTGGGACTGCACTTAGAACCACTGGTGTAGCAAGTGGTTTCAGAACTATGGAGCCATTTTCTAGCTGTTCCTTGCTGTTTCCAGTTTTTTGATTCTGTAAGGGTGATGCTTTATCCTCTATTTCCTTAGCTCTGCAAGCTTTCTTTGCATCTCATTCTGTTTTGAGTATATTTTTATTGGTTGTTTTACTTTTTTTTTGCTTGAGACAGAATCTCACTCTGTCGCCCAGGCTAGAGTGCAGTGGCACAATCTCAGCTCACTGCAACCTCTGCCTCCTGGGTTCAAGCAATTCTTCTGCCTCAGCCTCCCAAATAGCTGGGACTACAGGCGCCCACCACCATGCCCAGCTAATATTTTGTATTTTTAGTAGAGATGGGGTTTCACCATGTTGGCCAGGCTGGTCTCAAACTCCTGGCCTCAAGTGATCCGCCCACCCCAGCCTCACAAAGTGCTGGGATTACAAGCATGAGCCACCACACCCGGCTGGTTCTTATACTTACAAAGTAGCAGAGCTTGAAGGACTCAGGAGGAATATCTTCTTTAACTGGGACATGATTTCTTCTAGATTTTTCAGCTGGGTTTTGCATTCTGCATTCCTTCCCAGAATGTTTACGAGGTTGCCCAGCCACCGCAACTGTATCTCTTTACTGAAACTCATGCAGATGTCTTCTCCTTAACCTATGCACACTCCCTGTGAACTACAGCCCAGGGTGATTCTTCAGTAACTCCCTAAGCCTTTTTTTTTTTTTTTAATTTGAGACAGTGTCTTGCTTTGTTGCCCAGGCTAGAGTGCAGTGGCACGATCATGGGTTACTGCAGCCTCGACCTCCAGGGCAAGAGACTTCCATGACTAAAACCTCAAGTGATCCTCCCACCTCAGCCTCCTAAGTAGCTGGGACTACAGGCATGTGCCATCATGCCCAAATAATTTAATTTTTGGTAGAGACAGGGTCTCACTATGTTTCCCAGGTTGGTCTAGCACTCCTGAACTAAAGTGATCCTCGCTCCTTTGCCTCTCAAAACGCTGGGATTCCAGACATGAGCCACCGCACCCACCCTCTTTCATAATTTTTTTTTTTTTTTCAGACAGAGTCTTGCTCGGTCGCCTGGCTGGAGTGCAGTGGTGCCGTCTTGGCTCACTGCAGCCTCCACCTCCCAGGTTCAAGCAATTCTCCTGCCTCAGCCTCCTGAGTAGAGTGGCTGGGATTACAGGCGTGCACCACCATGCCTGGCTAATTTTTGTATTTTTAGTGGAGATGGGGTTTCGCCATGTAGGCCAGGCTGGTCTTGAACTCCTGACCTCAGGTGATCTGCCTGCCTTGGCCTTGCAAAGTGCTGGGATTACAGGAGTGAGCCAAAGCCTCTTTTATAATCATTATGACAATAGGTGAGTTCACATTCTCTGCTTTCAAATGGGATTGGTTTTGCAACAGGCCTCCTGGCTTCTGGTTACACCTTGTAGAAAAAAGTCTTGGAGAGCAAGGAGTCTTCTGAAATAGAAGAAATGTACTCGCAAAGGCTTGCAAGAGTGTCAAGGCTTCGGCAAGAAGGCTAATCACACAAAAAAATTCAGTGGAATTTACATTCCGGCTGGCCACAGTGGCTCAAGTCTCTGATCCCAGCACTTTGGGAGGCTGAGGCAGGAGGATCACCTGAGGTCAGGTGTTTGAAACCAGCCTGGGCAACACAGCAGGCCTCCATGTCTGCAAACAAATCAAACAAAACTTAGCCAGACATGGTGGCACACACCTGTAGTCCTAGCTACTTGGTAGGCTAAGGTGGAAGGATCAGTTGAACCCAGGAGTTCAAGGCTGCAGTGAGCTATGGTCGTGCCACTGCACTGCAGCATTCTGGGTGACACAGCCAGACCCTGTCTCTACTTAAAAAGAAAACGAATCCATTGAAAGATGGAAAAAAACCAAAGGGAAATAACTACAAATTTGCCAAGGTTACCAAGTTTATGATAGGCTGCTCACTGTGTGAAATTAGAAATGTTGTCACTTGATTATCAAACCCACAAATGTCACATCATATCCCCTGACATAGGTAAGCACTGCAGTCATAAGAGATAATGCCGTTTTTCCTTAGGGAATCAGTAAAGTATGGGAATGCTCAAGTTTCTTTTATTTGGGGGAACTGAACTGCACAGGATGACCTGGTTATTTCTGGTTCATCACAGTATGTAGCTATTTGTTTTTCTTAACTCTCTGATTTACAATGGCAGCACCTCAAAGTGTCAGTTTAACTCTCACAGCCTGCACCCACTTTTTCATCCACTTGGGGTAGGGGGAAGTCTGAATCCCACCTAGACTGCATTTAACATCTTGAGGCCAGATGGAGTGGCTCATGCCTATAATCCCAGCATTTTGGGAGGCCAAGGCAGGCGGGTTGCTTGAGCCCAGAAGTTTGAGACCAGCCTGGACAACATAGCGAGACCCCTCTCTACAAAAATTCAAAAAGATCAGGCAGACGAGGTGCACACCTGTAGTCCCAGCTACTCAGAGGCTGAGGTTGGGAGGATCACTTCAACCTGGGAGGTCAAGGCTGCAGTGAGCCATGATTGCGCCACTGCACTTCAGCCTGAGTGACAGGACAAGACCCTGTCTCAAAAAAAAGCCTAAAACAACAACAAAAACTTCCTTTAGCCTATTTGTATGTCACTGATTAAATCCAACATGCTCTTATGGTATTCATCTCAGGCTACAGCTCCTAAGACATTTTAATGTCTCCTTTCCTGGCTCTAAAAACAATTTAATGGCTTTCAATCAGCTTCCCGAGTATCTTTTGTACTCTCGCCTCCCTCTGCAGCCAAACTCCAGTCCTGCTAATGCCGGGCAATAGCCCAGGAACCACAGAGCACTTCAGGCTCTGCCTGACAAAGTTACAGACAGGAAGTTCAGAAGAAATGAGCCAGTCCCTTTTATTTCTTCTTCCTCTTTTGTCTCTAACCAATCCTTTTTGGATAAGTGTGTAACCCACTTCCTCTTTTGTCTCTAGCCAATCCTTTTAGGATAAGCATGTAGCTCATTTGGATGACCCTTAACTGTCAACTGCTGGTCAGAATGACATTTCTCATTCTTAGAGAAGGGCTGCCATTAGCCCTTATTGGATGGTCTGCCCAGCACCCTCTTCCAAAATATGATCTCCTGCCCTCCCCTGCCCCCTGCTTCCTTCCCATGTTTGCAGCTGCAGCTGCCACAAGGTGACCTTGCCTCTGTTGACTGCTCCAGCTATAGGTTTTTCCTCTAAAAAGAACCAGCTGGATTGGATCAGAGTTGTTACTGTGCATCTCACCCCCTGTGCCTGAGGAGCAGAGGGAGCCAGCCATTGCCAGAGAAAGAGGCCAACCATCAAGAGGAGCATTTAAGCCAGGTGTGGTGGCTCCTGCCAGCACAATCCCAGCACTTTGGGAGATCAAGGCAGGTGGATGGCTTGCGCTCATGAGTTTGAGAACAGCCTGGGTAACATGGTGATACCCTGTCTCTACAGAATAATACAAAAATTAGCCAGGTGTGGCAGTACATGCCTGTAGTCCCAGCTACTTGGGGAGCTGGGGCAGGAGGATTGCTTGAGCCTGGGAGGTGTTTACAGTGAGCCGTGTTTGTATCAGTACACTCCAGCCTGGATGACAAAGCGAGACCCTGTCTTGGGGAAAAAAAAAAAAAAAAAGAAAAGAAAAGAAGTGGCCCAAAGAGAAACTCCCTTCCCTGTCCTCAGATCATTCCTGAAATCTTGAATTCTCAGAGATGCTCCAAGATACCCTTGTATCCTTAAAATATATTTTCTTTTTCATAAGCTATATTGAATTGGGTAGTTGTTGCTTGCAATCAAAAGGAACCTAACTAATAGAAGTGCATTAACATGTTTTATAGTATTGTGAAAGGAAAATAAATCTTGGGGCCCCAAAATCACTAAGCTAAAGGGAAGAGTTAAGCTGGGAACTGCTTAGGGCAAACTTGCCTTCCATTCTATTCAAAGTCACCACTCTGCTCACTGAGATAAATGCATATCTGATTGCCTCATTTGGAGAGGCTCATCAGAAACTCAAAAGAATGCAACCATTTTTCTCTTACCTACCTATGACCTGGAAGTCCCCTCCAGGCTTCCAGCTGTCCTGCCTTCACCTGGAGCTGTCCCACCTTTCTGGATTGGCCCAATGTACATCTTACACATATTGATTGATGTCTCATGTCTCCCTAAAATGTATAAAACCAAGCTGTGCCCTGACCACCTTGGGCAGAAGTTCTCAGAACCTCCTGAGGCTGTGTCATGGTTGCCCATCCTCAACCTTGGCAAAATAAACTTTCTAAATTAACTGAGACCTGCCTCCGATGTTGGGGGTTCACCCTATGCTGTAGGAAAAAAAACAATTGGGCTTGGAATCAAAAGGAGAAAAAAATCATGAATTGAGAACCTATGGCAAATTAGACCATATGTCCTGCTTAATGCTTTCCCAACATGGTTTTAGGTAATTCTGACTATAGTCCTTTGCCTTAGTTCATTTTGTGTTACTATAATGGAATATCACAAACTAGGTAATTTATAAAGAAAGTAAATTTGCCTGTGCACAGTAGCTCATGCCAATAATCCTATAACTTTGGGAAGCCAAAGTGGGAGCATCACTTAAGGCCAGGAGTTCAATGCCAGCCTGGGCAACATAGAGAAACCCTATCTCTACAAAAAATAAAAATTGACCAAGTGTGATCATGCTCACCTTTAGTTCTACCTACTTGGTAAGTTGAGGTGGGAGTATCACTTGTGCCCAGGAGTTTATGGCTGCAGTGAGCTATGATCATGCCACTTCACTCCAGCCTAAGCAACAGAGACTCTGTCACTTGTCTCAAAAAAAAAAAAAAAAAAAAAGTAAGTTTATTTCTCACAATTCTGGAGGCTGGGAAGTCCAAAAGCATGGCACTAGCATCTGGCAAGGGCCTGCTTGTGTGTTCTACCATGGCAGAAGGCAGAAGGGCAAGAGAATGCTCACAAGGTGCAAACTAAACTCATCCTTCTATCAGGAATCCACTCCCCTGATAAAGGTATTAATCCATTTATGAGGGCAGAGTCTTCACTCATGATCTTAAAGGTTCCACTTTGCAACACTGTTGCCTTGGGGATTATGTTTCTAACACATGACTTTAGGGGACACATTGAAACCACTGTATCCTTTAAGGTAGGAATCAATGTCATATTTGTCATATTTCGAACGAAGAAATAAAGGTTTGGAGAGGTTAATTAACTTGCCCAAGATCTCAGAGCTAAAGCCAGGATCATATCTAGGACTGACTACAAAGTCCTGTGGTCTCCAGTGCTTGGCAGGTCCAGCTTCACTGATGAGTCTAGAGAGTAGTAACTCTCTTGGTGTAAGAACTAAGGGAGATGATACATTAAATCTAAGTGTAAATTAGATTATGCTTAAAGTATAAGTCATATGGTTATTATTAATAGATCCCCAAGTTAGCCTATATGTGAACTTTTCCATAGAGAAATGAAGCATGGTTTCAATGCAGCATATTTTAAATGGATTATCTCATACAATGTGTTTTTTGTTTGTTTTATATTGTTTTTGTTGTTTTCTGAGACAGAGTCTTACTCTGTTGCCCAGGATGGAGTGCAGTGACATGATCTCAGCTCACTGCAACCTCCAACTCCCGGGTTCAAGTGATCCTCCTGCCTCAGCCTCCCAAGTACCTGGGAGTACAGGTGCATGCCATCACACCTGGCTAATACAATGTGTTTTTTTTAGACACCAGAGGGAGCCAGTGGTTCTTTCCACATCAGCTTTTCTGTGAAACATTTTTCTTTTTTTTGAAATGGAGTTTCACTCTTGTTGCCCAGGCTGGAGTGCAGTGGCGCCACCTCAGCTCACCGCAACCTCCCCCTCCTGGGTTCAAGTGATTCTCCTGCCTCAGCCTCCCGAGTAGCTGGGATTACAGGCATGAGCCACCAGGCCCAGCCTTGTGATAGATTTTTCTAGACTGTTGCATGTGTGGTACACCCACATACAATATCAGCTTTAGACTCAACCCTTTGACTTTGCCTTCACCTACTGAACAGCAACAAGGATTGTGACAGACCAAGAATCTGAAGAAGGATGCAGTGTGGAGACGAAACAGGTGTCAATGACAAAGGTTTAGTTGTTATTTCAAGTCAACTGCAAAGTGGATGCGGTATCAAGTATAGAAACTGCACAGGACTTCTCCACTAAGAACATGGGGAGGGCAAAGGGAATGGATGTTTTGAGAAAGGAGGCAGAAGCCAACAGAGAACAGTGGTTATTACCAAGATGGGTGGAGTAGAAGTTAGTTTATAGAAGACATTGGCTTAGGCCTGGTGCGGTGGCTCACGCCTGTAATCCCAGCAATTTGGGAGGCCGAGGCTGGCAGATTACTTGAGGGCAAGAGTTCAAGACCAGCCTGACCAACATGGTGAAACCCCATCTCTACTAAAAATACAAAAAATTAGCTGGGCATGGTGGCGCACAGCTGTAATCCCAGCTACTCAGGAGGCTGAGGCAGAAAAATCGCTTGAACCTGGGAGGCGGAGGTTGTAGTGAGCCAAGATCACACCACTGCACTCCAGCCTGGGCAACAGAGCTAGACTCCATCTCAAAAAAAAAAAAAAAGAAAGAAAAAAGAAGACACTGGCTTAGAGGGTCACCAATATCTGCATATCAAAACTAAGAATGAATTTACTTGGCCAATCTCTCTACTGGGTGATCAGCCTGAGCCAGATAATGCAGTGGGTTCTGATTTATAATGCCTTCTTTACTGTCAAGAGGGGTAAGGATTAAAGTTCCGGTTTAAATTAAAGTTGAAATGCTTTACTTGGTTTGAGTATTATTATGAAAGGACCCTGACCGTTTCTGCATGTCTTAAACTGATGAAAGTAGCTAAGTAGACTTTTAAGTTGTGACAAGACAACTTGATCCAAGAAAACATATTTCTTGTCAGAATATGCAATTTTTTTTTTTTTTTTGAGATGGAGTCTCACTCTGTCACTCAGGCTGGAGTGCAGTGGTGTGATCAAGGCTCACTGCAACCTCTGTCTCCCAGGTTCAAGCAATCCTCCTGTCTCAGCCTCCCCAGTAGCTGGGACTACAGGTGCACACCACTACACCCAGCTAATTTTTGTATTTTTAGTAGAGACAGGGTTTCACTATATTGGTCGGGCTGGTCTCGAACTCCTGACCTCAGGTGATCCACCTGCCTCGGCCTCCCAAAGTGCTGGGATTACAGGCGTGAGCCACTGCGCTCGGCCAGAATACTCAAATCTCAATGTTGTACATTTACTGTCAATCCTGTCAGTATCAGTATATTGTATACAGTATACAGTAATTGACAGTATACTGTCAATTATAAATTGAGTTTTTTAAATTATGATTTACAAATGAATTTGTCAAAATTAAATTAAACCCCCCCACACGCACACACACCTGGAATCCTTTACAGATAGGTGGTATATGAATACAAGGCACAGATTGTATGTGCATGGTGGCTTTGGCACAAACAGACTACTTCTTTTTTCAATGTTAAGTGTAAAGCAGTTCTTTCATCTCTGTTCAGTGCAGTGTTGAGTGTGACTAGGATTTGAAGAACCTAAAAAAAAAAAAAACTCACCTGCTTGCCATCTTCTTGTTTTTTTTTTGTTGTTTTTTGGTTTTTGCTGGTTTTGTTTGCTGCTTTTGTAAAACCAGTTTATCATATTCTCATTAGGAAATCAATTTTCATGAAATTAATTTTTTTTCCTGCTAACTATGGCTCAATCTTTTCGTTTCTCTCTGCTTCTATCTTAAGACCATTCCTCAAATTGACCATGAGAGGATTTACATCTGGGGCACTTGGTATATGCCAAATGGAGACAAAATCAGAATCAGCAGCCTGGCTGGGCCACAGGTCCAGCATCCCAAGCTATTAAAATATTCTTAGTGTTTCCAGGGAAGTGATAGATCCACTTTGGAAGCTGATAATATACCCCTCCCCTAGAAACATGCATATACACAAAGTGTTCTAAACAACTTCCAGGTGCTCATGACCTCCCCCACCTCCCAAGCTCATTGACCACTGCCTCGCCTTCACGAACTCCAGACCTGGTCTGAACATTTCTAAAGGACGCTCGGGAGTTAAAAGGAGCGAGGCCACTGCAGAAATGACAGCCTTCATCCACAAGTGGCCCACTTCGGGTTGGCTGGAGCCACAGCTGGGTGGGGACAGGGCCTGTGCTCAGGTGAGCACTGCCTACCGCGCACCCTCCAGGTGCGTCCTACCCTGAAGCGGTCGGACTGGACCGTCTAGGTCCCAGCGCTCGAGAGGATGGCAGGCAGGGGCTGGTGATTGTCTGGAGATATGAATGCTTTCTAAGGTTGACGTCAAGGTCTCCTTCCTGAGCCACAGTCCACGTGATAAGCTCTGTCCAGGTAGAAATGATCTCACCTCTCCTGTCGCCCAGGGTCGGAAACCTGAGGCCCGTGCGGGCTGGGGCAACTTAGCAGGGGTCCCAAGCCCGCCGCGCCCCCTGCGCCCCAAACGTGTGTGGAGGGCTTGGACGTGGTCCAGAGGGAAAAGATGGGGTGAACCAGGTGCCGCGCACCCTTCGAGGAGCCCCCGCTTCTCCGTTTCTGTGAGTGACTCCAAAGCACCTCCGAGGGCCGACACACGCGCGGACGACCTTGGGCGGGCACTGACCAATGTCCCCTTCCACTCGGTTGTGTCGGGGGTCCCCAGGTGAGGCGCGAACGCCGCCCCGCTCACCTGTACGAGGCCTTTCCCGGAGCAGCCCGGCTACGAAGCGACACCCATGGCGGAGAAGCTAAGGAAGACTCCCGCTCCCTCACACCGCGGCTGAGGCGACTGAACCGCCCCAGTACGCCGGGGCCCTCCCCAAGCCCTGCTCCCAAGCCGAAGCCCCGCCCCCGCGTCTAAGGCCCACCTCCAGGCCCCGCCCCTGACCCCGACTCCGTGAGTCAAGCCTGGCCTTTCAGTCCAGCCCAGCCCGTCGAGGCCCCGCCCCTGTTGTTATGGCCCGCCTCCAGGCACCGCCCTTGATCCCACCTTCATGAGTCAGGCCCCGCCTTCCAGCCTAGCCCGGCCAGCCGAGGCCCCGCCCCTGTAGGGACAGCCCACTTCCAGGCCCCGCCCTTGATCCCGCCTCCTTCGGTCAGGCCCCGTCTTCTAGTTCCGCCCCGCCCGCGGAAACCCCGCCCCCGCGCGCCTATGGCCCACCTCCAGGTCCCGCCCCTGAGCCCGCCTCCAGGCGTCCAGCCCCGCCTTCCAGCCCCGCCCCAAGCGCCGAGGCCCGGCTTCCAGGCTCCGCCCCGACCCGCGCGGTGGGGAAGAGCCGCTGCCGCTGGTTCTCCGGCTCTTCCTCGGCGGTTCTGGCTCCCGGCCGCGCCGCAGCCCTGCCCAGTCTCTCTCCCCCAGCCCGGAGGGCTCCTCCGCGCCGCACGTGAGCGCGCCCGCCAACAGGGCCACTGCCGCGGTAAGTCGTGCCTGCGCCCTGTCCGGCGTCCAGTCCTCAGCCGCTGGGCGAAGCCGGAGGAGCCGGGCATCTCCTCCCCGCCGGCCCGCGGGTCCTTCTCCGGGTCCAGAGGGCTTGGGCGGCGCCGTGGGGCGGCCCGGGGTGCAGGTGGCTTACCGGCGCGCGGCCCGGGCCTGCGGCGCGCTCTGCTGCAGTGCGGGGGCGGAGAGCTCGGGGCCGGAGACCGGGAGGGCAGCGGGGAGACTGGGTGGGGTCCCCTAGGGTTACCCGACCCTGGCGCGGAGGATATGATGCCGGCCACGCCCTCGCCGAGCGGGGCGGCAGGTGCAGGTCCAGGGGTGGGTCGCGGCCCGCGCGCCCTCCCGGGGCCGGCCCACGAAGAGACGCTCAGCCTTTGTTTGCTGGTGCCCTGGCTGGGGAGGAGGCTGGGGACGCAGACCTGTGAGAACTAAGGGCTTTCCTCGTTGGGGAAGACCCCAGTCTTCCAGCCAGTCCCCAGGAGAAGGGATCCGGGCCGCAGTGCGCGCTCTGCCAGCCTGGCCCCTGCGCCCTGCAGGGTTCCCGGCTGCTCGCGGGGACTGTTACCCGCAGTGTTGCCTTACACTCGCGACTGCAGCCCCACAATTGGGAAGACTTTGCTAGGATTTTTTTGGTAAGGCGAGGGAAGACCGTCCCCCCGGCCCCACAAGTCTGCTGCCATTAGGTGGCTTAAATTTTTTCCAGTACAATTTAATTGCCACTTTGAAAGACCACATTCAAAACAGTGTGTCCCAGAGTTGATTAAGCCCATTGGTGATGAGTGTTTCTGTGCTGTGGACTAAGGATCATTATCAATTTTATTACTAATAGTACATATCTGTTATCTGTTGCTAAATGTTTTTGCTTATGTGGTAGGGTCACTGTCCTCATTTTCATCGAACTGAGAAATGTTCCTTCATATAGACATATTTACAGTGAACTTTTTTGGGATCTGGCAGTTGGTTTTTCTCTTGAACTTGTTTTTTTCTTTTTCTAAATTATTATTATTATTATTATTTTGAGACGAAGGTCTCATTATGTTGCCCAGTCTGGTCTCAAACTCCTGGGCTCAAGCAATCCTTCCACCTCGGCCTCTTAAAGTGCTGGGATTACAGGTATGAGCCACAGTGCCCAACCCTGAATTTGATTTTCTATGAAATTAAAAATGGGTAAAGAGAGAGATTTCTTGCTGACATTTTCGATTTTAAGGTATCTGAGCAGATACACTTCTTGTGTGATTACTTCTTTCTGTGTCTAGTTATTTATAGCCTGTATAACTGTCGGTTTTACTGAACTCTTCAATCTCTCACAGGAGACATATCCAGGATAGATTGCAAGATCATTGGCAAAAGAGCTATTTGAGAACTGAACCAATAATTTTATCAGTAGCATAATGTAGTGGAGACCTGTACTATCTCACTGACCTGAGCTCGAATCTGGTTCTGCTAGCTGCTGGGTGTGTGACCTGGGCAATTTTCCGAATGGCCTGACTTCTAATATCCTCATCTTGGGCCTAATACCCATCTCACAGGACTCGTGTATTGCAGTAAAGAAATGCATGCAGCCGGGCGTGGTGGCTCACACCTGTAATCCCAGCACTTTGGGAAGTCGAGGGGGTGGATCACAAGGTCAGGAGATCAAGACCATCCTGGCCAACATGATGAAACTGTGTCTCTACTAAAAATACAAAAATTAGTTGGGCGTGGTGGCATGCGCCTGTAGTCCCAGCTACTCGGGAGTCTGAGGCAGGAGAATCACTTCAATCTAGGAGGCGCAGGTTGCAGTGAGCCGAAATGGCGCCACTGCACTCCAGCATGGCGACAGAGCGAGACTCTTGTCTCAAAAAAAAAAAAAAAAGAAAAGAAAAAAGAAATGCATGCATAAGGCCAGGTGCAGTGGCTCATGCCTGTAATCCCAACACTTTGGGAGGCCGAGGTGGGCGGATCACCTTACGTCAGGAGTTTGAGACCAGCCTGGCCAACATGGTGAAACTCTGTCTCTACCAAAAATATTTTAAAAAATTAGCCAGGCATTGTGGCGGGCACCTGTAATCCCAGCTACTCGGGAGGCTGAGGCAGGAGAATCGCTGGAACCCGGGAGGCAGAGGTTGCAGTGAGCCAAGATCACACCATTTTACCCCAGCCTGGGTGACAAGAGCGAGACTCTGTCTCAAAAATCAAAAACCAAAACAAAACAAAACAAAAAAGAGACTGGGCGCAGTGGCTTATGCCTGTAATCCCAGTACTTTGGGAGGCCAAGGTGGGTGGATCACTTGAGGTTGGGTGTTCGAGACCAGGCTGACCAACATGGAGAAACCCCATCTCTACTAAAAATACAAAATTAGCCGGGCGTGGTGGCACCTGCCTGTAATCCCAGGTACTCAGGAGGCTGAGGCAGGAGAATCGCTTGAACTCAGGAGGCGGAGGTTGTGGTGAGTTGAGATCGCGCCATTGCACTCCAGCCCGGTCAACAAGAGCGAAACTCCATCTCAAAAAAAAAGAAGAAAAACAAATGCATGCATAAATGGTGAATTTACCAAGCTCACCCAGAAGACTTGCTTGGTAGCATACCACGTGCCCCATATTTCGAAATAAAGGAGCTTGCATGAATGACGATTTCCAAACTTCTCTCGTGTGCTGGTAGTTACACCAAATAGCACTTTCTTCATATGGCCAACCATAACACTGAACTGCTCCAGCTACTGCTCTTACCTGGCTGATGCCCTTCTTGCCATGAGCAGTGGCGTCCCTTGCCACCCCACCTTCTAAATACACACCTTATCGTCAATACACACCTTATCACAGTTCTCTTCCTGGTAACTCTAGCTGCCCACACCTCTGGACTTTGAGGACTCCTCTGCCGGTGGCTGAGTTTCCTCTTGGTATCATCAGACTCTGTCATTTTGTCCACCCTCTGTCACTTATGTGTGTTAAAAGGAGCAAGGCCACTTTGTCCACCCTCTGACACTTACGTGTCCCACATTAAACTGAAATTATGTATTTAGGTACTTCCACTTTTATTAGGCTATGAACTATGAGAGTAGGGACCTTGTCTTATTTATGTTTCTTTCCCCCATGTTTAGACACTTAGTAGAGTGAACAGACTGTGCACCATTGGAGTATTGCGGTGGTTTAGAGATGCTGGGTTTCAGAACTGAATTTTCTGGAAAAAATAATAATAATAATAATAATATGGACCATTTTGGATATATCAACTTCTTAGTCTTTACTTGGCAAAAGGAACAAACTACCAGCTCTCATTACCATCTTTTCCTTAATATTTTCAAAATGTGTGAAGGCAGTTATTTCAGAAAAAGGGACAGGCCTTCCCAGGATTGAGTAGGCGGTCTTATTTTGTGGGTGGGTGTGCAAGGTGCAGTATATTTTTGCAGAGAGGCACGCATATGCAGAGGCTCTGTGGCAGGATGGGTCCGTCTTGGGGTTGGAGGGTGCAGTGACAAGTGGGTAGAGTCTTGTAAGCTGGAAAAGGGGTTGTTTGGTTCTATTTTAAGTTTTCTTTTTTTTTTTTTTTTTTGAGACAGAGTCTCACTCTGTCACCCAGGCTGGAGTGCGGTGGCACAATCCCAGCTCACTGTAACTTCCACCTCCCAGGTTCAAACTATTCTCCTGCCTCAGCCTCCCGAGTAGCTGGGATCACAGGCATGTGCCACCACACCTGGCTAATTTTTGTATTTTTAGTAGTGACGGGGTTTCGCCATGTTGGCCATGCTGGTCACGAACTCCTGATGTCAGGTGATCCACCCGCCTCGGCCTCCCGAAGTGCTGGGGTTACAGGCGTGAGCCACTGCACCTGGCCTTATTTTAAGCTTTATGGAAACAATTTTAAACATGGCAGTTGTATGCATTGTTTTAAAAGGATTCTTGGAGCACTGTGTGTAAAGGCACTGGAAAGGGGCAAGTGTGGGAGAATCATTGGGAAGCTCCTGCAAACATGCAGGCAACAGGCAGCCCACACTGCGGTGTGGCGATGGAGAGCAATTGAGTCAACAGGTGTTTAGGAAGAAGAGGCAAACAGGACTGGGGTTGAGCATGGCAGGAGAAGAGAAGGAAGAGTCTAGAATAATCCAACAGGTAAAGGGGCTACTTTCTGAGAAGGAAAAGATGGGAGAAGGAGCATGTTGAGCAGATGGAATTGAGAGTTTACTGTTGTTTTTTTTTGTGTGTGTGTTTTGTTTTTTGGTGGGGACAGAGTCTCACTATGTCACCCAGGCTGGAGTGCAATGGTGCGATCTGAGCCCACTGCAACCTCCGCCTCCTGGATTCCAGTGATTCTCCCGCCTCAGCCTCCTGAATAGCTGGGATTACAGCCACCATGCCCAGCTAATTTTTCTATTTTTAGTAGAGATGGAGTTTCACCATGTTGGCCAGGCTGGTCTCGAACTCCTGACCTCGTGATCCACCCACCTCGGCCTCCCAAAGCGCTGGGATTATAGGCATGGGCCACTGCACCTGGCCTAGTTTTATTTTTTTTAACAGCTTTATTGCACTATAATTTGCAGCTCATAAAATTCATTCAAGTGTATAATTCAGTGTTGTTGTTGTTGTTTTTGAGACAGGGTCTTGCCATGTTGTTTGTGACCCAGGCTGGTCACAACCTCCGGGGCAGAAGCAATCCTCCTACCTCAACCTCTGGAGTAGCTGGGATCACAGGCATGAGCCACTGTGCCCAGATAATTTCAGTGATTTTTCATACATTTACAGAGTTGTGCAAGCATCGCCATCATCCCATTTTAGCACGTTTGCCTTACCTGAGAAAGATCGCCGTGCCCAGTGGCCATTACTCCCTGTTTTCACTGCACCCCAGGCAGCCACTAACCTACTTGCCTTCTCTCTAGATTTGCCTGTGGAGGGCATTTCATATCAATGGAATCATACAATGTCTGGTCTTGTGTGTCTGGCGTCTTCCACTAAGCGTGTGTTTTCAGGGTTCATCCAAGTTGCGGCGTATCAGTATTTGGTTCCTTTCCATTGCCTCAGCGTTCCTTTGTGGATAGACCATATTTTGTGGATGGATGCTTGTCTTAGTTAATTCAGGCTGCTCCAATAAAATAGTGTAAACTAGGTATTTCTGTTATAAGTGACAGTAGTGTATTCCTATAGTTCTGGAGGCTGAGAAGTTCAAGATCAAGGTGCTGGCAGATTCGGTGTCTGGTGGGGCCTGCTTGCTGTATCCTCACAGTGGAAAGAACAGCCAGGCTCCCTTGGGTCTCTTTAATTTAGTTTATTTGTTTGAGACAGGGTCTCATTCTGTTGCCCAGACTGGAGTGCAGTGGCATGATCATGGCTCACTGCAGCCTCAACCTCCCAAACTCAAGTGATCCTCCCAACTCAGACTCCTGAGTACCTGGGACTATAGGCATGTGCCACTACACCCTGCTAATTTTTGTATTGTTTGTAGAGATGGGGTTTCACCATGTTGCTCAGGTTAGTCTCAAACTCCTGGACTCAAGTGATCCACCTGCTTTGGCCTCCCAGGATTTCAGATGTGAGCCACTCCGTTCAGCTGGTGTCCCTTTTAAAAGAGCACTAATCCCATGACATAATCACCTCCCAAAGTCTTCACTTTCTTTTTTTTTTGAGATGGAGTCTTGTTCTGTTACCCAGGCTGGGGTACAGTGGCGCAGTCTCACCTCACTGCAACCTCCATGGCTCCTGGGTTCAAGCAATGCTCATGCCTCATCCTCCCGAGTAGCTGGGACAGGTGTGTGCCACCATGCCCAGCTATTTTTTATGTTTATTTTTTGGTAGAGATGGGTTTTCACGATGTTGGCCAGGCTGGTCTCAAACATCTGACCTCAAGTGATCTGCCCGCCTTGGCCTCTCAAAAGTGCTGAGATTACAGGTGTGAGTCACCATGCCCAGCCGCCAGGGAATGTATTTAGCAGTTGGTAGAGGAGGAGGAAAGAAGTTCAGAGAGGTAGATGGGAAACAAGCTCTGGTGCTGGAGGGGCCAGAGGAGTGTGTGGGCCAAGTGGAGGCTGCTAGGCTGCTTAAAGAAGTGGTCTGCCGCAGAGTGCTACTGAGAGGTAAAGTGAGGAAACAGAAAGGACCTCTGCCATTGGTGACTTGAAAGTAGTGGTGGTTGCCAGGCGCGGTGGCTCACGCCTGTAATCCCGGCACTTTGGGAGGCTGAGGTGGGCAGATCACGAGGTCAGGAGTTCAAGACCAGCCTGACCAACACGTGAAACCCCGTCTCTACTAAAAATACAAAAATTAGCTGGACATGGTGGCACGTGCCTGTAGCCCCAGCTATTTGGGAGGCTGAGGCAGGAGAATCGCTTGAACCCAGGAAGCAGAGGTTGCAGTGAGCCAAGATTGCGCCACCGCACTCCAGCTTGGTCAACAAGAGTGAGACTCTGTCTCAAAAAAAAAAAAAAAGAAAGAAAGAAAGTAGTGGTGGCCTGGTGAAGATTGGATTGGGTCTGGAGTGATCGGAAATTGAAGTATGAGATTTCATGAAATTTTTATAACTGTACTGGCCTGTAAATGAAAGACTCAAGCTTAAAGAACGTGTTGTACCTTCAGTTCAGTTTCTTCCATTTACCATATTTGCCTTTTTATTTGATTGACTACATCCAACTTGTTTAGCAATCTACCCAGCTAACCGCGTTCACTCACGTTTAACTATATAGCATTGCTCTGTATTTGTCTTTCCTTTCAGACTGAGCAGTACTGGTGAAATACTATTTGTCCTCATATATCAATTAGGATTGTGGTTGGCTATAACAGAAAACCTGATAGAACAGTGGCTTAAACAAATTAGCTGTTATGTGCAGAAAACATACACCAGACATTACAGCATCCGGGGTTGGCATGTGGTGCCTTCATCATGCCATCTGGGGCTGCAGGGGCTCTGTCGTTCCACTCAGCCATCGTTAGTTTGTGACTTTCGTGCATGTTTCATGACAGGTGCAAGATGTAGCTTCACTCCAACATCATGCCTTTGTTCTAGGCAGAAAGAGGAAGAAAGGAGGACAAAAGGCTTATGCCAGGAAGTCTGCCTCCTTTCCAACAGCCTTTTGACCCACAGCTTCTACTGACATCTCATTGTCAAGAGCTGTCACATGGCCACCTAGATGCAAGGGAGTCTGGGAATTACAGTGTTACCATGAACAAAACCAGTGCTCCTTTAGTACAGAAAAGGAGAACAAGGCATGTTGGGTAGATGCCTGCCACACTTTAAATAAAACAGCCAGGCATGGTGATACATCCCAATAGTCCCAGCTACTTGGGAGGCTGAGGTGGAAGGAAGGATCACTTGAGCTTAGGAGGTCAAGGCTGCAGTGACCCGTGATCGTGCCACTGCACTGCAGCCTGGGTGGCAGAGTAAGACCCTGCCTCCAAAAAAACATAAAAAGTTTAGAAATGCCATATGATGGGAGGGGCTGTGCTCATTTAAAATTACCGGCTGGCAACAACATATAGTCTAGCAGCTTTGGAGCTTTGATCCTGGAATTAATTTTGTCAGTTACTTGGAGCCCTAGCACTTCTATGCTGTCTGCTCCTGTTTCCTGTTCTCCCCCAGAATCCACGAGGGCGGGAACTATTTATCTTTCATCTCCCACAGTGCCTGGCCCAGAAGCCTTGCTAAATATTTGAACAGGATTGCCCAGTGAGTTTGTGCACAGTTGTGTTTGTGGACACGTGTCTTCTGTAGCTCTGGGTTGGGAATGATTTGTATCCCCAAATGGCTCTCTCATTTGGTTATTTTTTGATTTGCTTTTAGATACTTTTCTGCTGTGAGAATGTAAGATGGATCCAGAAGAGCAGGAGCTCTTAAATGATTACAGATACAGAAGCTACTCTTCAGTGATTGAAAAGGCTTTGAGAAATTTTGAGTCCTCGAGTGAATGGGCGGATCTCATATCTTCACTTGGCAAACTCAACAAGGTATGTAGGGTGTATCCTATTTGGATTGCATGGAGGTGGGGACGTAATTGTCTTTTTATTATTATAAGAAATTACATGATTATATTATTTGTATTTTATAATCTTTATATCATTACATATTATACAGTATAATCTTTATATTATTTCAAGGAAATACCATTATATATACAATGATGATTACAATAATTAGAAAATATAGAAAAGAAAAAAACCACTCATAATTCTGTCCTCCAGTGTTACCCACTGTTAACCTATCAATGTATGTACCTCCTTCCAGCTTTTTCTGAGCATAAAAATATATATAGTGTTCGTATAGTTGAAGTCTTTTTCTTAACAATGTTAATGTCTAGACAAGATAAAATTTAAAATGGTCAAATTAGGTATTCAAAGACTGTTCTTTGTATACTCCTTAGGATTTTTATTTATTTTTCTTCTTTGATCTACTTTTTTGATCCTTTTACTGCTGTCTGGTAACTCCTAGAAGAATAAAAGTTGAAATAAATATTGAAATCTGCCCAAAACTTGTGTGTGTGTGTGCATGTGTGTGCATACGTGTGTGCATGTGTGTGTATGGGGTCAGATCTAGGAAAACCAAAACTGGTCACACGTGGGCTTGACCTTGTACTCTATATCAGGGGTCCCCAACCCCCAGGCCGCTGACCGGTACCAGTCCGTGGCCTATTAGGAACCGGGACGCACAGCAGGAGGTGAGCGGTGCGAGCGAGCATTACTGCTTGGGCTCTGCCTCCTGTCAGATTAGTGGTGGCACTGGGTTCTCACTGGAGCATAAACCCTATCGTGAACTGCACATGTGAGGGATCTAGGTTGCATGCTCTTTAGGAGAATCTTTTTTTTTTTTTTTTTGAGACAGTCTCACTCTGTTGCCCAGGTTGGAGTGCAATGGCGCAACCTTGGCTGACTGCAACCTCCACCTCCCAGGTTCAAGCGATTACTCCTGCCTCAGCCACCCAAGTAGTTGGGATTACAGGCACGTGCCACCACACCTGGCTAATTTTTGTATTTTTAGTAGAGACTGGGTTTCACCATGTTGGCCAGGCTGGTCTCGAACTCCTGACCTCAAGTGATCCACCCACCTCGGCCTCCCAAAGTGCTGGGGTCACAGGCGTGAGCCACCACACCTGGCCACTCTTTATGAGAATCTAACTAATACCTGATGATCTGAGGTGGTACAACAGCAGATCTACAGTTTCATCCTGAAACCAACCATGCGCCCTCCCACCCATCTGCCACCCCATCTGTGGAGAAATTGTCTTCCACGTGGCCAGACGTGGTGGCTCACACCTGTAATCCCAGCACTTTGGGAGGCCAAGGTGAGTGGCGGATCACAAAATCAGGAGATCGAGACCATCCTGGCTAACGCGGTGAAACCCTGTCTCTACTAAAAATACAAAAAAATTAGCCGGGCGTGGTGGCGAGCACCTGTAGTCCCAGCTTCTCAGGAGGCTGAGGCAGGAGAATGGCGTGAACCAGGGAGGCGGAGCTTGCAGTGAGCTGAGATTGCACCACTGCCCTCCATCCTGGGTGACAGAGCAAGACTCCGTCTCAAAAAAAAAAAAATTGTCTTCCACGAAACTGGTCCCTGGTGCCAAAAAGGTTGGGAACCACATCTCTATATAAGTGACATATAGATGGGAGCATTATATTTTCCCATCCTTTCTTTCCCAGAAAGAAAGTGACACAGGGACTTTCAAGTGCTCAGATGACCACTACAACATGTAGGTAGATGATATCTGGGCTTAGATAAGCTGTACCTGGCTCTGTTGCTGTTCAGACAGGACCTGAGTTTGGAGCCCAAGTGCTAGGTGGGAGTTAGGAGATGTCTAACTCTACTCTGCAGATCTCAGCTCCCCAGGCCAAACACACCAGGGGAACTGGGGTGAGTGAAGAATTTCAGCAGCCTGACCCTCCAGCCCTGACAGATGGCTATCAGGCACGCTGCAGATGGGCAGTTCTTACAGCTCGTGGCCAGTAAGCTGCTGGTCTTTTGCAAGGTATATTTACGACCTGTAAATGTCACGGCTCCGTGCTGGCTGGGGTGGATAAATGTTTCTAAGGTCTTTAAAACAGGAAATAAGAGCTTGCAAATTCTTTGGTTTTACAGCTCTATCTCAGGAATTCTCTAGGTGAATGCAGATTGCATTCGCAGACTTGCTCTGAAGGTGGATTGCTTTTTGAGGGGAAAGGGAGAAGCAGTAGAACCGCATTGAGTCCCACATTCTTCTGGATGTTTCACTTTTCAGTACTCAGCCCTCCTGGAGTCTAAGAACAGCCTACTTTTTCTTTCTTTTCTTTTTCTTTTTGAAACAGTCTTGCTCTGTCACCCAGGCTGGAGTGCAGTGACACGATCTCGGCTCATGACAACCTGAGCCTCCCAGGTTCAAGCGATTCTCCTGCCACAGCCTCCTGAGTAGCTGAGATTAGAGGTGCCCGCCACCAGGCCTGGCTAATTTTTTTGTATTTGTAGTAGAGATGGGGTTTCACCATGTTGGCCAGGCTGGTCTCGAACTCCTGACCTCAAGTGATCCGCCCACCTCAGCCTCCCAAAGTACAGGGATTACAGGCATGAGCCACCGTGCCCAGCCGAACAGCATATTTATTGTTGGGGAGGGCACAGTCTTCATTATTTCTGTTTTTTCTTTTTCTTTATTGAGATAAAATTCACATAACACAAAATTCACCATTTACCCATTTTAAAGTGCACAGTTAAGTGGCCTTTAGTATGTTTACCATGTTGTGTAACCCTTACTATCTAGTTCCACACATTTTCATCACTCCAAAAGGAAACCCGTACCCATTCAGCAGTTCCTCCCCATTCCTCCCTCCCCCCAGCCCCGGTAACCACGAATCTACTTTCCCTCTCTACGGACTTTCCATGGAAATGGAATCATACCACATGTGGCTTTTTGTGACTGGTTTATTTCATTTAGCATAATGTTCTTAAGGTTCATCCATGTTATAGTATGTGTTAGAATTACCTTCCTTTTTACAGCTGAATAATACTCTATTGTATGGGTAAGTCACATTTTCTTTTCTTTTCTTTTCTTTTTCTTTTTTTTTTTTTTTTTTTTCGAGATGGAATCTCACTCTGTCATCCAGGCTGAAGTGCAGTGGCACAGTCTCGGCTAACTGCAACCTCCACCTTCTAGGTTGAAGCGATTCTCCTGCCTCAGCCTCCCGAGTAACTGAGACTACAGGCGCACACCACCACACCCGGCTAATTTTTGTATTTTTAGTAGAGACAGGGTTTCACCATGTTGGCCAGGCTGGTCTTGAACTCCTGACCTCCAGTGATCTGCCTGCCTTGGCCTCCCAAAGTGCTGGGATTATAGACATGAGCCACCGCGCCGAGCCACATTTTTCTTTATCCATTGATCAGTTGATGGACATTTAGATTTTTACCTTTTGGCTATTGTGAATAGTGTTGCTATGAGCATTCATTTGCAAGCTTTTGTTTGAACCTCAGTTTTCAATTCTTTGGGGTGCATACTTAGGAGGGGCATTGCTGGGACATACGGAAACGCTATGTTTAACTTACTGAGGAGCCACCAAATTGTTTTCCCAGCAGTTGCACCATTTTACATATCCACCAAAAGCAATGCGTGAGTGTTCCAATTTCCTAACATCCTCACCAATACTTATTTTCAAGTTTTTTTTTTTTTGACACTCGCTCTGTTGCCCAGGCTGGAGTGCAGTTGTGCAATCTTGGCTCCTGCAACCTCCACCTCCTGGGTTCAAGCGATTCTCATCCCTCAGCCTCCTGAGTAGCTGGGGTTATAGGCGTTAGCGACCATGCCTGGCTAATTTTTTATTTTTACTTTTTAATACAGATGGGGTTTCACCATCTTGGCCAGGCTGGTCTCGAACTCCTGACCTCAGGTGATCTGCCCGCCTCAACCTCCCAAAGTGCTGGGATTACAGGTTTGAGCCACTGTGCCCAGCCTATTTTCAGTTTTTTAAAAATGATAACCATCCTAGTTGTGTGAAGTGGTCTCTCCCTGTGGGTTTTTTTTTTTAATTAATAATTTTAAAAAATAACTTTTATTGAGACCCCACCAGGTGCAAAACCTGTTCCTGGCGTTAAGCTCCTTCTTCCTTTGCAATTCGGTCTTTCTCGAGTGGTCCCATGAATGCTTTCTTCTCCTCCATGGTCTGGAAGCGGCCATAGCCAAACTTGGAGGTGGTGTCAGTGAACTTAAGGTCAGTCTTCTCCAGAGCCCATCGTCTGGTCTGCACCAGCAAAGATGTGCAGAGAATGAGCACTCGCTTCTTGGTTCCCACCACACAGCCTTTCAGCATAACAGAGTTATTGGTCACTTCACCATAGTGGACAAAGCCACCCAGAAGGTCGATGCTCTTGTCAGACAGGTCATAGTCCGTGGAGGCATTGTTCTTGATCGGTTTGCTGTCCTCAGTAAGGTAGCCCTGGTCAATCTTACAGATCTTCTTGTTGATCTCAGTGTGGTGATGGTCGCCTTTCTGCCCAGCACATGCCATGGAGAAGGCCACATGGTCAGGATGCCATGCCCCAATCCAGGCCACCTTGCACAGGCCTCGGTGGGTCTTGTGGGGCAGCTTCTTGGTGTGCCAACAACTGGTGACCCCTTTGTAGCCTTTGCCCTTGGTCACCCCGATGATGTCGATCATCTCGTCCAGCCCAAACGCTTGGTTCACAGGTACCTGCTGCTGTAGCCCCTCCTGGGCTCAGTCCAGCTTCTCAGCCATGGTGCCTCCGTTCACTTGGATCTCCATCAGCTGGGCCTTCTTCTGGCGCAGAGGAAGTAGGCGCGTCTGGGTGTGGGCAGCGAGGCGGGTGACTTGGCAGTGCTTCCTCATGCTGCTGAAGTCTTCTCCAGCTGCTTCTTGCCATCCTCATCCTGCCATTTCTTGCAGTACTTGGTAAAGGCCTTCTTCCTAGATTTATGCCGGTTGTTAGAGAAACACCTTTTGCACTCATCGTTGATGTGCTCAGCAAAGATGGCCTTGAAGGTCCGGAGGCCTCAAGGGGTTTCCACGTAGCCCGCAATGCCCACAACCACCATAGGTGGTGTCTCCACAGTAGTCATGGCCTCTACCACCTCCTTCACTTTCACCTTGGATCTTGGCCTGTCGACTTCCCGTGTGATGTGGGTCATGCCAGCCTTGTATCCCAGGAAGGCTGTGACGTTGACCAGCTTGGAAGGGTCATCCTTAGGGAAGCTCTTCACCTTCCCACGTTGCCTATTTCTTCACTCCTATGGCAGGAAGCAGAGGGACCCATGTCTGGGAGTGGAGAACTTTCTGTGAGACATCACACAATCAAATTCCACCGGTAGAGCTCTCCCTGTGGTTTTGATTTGCATTTCCCTAATGACTAATAATTTTGAGCACCTTTTCATATGCTTTTTGGGCATTTGTGTATCTTTTTGGAAGAAATTTCTATTCTAGGCCTGGCGCGGTGGCTCATGCCTGTAATCCCAGCACTCTGGGAGGCCGAGGCCGGCAGATCATGAGGTCAAAAGATGGAGACCACCCTGGCCAACATGGTGAAACCCCATCTCTACTAAAAATACAGAAATTAGCTGGGCATGGTGGCATGCACTTGTAGTCCCAGCTACCCAGGAGGCTGAGGCAGGAGAATTGCTTGAACCCGGGAGGCAGAGGTTGCAGTGAGCTGAGATCGTGCCACTGCACTCTAGCCTGGGTGACAGAGTGAGACTCTGTCTAAATAAATAAATAAATATATATATATAAAATTATTATTTATTTATTTATAATTATCCAGCCGTGGTAGTGCTTGCTTGTCCTCCCAGCTACTTAGGAGGCTGAAGTAGGAGGATCGCTTGAGCCCAGGAGATCAAGGCTGCAGTGAGCATGATCATGCCACTACGCTGCAGCACGTAGTGCTGAGTGACAGAACAAAACCCTGTTTCAAAAAAAAAAAAAAAGACATAACTTTGTTAGAGTTGTTACCTGAGGATTCCCATCCCAAGGGTCTCCTCTTGGATCTCATTTCTTGTTCCCTGCTGCTGTGATTAACTGTTGAGTTTAAGCAGCCACCTTGAAGAATTTGCAAGATACGGTTGGGACAAAGGTGATGCTGTCAGTCCCTACCTCTGCTTTGCCTGAGGCCGCTGACATTCATGGAGAGCTCACTGCGTGCTAAGGAGTTGACGTGCATTATTGTATAATACTTAAAATGTATCTTGAGATCCGTCTCAGGTTCAACCACTTGTGCAAGGCCACTGCCAGCCAGTGGCAGAGAGAGGGCTCAGACCCCGACCAGCCTGGTTCCAAGGCCCATGCTCATGAGCAGAGCCTCCAGCCTTCTTCATGTCAGTATCTGTATAGCTTACGTAAGGGGAAAGGGCTGTGCTTCTTTGCTGCCAGGGACCCTGTCTCCATCACCCAAATGCAGTAGGCGCAATTATTAGGCCCATTTTACCGATGAAGGCTAACCTACTTGCCCAGTGTCTTATGGCAACTGAGTGGTTATTATGGATTGAATTTTGGCCTCCGTGAAAGAAACCCTGGAGTCTTAACCCTTAGTACCTCAGTATGTAACTTGATTTGGAAACAGCATCTTTACAGAGCTAATCGAGCTAGAGGAGGTCATTAGGGGGTGGCCCTAATCCAGTGTGACTGGTGTCCTGATGAAAAAGGGGAAATGTAGACACAGACATGCATGAGGGAAGGCACCATGTGAGGATGAAGGCAGAGACCAGAAAGATGCATCTACAAGCCAAGAAGTGCCAAAGAATGACAGCAAACTCCTAGCAGCGGGGGGAGAGGCACGGGACAGATTGTCTATGCAGCCTTCAGAAGAAAGCCGCTCTCTTGACACCTTGATTTCAGACTTAACATGAGAGAATACATTTCTGTTGTTGAAGCCACCTGGTGTGTGGCACTTCGTTATAGCAGCCCTAGAATGCTATGACAGTGGTAGGACAAGATCTGTTAACACCTCAGTGCTGGGGATAAGGCATTGAACACTAAGCCCCTGCTCTCATGGAAAGAAATGACGCTTTCTTGGCGAGAGACAGACGACAGATGACTGTGTGATGTCAGATGCTGAATGCTAAGAAGAAAAATAAACTGGGGAAGTGGGGTATGGAGGAAGGAGGAGGGAGTGCTATTTTAGACAGAGAGGACACTGACAGCGTGACCTTAAAGCAGAGGTTGGGGTGAAGTGAGCAAGCTGGTGGGAAGGGCAATCTGGGGCATGGGCCTGTGTCCAAGGCATGGGAAGGGGACAGGAGTAGCCAGAGGACAGAGTGACCAGAGATACAGCAGGGTCAGGCCACTGATAGGATTTTGCTCTGGCGGGGAGGGGAAGCCACTGAGCTTCCTCCCAGGGAGGCTGTGAGCAAGGGAACCTCTGCCTCACCCATTCCAAGAATTCCCCGGGCCGTCAGCAAGCACAAGAGCCAGTGTGGATGCCCGCACCATTAGGCCTGAGATCAGTTCCTGCCGTTACTGGATGTGGAGGGTTTGGATGGTGCTGGAGGGAGCACATCTTGATCAGCATCAGGAATACTTGGTTCTGTGAAACTTGCAACTTCTGCATTCAAGGGTCCCTGATAGGAGTTGGTATGAATAAAGAATTTTCTTCACTGGGTGCAGTGATGCATGCCTGTAATCCTAGCACTTTGGGAGGCTGAAGGCAGAAGGATCACTTGAGCCCAGGAGTTTCAGACCAGCTTGGGCAACATGGCAAAACCTTGTCTCTCCAAAACTACAAAAATTATCTGGCCATGGTGGTGCACACCTGTAGTCCAGCTACTCAGAAGCCTGAGGTGGGAGGATCCCTGGAGCCTCAGCCTGGAGCTCTTGCACCACTGCACTCCATCCTGGGTGACAGAGTGAGACCCTGGCTCAAAAAAAAAAAGGAATTTTTTTAAGGCTTTGGTGATCGTCACATTTCTTGGACTTATGCACAGAAATTCAGTGAGTAAGAGTTGAGAGTTGGGCGGGGCGCAGTAGCTCACCCCTGTAATCCCAGCACTTTGGGAGGCTGAGGCAGGTGGATAACCTGAGGTCAGGAGTTTGAGTCCAGCCTGGCCAACATGGTGAAACCCTGTCTCTATTAAAAATAAAAAAAATTAGCCAGGCATCGTGGCGAATGCCTGTAGTCCCAGCTACTTGGGAGGCTGAGGCAGGAGAATCGCTTGAACCTGGGAGGCAGAGGTTGCAGTGAGCCAAGATTGCACCACTGCACTCCAGCCTTGGGGACAGAGGAAGACTCTGTCTCAAAAAAGAGTTGAGAGTTGAATTAGCAAAATTCTTTATAATACAGATTTAAACAATGATATAGGACACAAAAGCTTAGGGTCAACATTCTTTTTTTTAAGGTAGGTAACTAAATGTTATAATGCATAAAACTTAGATTTGGAGGAGAAGACTCATCCAGTCAACCCTTTTTTCAACTAAGAAAACTGGTTCCCAGAAGGTCTTGGTATGTCCAGCTGTAGACAGATTCTAATGGTATCATTTTCAAACTTGCTCAATGTTTCAGCATCATTTTTAGAATTTTTCTGTGTTAGAGAATAGTTTATCTTTTTTTTTTTTTTTGAGATGGAGTCTTGCTCTGTCGCCCAGGCTGGAGTGCAGCGGCCCCGTCTTGGCTCACTGCAAGCTTCGCCTCCTGGGTTCAAGCAATCCTCCTGCCTCAGCCTCCCGAGTAGCTGGGACTACAGGCGCCCACCACCACACCCGGCTAATTTTTTTTGTATTTTTAGTAGAGACGGGGTTTCACCGTGTTAGCCAGGATAGTCTCGATCTCCTGACCTCATGATTCATCCGCCTCGGCCTCCCAAAGTGCTGGGATTACAGGCGTGAGCCGCCGCGCCCGGCCCAAGAAAAACATTTTCATCAAGTGCCCTTTTGAGCCCTGAACCCAGGTGCTCTACCAAGCCTGATTTACAGCTTTGATTTTGGAAGTGAAGGCTAATAGAAATAAATTAACTCTGGATTTAAAAATCTTATCATTAAAGCTCTTTAAAAAAAAAAAAAAGTTATAATGGTCCTAAATGAACCAGTTTTTTTTGTTTTTTGTTTTTTCGCTGCTTTTATCTGATGACACACTACGGTTTCACAGAGCAGCCATGAACAGGAAGGGCAGCATGAGGTCTGTGGTGTCACACAGTTCAGCTTCCGGAGTCTTCATCAGTTAGCTACAAGCACCTCCTGTTTAAAGCAGAGCCTCCTGATGGTGTGTTTCAGAATTAGTGCTGCAGTGTGGTGGGAAGAACACGGGTTGGAGCTTGGAGACCTAGTGAACTACTCCAGCCCTTTACAGATCGGCTGCAAGAACTCTTTACCTAAAAACTTGGTGAGAGGCCAGGCGTGGTGGCTCACGTGTGTAGTCCCAGCACTTTGGGAGGCCAAGGTGGGTGGATTACTTGAGGTCAGGAGTTTGAGACCAGCCTTGCTGACATGGCGAAACCCCGTCTCTACTAAAAATGCAAAAATTAGCCGGGCGTGATGGCAGGCACCTGTAATCCCAGCTACTTGGGAGACTGAGGCAAGAGAATTTCTGGAACCTGGGTGGCGGAGGTTGCAGTGAGCCGAGATTGCACCACTGCACTCCAGCACTCCAGCCTGGGTAACCAAAAACCAAAATAATAAATAAATTAATAAAAACTTGGGTGAGTCCAACAGAATCCTTCTTCTTTTTTTGAGGCTGGAGTGCAATGGCATGATCTCAGTTTACTGCAACCTCTGCCTCCTGGGCTCAGGCCATCCTCCTGCCTCAGCCTCCCAAGTAGCTGAGACTACAGGCATGTGTGCGCTACCATGCCTGGCTAATTTTTGTATTTTCTTTTCATAGAGACAGGGTTTCACTATGTTGCCCAGGCAGGTCTCAAATTCCTGAGCTCGAGTGATCCTCACAAAGTGCTGGAATTATAGGCGTGAGCCACCGTGCCTGGCCGGGATCCTGATTTTTTACCCCTGCCTGAATCAACTCCTCTTCCCTGTTGACTAGTATTAGTTCACATAAATCCTCTTCAGCCTGGAGTCTGTGTTAGTCTGCTAGGGCTGCCATAACAAAATACCACTGGCAGAGTGGATTAAACAACAGATTGTTTTGTTTCACAGTTCTGGAAGCCAGAAGTCCAATATCAACGTGTCGGCAGGGTTGGTTCTTCTGAGGCCTCGCTGCCTGGCTTGGAGATGGTGTCTTCTCCCTGGGTCCTCACAGGATCATCCCTCTGGGTGTATCTGTATCCAGATTTCTTCTTCTTCTTCTTTTTTTTTTTTGAGATGGAGTCTCACTTTGTTGCCCAGGCTGGAGTGCAGTAGCACGATCTTGGCTCACTGCAACCTTCACCTCCCAGATTCAAGCGATTCTTCTGCCTCAGCCTCCAAAGTAGCTGGGATTACAGGTGCCTGCCACCACAGCCAGCTAATTTTTGTATTTTTAGTAGAGATGTGGTTTCACCATGTTGGCCAGGCTGGTCTCGAACTCCTGACCTTAAGTGATCCGCCCGCCTCGGCCTCCCAAAGTGCTGGGATTACAGGCGTGAGCCACCACGCCTG
Source organism: Homo sapiens (assembly GCF_000001405.40). Taxonomy (NCBI): domain Eukaryota; kingdom Metazoa; phylum Chordata; class Mammalia; order Primates; family Hominidae; genus Homo; species Homo sapiens. The sequence continues at coordinate 36,175,408 of NC_000021.9, forward strand.
GCCCAGATTTCCTCTTCTTACAAGGACACCAGTCAGACTGCATTAGGGCTCACCCTAACTGCTTCATTCTACTTTGATTACCTATTTAAAAATCCTGTCTCCGGCCGGGTATGGTGGCTCATGCTTGTAATCCCTTGGCCTATGGGAGGCCAAGATGGGTGGATCACTTGAGGTCAGGAGTTCAAGACCAGCCTGGCCAACATGGTGAAATCCTGTTTCTATTGAAAATATAAAAACGAGCTGGGTATGGTGGCGCATGCCTGTAATCCCAGCTACTCAGGAGGCTGAGGCAGGAGAATCACTTGAACCCAGAAGGTGGAGGATGCAATGAACCAAGATGGCACTGCTGTTCTCTAGCCTGGGCAACAGAGTGAGACTCTGTCTCAAAAAAAAGAAAGAAAAGAAAAAGAAAAAGAACCTGTCTCTAAATACAGTCCCAGTCTCAGGTGGAGGTCAGGAAGGGCTTTGCCATAGGAGTTTGAGAGGGATACAGTTCAGCCATGACAGAATGTGATGAGGAGGTGCAGGCTGTCTCTCCACCTGTCACCTGTTTACAAAGCTGATCTCTGGTAGAAGCCCAGATGGTCTTTTATCACACACCTTGTGGAGGAACAGAGGAAGTGTGATTTCTTTAGTCTTGTTCTTGATCCAGGAGCCCAGTGAGGAGCTTCGACTTTGGGGTGTGTGTGCGTGTGTGTGTGTGTGTGTGTGTGTGGTGATACAGTTAAGCACCCAGAACTGCTGAGTCAGGAAAGCGTTCCAGGTGATTTGTGCCCCCTCCACCGCATGCCAAGAGCTCTGCACCAGCTTATTTATGGGGCACTGCATTGTGGGGGTATCCTACATGTCTGCTGGGGGTGGCCCTTTCAGCCTTCCTCCCCCACTGGAGCCTTGGTGCTGCTGCCACAGTTGACTCTGCACTCCTTATCCCTGCTGGCCAGACCCTGCATGCTCAGTGCCTAGAACAAGGCTACGAGCCCTGCCAGCCTCCTTGTGTATGAGCTGCATCTTTCAGCCTGCAGGGTGCCTGGTTTCATCTCAGCATCTCACTTGTAGGGCATCCTCTGTTAGAGCGTGACACCTAAATTTGGGGCTATGATTTTAGCCATTTTCTAGCAACCTTTGTTCTGATGACCTCTGTGGCTATGACCGTGAGGGTGGAGGTGGCCAGGTAAGTGCAGGGCCAGGGTCATCGTGGAATGATAAGGGCCTGAATTGCCTTCTGAGAAGACACCAAATGGAAAGGATGCTGTTGATGGGAATTCTTGACTGGCTTCACGTTAAACTAGATCCTGTACCTCTGCAGGAGAGGGGCCAGCCCAGCATCCATTTGTCTCTGGCAGTGTCCTGATGCTCTTGGCACCAGTATTTAGAAGATGCAGATCCAACTCCCGTTTTTTTCCCTCCCCTCCCCTTTCTTTTCTTTTTTGAGACAGAGTCTCACTCTGTCACCCAGGCTGGAGTGCAGTGACCCAATCTTGGCTCACTACAACCTCCACCTCCCAGGTTCAAGTGATTCTCCTGCCCCAGGCTCCTGAGTAGCTGGGATCACAGGCATGCGCCACCACACCTGGCTAATTTTTTTTGTATTTTTTGTAGAGACAGGGTTTCGCCAGACTGGTCTTGAACTCCTGACCTCAGGTGATCCGCCTGCCTCGACCTCCCAAAGTGCTGGGATTACAGGCGTGAGCCACCGTGCCCAGTCCTAACTCCCATTTCTAAGGTGTGGCAAAGGCTGCTGAATCCTTTGCTGTCGTTCTGTTGTGGGTGCCATGCTGGGGCTCTGATGATGTTGCAGCTTCACCCCTTACCCCAGGTTATCTGAAGGAGCTGAGGGTGTTCAAGAGCACTGCTACCCCAGGCTTCACAGCAGCCTCAGTGAGGGCCACTCACACTGTAAGATCGAGATGGTCTTTTTGAAAAGAGCATTTCTCTTTGCTGAAAAGAGTCTGATATGCTTTTCGATAATTTGTAGCCAGGATAGTCTATTTACTTTGTGTTTGAGTGAAGGAATATTTTTGCCATTCTTCCTTTCAGGTCTGCTGTGGGGCTGGAGGTAGTCCAGATTTAGAGATGAATTATTCCTCCAGTGCTGTGATTTGAATGGCTCTTCCAAAGTCCATGCTGAAACTTAACCCCAATTTGACAATATTGGGGTTGGGGGGGCCTTTAAAAGGTGACCAGACCATGAGGGCTCTGTTCTCATAAATGAGTTACTCGACGTATGGATTAATGCATTGATAGGTTATCCTGGGTGAGGAACTGGTAGCTAAATAAGAAGAGGAAGAGAGGCCTGAGCTAGCATTAGCATGCTCGGCCTCCTTGCCATGTGATATCCCACACCACTTCGGGACTCTGCAGAGAGTCTCCACCAGCAAGAAGGCCCTCACCAGATGCAGCCCCTTGAGCTTGGCCTCTGTAACTGTAAAAAGTAAATTTATTTTCTTTATAAATGACCCAGTTTCAGGTATTCTGTTATAAGCAACAGAAAATAGACTAAAATATCCAGCAATCTAACAGAATTGAGTTTATAGATAAGGGAAAGGGTTTGTGACCCACCTACACTATATAAATTCTCCCAAGAAAGTTAGGAGCTAGAAACTCCATGTCACGCCTTGGTGTGGAAGGTGCTGTGGACTGAATTGTGTTTCTCCTTCTCCCCTCAAACTCATATGCTGAAGTCTTAACCCCAGTGTAGCTGTATATCAAGGTAGGATCTTTGGCAGATGGTTTAGGTTAAATGAGGTCATGAGGATGAGACCCTAATTTAATAGGACTGTGGCCTTATAAGAATAGGAGGAGGGCAGGCACAGTGGCTCACACTTGTACTCTCAGGACTTTGGGAGGCTAAGGCAGGTGGATCACTTGAGCCCAGGAGTTTGAGACCAGCCTGGACAACATGGGGAAACCCCATCTCTACAAAAACAAACGAACAAACAAAATTAGCCTGGTGTGGTAGCATGCACCTGTAGTCTCAGCTACTTGGGAGGCTGAGGTGGGAGGTTTGCTTGAGTCCAGGAGTCTCTTAAGAAAAAAAAAAAAAGGAAGAGGAAGAGACAGACTTCCTCCCACCTCCCACCATGTGAGGACACAGTGAGGAGATGGCTGTCTGCAAGCCAGGAAGAGAGCTGAAACTGCTGGCACCTTGATTGCGGACTCCCAACCTACAGAACTGGGAGAAGTAAATTTCTGTTGTTTAAGCCGCCCACTCTGTGGTATTTTGTTATGGCAGCCTGGGCCAACTAATACAGAAGGAACTAAGTTAAACTTGTATTTTTCAGAAAAAAAGCAACTGTTTGAACAGGAATACCAACATTCAAGCTTGTATTTGAGTCACATACAGGCATTCCCATTTACCTATCTTTTAAAAATAGTCTTTTCCTTTTAAATTTCTTTCCAACTTTATTGGGCATACAATAAACTGCAAGCATTTAGAAGTGTATAATTTAAAGAGTTTTGACATAACGTTTATCCCTGTGAAACCATCACCACAATCAAGACAATGAGCATGGATCTGTCACCCCCAGAAGTTTCCTCCTGTCCTTTTGTCGTCTCCCTCCCTCCCTTGTCCCCAGACAACCACTGATCTGTTTTCTGTCACCATAGATTTGTTTGCATTTTCTGAAAGTTTATATAAATGGAATCCCACAGTATGTGCCGTCTCTCTCCTTTTCTGGTCTGGCTTCTTTCACTCAGCAAAGCTACTTCGAGAGTCATTCAGGCTGTTGTGTACATCAAAGTTTCCTTCTTTTTTACTGCTGAGTAAGAGTCCATGGATATATACAATTTCTTTATCCATTTCCCATTAGTGGACATTTGGGTTGCTTCCAGTAGGTATATGTTTAATTTTTTAAGAAGCTGCCAAACTGTTTGCCAAAGTGGTTGTATCATTTTACATTCCCAGCTGCAGTGTATGAAAGCTCCAGTTCTCCCCCATCCTCTTCAACACTTGGTATGGTCAGTCTTTTTCACTTTGGTCATTTTAATGAGAGTGTAATACTCTCTTATTGTGGCTTTTGCATTTTGTACATGACAGATGATTAGAAAATCAGTAAGTGGTCATTGTAACTTTGTTTTAATTCCATAGACACATAACATAAAGATCACTGTAAGAATCTTCACTGTTTTATTGTAGGTAATAGCAAAAAATTGGGAGTGACCACCCCTGGTAGGGGAGTAGTTGTGAAGTGAGTCATGGAACGACAATATAATGCACACACAGCCATGGAACCAAGTAGACTGGTAGTTACTAACATGAAAAATGCTTATTATAAATAAGGGGGAAGAAAGGACAGGCGAACAGTTTACATATAGCCCACTCAATCTTGTGTGTGTGTGAGAGAAAGGGAGGGGGTACTGTATAGGAGTGGACAAGATCTCGAAGCCCCTTATTGTAGGACTAGTGTATTTCCAGTTTTTCACGACTCTGAATAAAGCTGTAATGAACATCTTTACGCACGTGGCTATTTTTGTTAAGATAAATTGCTAGAGGTGGAGTAGCTGGGTCAGTGGACGTACAGTGAAGCCTCTGGACACAGGGGTATGTGCTGGCCTGCCTTTGCCCCTCTCCTCTGCCTGCACAGATGCCAGAGCCACAGCCTGTCACCTGCTGTACTTTGTCATGTGTTTATCTAGCAGGACCACATTCTCTATCCCAATCTTGTCACTCTTCTGATTCCAGAATTTCTCCACTATTCCCATGTTGGGAACATTAGGATAATTTATAAAGTTAAAAAAAAACTAGAGGGGGTTATTGATATTAACCATTATAGGTAATAACAATTTAGATTATTCTGGGAAGAAGTGACATCTTTACACACTTGGGCCCTTCCATATAGAAATGTGGTAGTTTCCATCATTCATTAAAATGTACTCACTTTGCTGGCCGCGGTGGCTCATGCCTGTAATCCCAGGGCTTTGGGAGGCTGAGGCAGGCAGATCACCTGAGGTCAGGAGTTCAAGACCAGCCTGGCCAACATGGTGAAACCTCATCTTTACCAAAAATACAAAAAATTAGCTGGGTGTGGTGGCGCACACCTGTTAGTCCTAGCTACTTGGGAGGCTGAGGCAGGAGAATCACTTGAACCCAGGAGGCAGAGGTCACAGTGAGCTGAGATCAGGCCTGGGCAATAGACGGCGCTCCAGCCTGGGCAAGAGTGAAACTCGGTCTCAAAAAAAGAAAAAAAATTGTGGCTGGGCACAGTGGCTCATGCCTGTAATCCCAGCATACTGGGAGGCCGAGGCGGGGGGATCACCTGAGGTCAGGAGTTCGAGACCAGCCTGGCCAACATGGCAAAACCCCATCTCTACTAAAAATACAAAAAATAGCTGGGCATAGTGGCGTGCACCTGTAATCCCAGCTACTTGAGAGACTGAGGCATGAGAATCGCTTGAACCCATGAGGCGGAGGTTGCAATGAGCCGAGATTATGCCACTGCATTCCAGCCTGGGTTGTCAGACAGAGTGAGACTGTGTCTCAAAAAAAAAAAAAAGTATTCACTTATGTCCTTAAGAGTTCTTCTTAAATAAGACCTTCCTGTTCCTCAAGTATATTAAGTATTTTATACATGTGTTTTTGCTATTGTGAATGGGATTATTTTCCTCAGGTAGACAGGTATACCGTCAACCAATACTGATTTGTATTTTTTTCTAATATTTTGCTAGCATTTCCTGGAACAGTGTTGAATAGCAATGTTGCTATCAGTGTGTTAACCACGGTAATGTTGGCTGCTATAACAAAGAAGTCCAAAATCAATGTCCTCGATGTAATTGAAGTTTATCCTCACTCATGTATCAGTTAAGCATGTTATTCAGATGGGTGGGCAGCTCTCTTCTACACGGTCATTCCAGAAACTCAAGCTAGGACTCTGTCTTCTTTTTTTTTTTTTTGAGACAGTGTCTTGCTCTGTCAGTCAGGCTAGAGTGCAGTGGCACGATCTTGGCTCACTGCAACCTCCGTCTCCCAGGCTCAAGCAATTCTCCTGCCTCAGCCTCCCGAGTAGCTGGGATTACAGGCGTGTGCCACCACGCCCGGCTAATTTTTGTATTTTTAGTAGAGACGGGGTTTCACCATGTTGACCAGGCTGGTCATGAACTCCTGACCTCATGTGATCCACCCCCCTCAGCCTCCCAAAGTGCTGGGATTACAGGCATGAGCCACCACGCCCGGCCCAGGACTCTTGTCTTCTTGAACACGTGGCTTTCACAGTTCCTCTTTTCATTGCCATTCTGTCCCACAGGAAAAGGGAAGGACACAGAGAAGCACACATACTGAGGTTTTAACCAGCCAGGTCCTGATGGCACGTGTTATGTCCACCCATGCCTCCCAGGGAGACTGGGCAGCCATGGCCCAGCTGCAGCCCTAACTGAAGAAGAAGGGAGCCGTGATTTGGGTGGGCTGGGCCCAGTGCCTGCACTCACCTTCCATTTAATGGAAGGGTCTGTAGTGTTTCACCATCATCTCTACCCTGTGACCTCCCTCTGTTTCTTGTGTCATAAAGGATCAGTTTATTCCTTGGTTACTAACTTTAATAACTACTTATCTTTATATGGCAAGAAAGGCATGTCATTTCATTACCTGATCAACATGTAAAGTATTGAATTGCTTTTTACCAAGCATCACAGTTCTGCCTTATATATTACTCTTGTGTTTGGGGGTCATTCTTGTACTTAGGCTAGATTTTCCCAATGCCTAGGATGTGCCTGGGAAGCAAATATGTTGGAGGATAATCTAATTCCGATTTGTGGAATGCAGGAAGGAGCCCGGAATTGGAGCACCTGGGGTCATGTTCAGACTCACCATTTCTGAGATTGGGGCAGATGCACTGGTTACCCACCGATAACCATTCTGCCCTCTTCTTTCTTGCCAATAGAGAACCCCAGTTATATTTGGGGATCAGGTGGTGATGCGCTGCAGGGTGGGGGCCCCAGCAGTAAATGTTATTGTTCTAGGACTTCATCCTAAAAATCCTGCTTTCCTTGGCAGGGATTAATTTCGAGGTGGGCACATGACCTGCTCTAGCCCAATGAGATATGGCGGGAAGGCTGCAGGGTGGCTTCTGGAAAGGTTTTTTTCTCATACAAAGAGACAAAAAGGAACACACACTGCCACGACAGGGAAAGATAGGTTAAGAGTCAATTCACTGGCAGGGCGTGCTGGTTCACATCTATAATCCCAGCACTTGGCTGAGGCGGGAGGACAGCTTGAGGCCAGGAGTTTGAGACCAGCCTGAGCAACATAGCCAGACCCCATCTCTACAAAAAAAGTTAAAGTTAGCCAGGTGTGACGGTGTGTACCTGTGGTCCCAGCTAGTTGGGAGGTTGAGGCAGGAGAATTGCTTGAGCCCACAAGGTTGAGGCCACAGTGAGCCATGTTTGCACAACTGTCCTCTAGCCTGGGCAACAGAGCAAGACCTTGTCTAAAAAAGAAGAGTCAATTCATCATTGACAGCATGTAAGGCACCAGAATGCTTGGATCTTTTGGGGATGTCACTGAGCCCTTGCAGGAACCAAATGCAGAAATGAGCTCCTTTAGCCCTGGTTTCCCAGCCTTGGCATGCTGTGGCATGGCAGACATTCTGGCTGCGGGTGGGTGGTGGTCTGTGCACTGTAGGATGTTTTCTTTTGTTTAAGAGGCAGGGTCTCACTATGTTGCCCAGGCCAGAGTGCAGGAGCTGTTTACAGATGCAGTCATAGCTCACTACAGCCTCACACAATCCTCTCGCCTTCGCCTCCTGAGTAGCTGGGATCACAGGTGCGCGCCACTGTGCCCAGCTCTCTGTAGGATGCTTATTCCCATCCTGGCCTCCCTGACTTCTGTCCAGTAGATGCCAGTATCACCCCCTCCTCCACCCAAAGTTGTAACAGCCAGAAATGTTTCCACACATTGCCAAATGTCCCCTGGGGGCAAAATTTCCCCAGTTGAGAACCACTGCTGTAGACCTTTGGTTTTGTGAGGCAATACATTGCTTCATTTAAACCTGTATGGCTTGATGGTCTGTTCTTTACAGCCACACATGTCCTAGCTGAGCTCACAACCCTGGACCATCCTCAACCCGAGAGCCAGAGCCTGTTTCTTCTGCAGGCTGACGTGGACGTACTTGTCTGTTGACAGTAAAGGTATTTTGTGCATCCTTAAAAGATGCAGTGTCTTGCAGCTGTTGGAGTGGTTTCTGGCTGGGAGCAGGACGCCTACAGAGCAGTTGCAGAGGACCTTCTGTCTCCCCATGGCGGAGGCACCATTCCAACTACGGAACCTTTGTTGTGTTTTGGAGGGGGTCGTGTGCTTCCAGCACCTGCCGCCTCTGCCAGCCACAGCACTCTGCCTCTTTGTTCTGAGTGCCCGGGACAGAGTTGTATAGCTGCTGCCTTTTGGAGAGAGGAGTCAGCTTTGGGCTTGAATGTATCTGGAGATAGCCCAGCTTTCATGCCATCTTCACATTTCCTGTGTACATGGTTTCTTTTTTTTTTTTTTTTAGATGGCGTCTCACTCTGTCGCCCAGGCTGGAGTGCAGTGGTGCAGTCTCAACTCACTGCAACCTCTGCCTCCCAGGTTCAAGCTATTCTCCTGCCTCAGCTTCCCGAGTAGCTGGGACTACAGGTGCGTGCCACCACGCCTGGTTAATTTTTGTTTTTTGCTTTTTCTATTTTATCTTTTTTTGAGACAGAGTCATACTCTGTCGTCCAGGCTGGAGTGCAGTGGCGTGATCTTGGCTCACTGCAACCTCCGGCTCCCAGGTTCAAGTGATTCTCCTGCCTCAGCCTCCCAAGTAGCTGGGATTACAGATGTGCACCACCACACCTGGCTAATTTTTGTATTTTTATTAGAGATGGGATTTCACCATGTTGGTCAGGCTGGTCTCAAACTCCCGACCTCAGGTGATCCACCTGCCTTGGTCTCCCAGAGTGCTGCGATTACAGGTGTGAGCCACCACGCCCGGCCTAATTTTTGTATTTTTAGTAGAGGCGGGTTTCGCTATGTTGCCCAGGCTGGTCTTGAACTCCTGACCTCAAGTGATCCACCCACCTCGGCCTCCCAGAGTGCTGGGATCATAGGCATGAGCCACCGTGCCCAGCCCCTGTATACACTGTTGCGGCCCCTTCCCACCCAGCTGCCGAGAGATGGTTCTTTCACAGGTCTCCTGCTTCCGTGCAGGTAGCTTATTCCAGGGACAGGGAAGCAGGAGGAAAAAGCACTAGGAGGAAGACCGCAGACTGGATTCAGAACAGGCTATCGTGGAGAGCTGTGTGCTTCGCTGCCGGCCTGAGGCTCTGCGTTCCCCTCCTTGGTGCTCAGGCTGCCCGGCATACGCAGCAAGTGCTGACCCAGCAGGCAGCCCACGTGCGCTTCAGGTGTGGGAGGCTCTGCGGGCTGCGGGGAACAGGATCGCTGTGGGAGGTTGAGCCTGGAGCTCTGAACAGCCACTCTGCGCCCAATCTGCTGTAGCGCTGAGGGTCAGGAAGGCCTCTGGGAGTTCTCTAGAAGAAGGCGCTGGGGAGGAGGAGTTAACATCTCATTTCATTAGAGCATGCCAGTTCTGTTCTGGGTGTGACTTTTGAAGAATATTGAGTTCTACCAGTAGAACTTTGGGGACTGAAACCTGTTGAGGATTTGTAGTAAGACTGTGTCCCGAAGGCGTTCTTCCTTTTCTTCTGTCTCTGACTTTAACAAGCAGGTTTCCCTATAAGCTTTGGTGTTTGTTAAACAGATCATTTGTATGTGCAATAAAATATGTTTAAAAATTAGAAAAATAACATCTCCCGATACTATGTTATTTTATATTTTTAATGGTATGATTACTTTTATTTGATTTTCTGGTTTGTGATGATAAATGCATAAGAATGGCAGTGTTCTCTGCATCATGTACATTTCAAGGTGTAGACTGTGTTCTGAAGGGAGAGTCGGCCCCACATCCTTACCTTCTTTTCCTGTGGTTTATTGCAGAACTCAGCTGCCTTCACCTCCTCCTGCCATTTTTCATCACTTCTGAGACTGTTAGCTCTTAGACCCCCCAAATAGAACAGTTTCCTTTGTGAGCCCCTATTATATGCTTGCCACCATTGTTTTTCAAACCTAGGATCCTCCAAACTCAGTGCCACTCAGCCTCTTCTACTGATGAAGAAACTGGAGTTCAAAGGCTTGCTTGCAGCTTCCCAGGTGTATGACGAGTATTTCAGGTCGGCCAGCGCCTTGTGAAGCCCACACTCCAGGGTTGAGGGCAACATGTAACAATGTCAGGGAAGGCTGAGGAAGTGCTGTGCCATCGCAAAAGAATAAAATATAAGTCTAGAAATGCGGAAGGTACTGTACAGCATCACAGCTACCTAAACTTCCTCTATGGGAAGACAGGGAAAGTAGGCGTTAGTGGCAAGACAGAGTGGCTTTGAGTCTAAGTGTCATAATAAACTCTGACGGGGAAAAATAAGGGGCAGCATTTGCACATGTGTGCTGCAGATTACCCGCTGTGAGGCAGCGGTGAGTTTGTTGCCTTGTGTTTTAAAAAGTAATTTTCTGGGCCGGGCGTGGTGGCTCACACCTGTAATCCCAGCACTTTGGGTGGCCAAGGCAGGTGGATCACTTGAGGTCAGGAGTTTGAGACCAGCCTGGCCAACGTGGTGAAACCTTGTTTCTACTAAAAATACAAAAATTAGCTGGGCGTGGTGGCGGGCGCCTGTAATCCCAGCTACTTGGGAGGCTGAGGCATGAGAATTTCTTGAACCCAGGAGGCAGAGGTTGCAGTGAGCTAAGATTGCGCCACTGCACTCCAGCCTGGGCAACAGAACGAGACTTCGTCTCACAAAAAAAAAAAGAAGTAATTTTCTGATCTAGCATGTGGATTCTTGAGTCATCTTAACTAAGAGATTGGGAGCAGCCTGTGTGGCTGACAGGCCCTATTGCTCATGACTTGTGTATGTGTACACGTGTGGGATGTGTGTATGCATGTGTGTATATGTATGCAGTGTGTATGTGTGGAGTGTGTGCATGTGTGTACATGTATGCATGTGTAGAGGGTGTGTGTGTGTATATGTATGGGAAGTATGTATGTATGTATTTGTGTGCCTGCATGTGTGGACATGTGTACGCATATCCAGTGTTAACCCTGACACACTGGGGAAGTGGAAATAGAATGAATACCCTGTATGTTTCAGCTCCTTTTTGAGTTTATCCTGCACGACCAGCTTATGAGTAGGTGATGGTATATTTTTGGTCACCTACAGCACTTCCTCAGCCTCCCCTGACATGTCTACATGTTCCACCCCCACCCCCGGAGTGTGGGCTTTGCAGGGCGCTGGCGGACCTGAAATACTCTGCACACCTGGGAAGCTGCAGGCAGACCTCTGAGCTCCAGCTCGTTCTTCAGTAAAAGGGGCTGAATGGTGCTGACTTTGGAGGATTCCAGGTTTCAGAAATAATGGGTGAGAAAGCAGAGCCTCAGAGCTATCAGGTGACTTGTGACAGGCTTGCTCAGATGAGAGCTGGAGCCCGGACTCGGACCCAGGCCTGCCACTCAGAGCCTGGCCTCTGTCACAGTTCCCCTCCCATTGACTTTCGGGGCCCGTCTTAGGAGCTCGACCGGCGGCCAGCAAAACATTCCCTCCACAGCAGAGCCACCTCTGGGTAAACTGATAAAAATGAGCTTCTGAACCTGCCAAGGTGCCAGGGCTCAGGCCTTGGCTTCAGCAATGTCATTCCCCCAGCAGACGGTGAGTGGGTGCCAGCCACAGTCAAGCACCCACTGTGCTCTTCCCCCAAGGCCTGGCCTGGGTTAGCTGGCTGTCCTGCCCCTCCCCTCCCCTCCCTTCCCCTCCTCTCCCCTCCCTTCCCGGGGGAGGGTGCTTGACTGTGGCCAGCGCCCATTCATCGTCTGTGGGGAGAATGACATTGCTGAAGCCAAGGCCTGGCTTTCGACAAGAGTTTTGCTCTGTTGCCCAGGCTGGAGTGCAGTGGCACCATCTCAGCTCACTGCAACCTCCGCCTCCCAGGTTCAAGTGATTCTCCTGCCTGAGCCTCCTGAGTAGCTAGGATTACAGGAGACCACTACCACATCTGGCTAATTTTTGTTTTTTTTTAGTAGAGATGGGGTTTCACTATGTTGGCTAGGCTGGTCTTGAACTCCCAACCTCAGGTGATCCGCCTTCCTTTGCCTCCCAAAGTGCTGGGATTATAGGCATAAGCCACTGTGCCCAGCCTATTTATTTTATTTTTTATTTTATTTTTGAGACAGGGTCTCACTTTGTTGCCCAGGCTGGAGTGCAGAGGTGCGATCGTAGCTCGCCCACAGCCTTGACCTCCTAGTTCCAAGTGATCCTCCTGCCTCAGCCTCCCAAGTAGCTGGGACTACAGGTGCACATCACATGCCCAGCTAATTTTTGTATTTTTTATAGAGACAGGGTTTTGCCATGTTGCTGGTCTTGAACTCCTGGGCTGAAGCAATTCACCTGCCTCGGCCTCCCAAAGTGCTGGGATTACAGGTGTAAGCCACTGCGCCTGGCCTGCTTCTTTTTTTTCTGAGCATGCTTTTAAAATCTCTAGTAGGTGATACACCCAGCCTTCAGTTCTACTCCTACTCAAGCAGCATGGTAATTTTAAGAAAATTTTAAAAGGAAAAAAAAAGCATATTCTAATGTGTCTTCTTACCTGATGCAGAAGATGGAGTTAGCCTGAGTGACCCATTCCTTGCTAGCAGCTTTATTGGAAGCTGGGATTTGGGTATGTGGATAACTCATGCTGAGAGCTGATTAATCACGTGCATGGCCCTGTTAGGGTTCAACTGACTTAGGTAAATACAACACAATGATATTTCAGCTGTGACCTTTCAGAGAAGGAAGCTCCTTGTTTACATAGGAGTTATAGCAGCACTGCTCTCCCAGTTCAACAAAAACTGGTCTCACTGGTTACCTGTGGAACCCCGACTCCCTGAGATGGCTCTCGGCAGCCTTGCCTTCTGCCTGTTTCTCCAGCTTATCTCTTGCCACCGCCACTCCCTCAAGCTGGCAAAGCAACCGGGTCATGCCATTTCAGTCAAGGTGGAATGCCACACCATGAGCACTTGGGAAGTCCTGGCCAAGTGCTGGTCTGTTCCATTTTCGTCCTGTCTAAAGGGCACTAACAGTGCCCCCTGGCAGGTGCTTCACTGAGCGTTTGAGCCTGTGTCACCTGGCCTCCCTGACTCACTGTGCCACTGTGCAGCTTCCTTTCAGTGGCATGAAAAGAACACCCTTACAAAGATGCCTGACTTCCAGAAGGAAGACATGTCAGTGTTTCACCGTGAAAAATGCAACTCCTCGTTTGCTTGGTGGGAGACGTGCTTTTAAATTGGCTGACTTACATTTCTTTCTAGACAAAGACATCTGGCATTCTGAAGTCAGCATTGTACTCTGTGCAAAAGTAGGGTGACTGTCTCTTCTAGGAACTTTTAAAGGAAACATTTAACATTTTTATTTTACGGGCTAAATAAAGCGTTTTAAAAATGAAACATAATTCTGTCCACTCCCCACCCATATGGTTAAATTACTCCTTTTTTAAAGCATTTTAAATTGTGGTAAAATACATATAAACAAATTGTGGTAAAATACATATAACATAAAATTTACCATCTTAACCATTTTTAAGCATATTAACTTGTGTCCATGTGTAGCCTTTTGGAATTTTTCATCGTGTTCCCTACACAGAATGCTTCTAAATCATGCCGTGTCCTGGGGACTGTCATACTGTCAGGTTGTGTAAAGTCAAAGGAAACAAAGATATTTTCTTGGGTGGAGCAACAGTGACACTTCCTGATTTCTATTAAGCTTGGATGTAGTTTGAATCTTTTTTTTTCAAACATACTTTATACTTAACATTTTAGTATTTTCTTTTAAGGTCAGCCTACTGAGCCTATGCATATAATGAGGTCAAAAATGTTACAATTATGTCCTAATTATAGCTCAAGGAATGCTTTTAGAACAGTGTAGTTCCTGAGTGAAATAAATAAGAAAGTTTAATTTCCTGTTTAATCAGTTTCTCCTTTTTAAATTTTTTTAGCACTTTAAAAAGTGATTTTGAAGGCTGGGTGCAGTGGCTTACACCTGTAATCCCAGCACTTTGGGAGGCCAAGACGGTGGATCACAAGGTCAGGAGTTCGAGACCGGCCTGGCCAATATGGTGAAACCCCGTAGCTGGGCGTGCTGGTGCACGCCTGTAGTCCCAGCTACTCTGGAGGCTGAGGCAGCAGAATCGCTAGAACCCGGGAGGTGGAGGTTGCAGTGAGCTGAGATCACACCACTACACTCCAGCCTGGGTGACAGAGCGAGACTCTGTCTCAAAAAAAAATGGGATTTTGGGTTAGGCACAGTGGCTCACGCCTGTAATCCCAGCACTTTGGGAGGCTGAGACAGGTGGATCACGAGGTCAGGAGTTTGAGACCAGCCTGACCAGTATGGTGAAACCCTGTCTCTACTAAAAAATACAAAAGTTAGCTGGGCGTGGTGGCATGCACCTGTAGTCCCAGCTACCTGGGAGACTGAGGCAGGAGAATCGCTGGAACCTGGGAAGTGGAGGTTGCAGTGAGCCAAGATCACACTACTGCACTCCAACCTGGGTGACAGAGCGATACTCCGTCTCAAAAAAAAAAAAAAAAAATGATTTTCAGCTGGGCACAGTGGCTTACACCTGTAATCCCAGCACTTTGGGAGGCTGAGGCAGGCAGATTGCCTGAGGTCAGGAATTCGAGACCAGCCTGGCCAAAATGGTGAAACCCCGTCTCTAATAAAAATACAAAAAATAAAAATTAGCCAGGCATGGTGGCACATGCCTGTAATCTCAGCCACTCAGGAGGCTGAGGCAGGAGAATCACTTGAACCCAGGAGGCGGAGGTTGCAGTGAGCCGAGATTGCACCACTGCACTCCAGTGTTGGGGGACAGAGTGAGACTCTGTCTCTAAATAAATAAATTAATTAAATTAAAAGTGATTTTGAAAACATGGCCATTTTTCCTGGCCAGTTCATCTCTTTCTTTTTTTTTTCTTTTCGAGATGGAGTCTCGCTCTCTCACTCAGGCTGGAGTGCAGTGGCGCAATCTCAGCTCACTGCAACCTCTGCCTCCCGGGTTCAAGTGATCCTCCCACCTCAGTCTCCCAAGTATCTGGGATTACAGGCCTGTGCTACTACGCCTGGCTAATTTTTGTATTTTTAGTAGGGACAGGGTTTCGCCATGTTGCCCAGGCTGATATCAAACTCCTGACCTCAAGCGATCTACCTGCCTCGGCCTCCTAAAGTGTGGGATTACAGGCGTGAGCCATTGTGCCCCACCTCAGTTCATCTATTTCTCTGTGATATTTATTCTATAGTTGCAGAAGAATATTTCTCATATGATACGTATATTAAGCTTACTGGCCAGCCAGTTTGGGTTTCTGGATAGTGAAACTGTCCTGGAAGTGTTTGCTGAGCTTTTCTTGCTGGAGAAGATTCTTGGCAAAGCCTGGATGGAGGATGGAGATGAGAAAGGTAGTGTGAGGGTGGCACACCTGTTTTGTGCTAATTCCAGTCTTGGCAGCCCTGGACCTGCCGGGAGAGGGATGACAGTGACATGTGGCCCAGTTTTTGCTCAGAGAAGGAAAAGTCACCAAGACCGACCATGAGGGCAGGAGCTCTTGCTTCTCCTCCTAGATGAGAGTTAGAAGGAATTTGAGAGCAAGGCTTCTTTCTTGGGATCCAAATACTTCTTACCTTGGAGTTTTCCTAGCCGTGGCTAGTGGGTCATAATGTCAGCGACATTGCCAAATGGGAGCGGAAGAGTGTCGTTGGGGGAAGGGTGAAGACGCTGTCAGAGAATAAGACATACCCCACTAGAACTTTAAAAAACAAGTCAGAAAAAAAAAAAAACAAAAAACAGAAAAAAACCCACATACCCACACATACACCCTGAAGAGGGAATCAGGAGTTTGCAAGCCCTAGAAGGTAGTTATTGTGGTAATTAAAGATTGAAAGCTCACTCTCAAGAGAGCTGCACCAAATCCCTGGGCTGCCTCAGGGTTTGCTGAAATGAGTCCCACTCTTCTCTGGTCAGTTCAGTCCAGGAGGGGCTGGCGTGCAAGTGTCACTCAAGAATTCATGGCTAGGCTGGGCGAGGTGGCTCACGCCTGTAATCCCAACACTTTGGGAGGCCAAGGCAGGTGAATCACTTGAGGTCAGGAGTTCGAGACCAATCTGGCCAACATAGTGAAACCTCGTCTCTACTAAAAATACAAAAATTAGCCGGGCATGGTGGCACGTGCCTGTAATCCTGGCTACTTGGGAGGCGGAGGCAGGAGAATTGCTTGAACCCGGAAGGCGGAGGTTGCAGTGAGCCGAGATCACACCACTGCACTCCAGCCTGGCAACAGAGTAAGACTCTGTCTCAAAAAAAAAAAAAAAGTTTATGGCTCTTACAGCCTTAGCCAGCAAGAGCAATTGCCATGAAACAGCATTATTTCTTTTCTCTTTATGCTATTGTGGTAAAATACACATGGCCTAAAGTTGACCATTCTAACCATTTTTAAGGGCACAGTTCAGTGGTATTAAGTACATTCATATTGTGTATCCTGCCATCCATCTCCAGAACCTTTTCATCCTCCCAAACAGAAACTTCCAGATGGAGTCCTACCGAATTGCCCAGGCTAGTCTCAAACTCCTTAGGATAACTTTCATTCTTGGCTGGGCATGGTGGCTCATGCCTATAATCTCAGCACTTTGAGAGGCTGAGGTGGGTGGATTGCTTAAGCTCAGGAGTTTGAGACTAGCCTGGGCAACATGGCGAAACCCCATCTCTACAAAAAATATAGAAATCAGCCAGGCGTGGTGGTATACGCCTGTAGTTCCAGCTACTCGAGAAGCTGAGGAGGGAGAATTGCCTGGGCTTGGGAGATTGAGGCTGCAGTGAGCCAAGATCACACCACTGCACTCCACTGTGGGTGACAGGGCAAGACACTGTCAAAAAAAAAAAACTACCAAAAACTAATTTTCATTCTTTTTTTTTTTTTTTGAGACAAGAGTCGCCCAGGCTGGAGTACAGTGGCATGATCACAGCTCACTGCAGCCTCAACCTCCTGGGCTCTGGTGATCCTCCCACCTCAGCCTCCCAGGTAGCTAGGACCATAGCCATGTGCCACCACACCCAGCTAATTTCTTTGTATTTTTTTAGTAGAGGCCGGTTTTTGCCATGTTGCCCAGGCTGGTCTCCAATTCCTAGGCTCAAGTGATCTGTCCTTCTTGGCCTCTCAGAGTGCTGGGATTACAGGTGTGAGCCACTATGCCCAGCCACTTTCATTCTTTTTTTTTTTTGAAATGGAGTCTCACTCTGTTGCCCAGGCTGGAGTGCAGTGGCACGATCTCGGCTCACTGCAAGCTCCACCTCCTGGGTTCACACCATTCTCCTGCCTCAGCCTCCCGAGTAGCTGGGACTACAGGCGCCCGCCACCACGCCCGGCTAATTTTTTGTATTTTTTTAGTGGAGATGGGGTTTCACTGTGTTAGCCAGGATGGTCTTGATCTCCTGACCTCTGATCTGCCCACCTTGGCCTCCCAAAGTGCTGGGATTACAGGCATGAGCCACCATGCCCGGCCCCACTTTCATTCTTTAGAACAAGGAAATTCATACTGTTTTATCTAAGAAAGAAGCTTTCCTAAGTCCTGTACTTGGACGAGGGCACCGGTGTTGTCTTTGGGTACAGGGCATTAGCAATTGTAAAGAACAGTGTTGAAGGGGTGAATAAGTAATATCTTTTCCTCATCCATTGCGAGGTTCATGGCTGAGACCCCTATAACGAAAGAGAGATTAACGAGAGAAAAGCATGCAAATTAAGTTTTACATGGCATGAGAGCCTTCAGAAATGAAGACTTGGAGAAACAGGGATTCCAATCTGTGTCTCTGTGCTTGGGTTTGATGAAGTGTGACAGTCGCGTAGAATGACTGGATGCGGGCTGTGATGATTCAGGAATACCCCGGGGGGAATTTAGCAAGGCCTGTTTGTTCAGGTTCTTCTTGGTGCCTCTGGGAGACATTCCTTCCCTCTGGGTATAGGGCAGGACGCCTGTCACAGGGCGTTCAGGGGAGAAGGGAGGGAGATCTTGATCTCCCTAGGCTTTATGAGCTGCCTAGGCTTTATGAGCTGCCACAGGGAGGAAGGTGAGAGTATCCTTCCTGCTTCTGCTGTTTTCTCAGTTTCCCAGGTACCATATTTTGGGGTAGCATTTCCTGCACCCCATTAGTATCCACCAGAGAAGTTTGCCCTAAAAATGTGCTGTCCCTCTTGTGTCTGGTGCTGGCCTTCAGTGAGACTGAAGGGCATCACGGAAAAGTCTCGTAAGGTGGAATTGCGGGGAGCCCGAGTGGGAACCTCCATGGTGGCCTTTACCACTGATCCAAGCAACTGGTTCTCCCTTCTCCACTGGGCTACAGCTCTGAGCTTCTGCACAAAGAGTGGAGTCTCCATCTTTAAATATTCTGCTTATTTTTCAATTTGTCATTATACTAAGAGGTCATGTGTGTGGATTACTTACTTTGTGCTGGGCAGTATGCTAAATTCTTTATACATGGTAACTCTTTATGCTTGTAACTTCGTGAGGTATCACAGTCCTCATTTTTACAGATGAAACTTCAGCCCAGAAAGGTAATTTGCCCGAACAGCAAATTCTGAAACTGGAATTGGTGGCTCTGGTGCCCAAGCTTGCATATTTAGACCAGGCATCAGTAATAGCCTCAGTTTTGTTTATTGCTTTGTTAAGCCTTAGTTTTGAAGCACTTGTTAAGTGCGAGGCTCCATGTAGAGTGTATAAACACTCAATCTCTGTGTGACGACAGCTCCAAGGAGCAGTCCAGCAAGTTCTGTCTGGCCAAATCTAGACCTGGTTTTGATTAACTTTGTTCATGATCTCTAGATCACTCTGCTCTATGCTTGAACCTGTATGCTTGAGTCAAGCTTACCTCTCTGATGGGTGAAGAAAATGATATTTCACTGTTATATTAATTTTATTTTTCTTACCACAAAGGAAGGATATCTCTTCATTTTTCTAAGTCCTGTTGGTTCATTGCCTTTGCTTTTGCTGCATTTCTCTCTCTCTCTCTTTTTTTTTTTTTTTTTGAGACAGAGTCTCACTCTGTCACTCAGGCTGGAGTTCAGTGGCACAATCTCGACTCTCTCCAACCTCCACCTCCCAGGTTCCAGTGATTCTCCTGCCTCAGCCTCCTGAGTAGCTGGGACTGCAGGCGTGTGCCACCACGCCTGGCTAATTTTTGTATTTTTAGTAGAGACAGGGTTTCATCATGTTGGCCAGGCTGGTCTCAAACTCCTGACCTCAGGCGATCTGCCCATCTTGGCCTCCCAAAGTGCTGAGATTACAGGCGTGAGCCACTGCACCCAGCCTTCTTGCTGCATTTTTAAAGAAGACAACTGCAGCTTGTCTCTCTTGATAAGCAGTCTGAGTTTGCCTTTAGTGCACCTTTTCTTCAACAGAAATCAGTTGCCTGTCTCAGATGGGCCTTGCTCACATTATTCACATGGGCTGGGTACAGTGGCTGACACCTGTAATCCCAGCACTTTGGGAGGCCAGTGCAGGTGGATCAATTGAGCCCAGGGGTTCGAGGCCAGCCTGAGCAACATGGCAAAATCCCATCTCTACGAAAAAATACCAAAGATGCTGGGCATGATGGCTCATGCCTGTAATCCCAGCACTTTGGGAGGCCAAGGCAGGTAGATCACTTGTGGCCAGGAGTTCAAGACCATCCTGGCCAATGTGGCTCAACTTGTCTCTACTAAAAAATACAAAAATTAGCCAGGTGTGGTGGCACATGCCTGTAATCCCAGCTACTTGGGAGGCTGAGGTGGGAGAATCACTTGAACCTGGGAGGTGGAGGTTGCAGTGAGCTGAGATTGCACCACTGCACTCCAGCCTTGGTGACAGAACAAGACTCTGGCTCAAAAAAAAAAAAAAAAAAAAAATCCCCCCAAAACAAAAAAAAAATCAGCAGGGTGTGGTGGTGCACGCCTATAACCCTGGCTACTCAGGAGACTGAGGTGGGAGGATTGCTTAAGCCTGGGAGTTAGAGGTTGCAGTGAGTTGCAATCACACCACTGCATTCCAGTCTGGGTGACAGAGTGAGACCCTGTCTCAAAAAATCAAAACATGATAAACATGGTCAACATACAGTGAACAAGTTCATTCCACTTTTACTGGTTACAGCCTCAGTTCTGGGCTATGTGTCTTTTTCTATGTCTTTTTCACATTAAATGAAGTGAGGTAACACATGTAAATGAGAAAAAATAGCAATCAGTTCTATTAATTTGAAATGAGTGGTTGTGGTTCCTTGCAATTGCGTTCATATGAAAAGAGATCTATCAGTCAGGATAGGGAAAGTTATGCACAGTAACAAACAATCCTCAAATCATGGTGACTTTTACAACATGGTTTATTTCTGCCTTACTGGATCAGAAAGTAGTTTCTGCTTTCTGAAATTTCTCAGGGGCTTTATCTCAACCTGTGTTTCCATAATCTTAGAGGCAGGGAAAAGAGAAGTGATAAGCTATGAGTTGGCTTTGAAGATCTGTGCCAGAAGTGACTCCCATAATTCTATTCATCTTGTTGGCCCCAAGTATGTCACGTTGCCGTGCCTATACTCAAAAGAGCAGAAGAAAGGGATCCTGCTGTGTGCACAGACTGAGGGAACCTCTTAGGAATCCCAGATGCTCCCCATGGGAAGTACTTAACATCTTTTTTGTCCCAAATAGCAGAAGTCTTAGAGTATAATGAGCAAAAATGAGATTTGGTAGTGTTAAAAAGAGAAAACTCTGCCTTGACAAAAATAATGGTACAGGTCAAGACAGCTTTTAGCTCTCCTGCTCTTGAATCCATGGAGAAAGCTTGTTAGCCTGTGATCAGTAAGCCATGGGAGTCGTGGAAATGTTTTCTGCGGGCTGGCTGGGCATTGCTGGTGGTGAAGCTGGATGTTGGCTGCCTGACCGTTCTATGTGTTTGAAATTGCCCATGAGCAAATGTACTGTTTGCTATCCATTATCCACGTTCATTCCTTCTCTGCTGCTACCGTCAGTCTGTTTTCATCCTTTGTGACAGTGTGGAAGTTAAGTGGCCTCTCCTCTGTTCTTTTTTTTTTTTTCCTTTTTGGAACATAAGCACATTTTTTCACATTATTTTATTAGCATTCCCTTTGTTTTAAGGTATCACATTCTTCATAAATGATGTTTTAAGGGCTAGGCGCAGTGGCTCACACCCATAATCCCAGCATTTTGGGAGGCTGAGGCAGGAGGATTGCGTGAGCCCAGGAGTCTGAGACCAGTTGATCATTCTGAGCAATGTAGGGAGACCTTGTCTCTACAGAACAATCTTTTTAAATTAGCCAGGCTTGGTGGCATGCACCTGCAGTCCCAGCTATTCAGGAGGCCAAGGTGGGAGGATCACTGGAACCTGGAGGTTGAAGCTGCATGGAACCATGATCGCACACTTGCTCTCCAGCCTGTGTAACAGAGTGCAACCCTTTTTTGATGACCACTAGTTATATCTGATTTTTTTTTTTTTTTGAGATGAGATGGAGTCTCACCCTGTCGCCCAGGCTAGAGTGCAGTTGGCTCACTGCAACCTCTGCCTCCTGGGTTCAAGTGATTCTCCTGCCTTAGCCTCCTGAGTAGCTGGGATTATAGGCACGCGCCACCATGCCCGGCTAATTTTTTGTGTCTTTAGTAGAGACAGGGTTTCATCATGTTGGCCAGGTTGGTCTTGAACTCCTGACCTTGTGATCCACCCACCTCTGCCTCCCAAAGTGCCAGGATTATAGGTGTGAGCCACTGCACCTGGCCATATCTGATTTTTTTTAAAGATGTCATTTTATTGAATTTGAGAATTCACTTAGACCACAGATATCTGATGAAAAATATTCTTGTTTTCCTTGTCTTCCTTTCATGTCCTGCATAACCTGAGTGTGCTTTAGAGGTGGGATCGTAGTGTTTGCGTACAAGAGGAAAGTTGTCATGGCCCTGTGGTCATGAGGCTGAGGGCCCACGATTCTGATGTGGATGGAATGCAGCTGGCATTGCACATGTCTTAGATGCTCTTCCCAACTGCCCGCTTTGTTCTAGGCACTGTGCAGGGTGCTGGAGACAGCAGAGAAGAGTGAGATAGTCCCTGCCCTCGCACTGTAGAGGGAAGGCCTGTTCTGCCTCCCTGAGATGGGGGCACTGAGCTAAATCACACGTGAGGAAGAGTTAGCAAGGTGGCCGGAAGGGCATTTAGGCAAGGGGCAGTGAAAGGAAGGCTGGAGCCGTGCTTGGGAGACCTTTTAAGAAACGTGAACTTGGCCAGATGCAGTGGCTCACGGCTGTAATCCCAACAATTTGGGAGGCCGAGGCGGGTGGATCCCTTGAGGTCAGGAGTTCGAGACCAGTCTGGCCAACATGGTGAAACCCCATCTCTACTAAAAATACAAAAAATTAGCTGGATGTGGTGGCGTGTGCCTGTAATCCCAGCTACTCAGGAGGCTGAGGAAGGAGAATCGCTTGAACCCAGGAGGTACAGGAGGTGGAGGTTGCAGTGAGCCAAGATCATGCCATTGCACTCCGGCCTGGGCAACAGAGCAAGACTCCGTCTCAAAAAAAAAAAAAAAAGAAGCGTGAACTTTTACCCTGTAGGCCTTCAGTAAATATTTGTGTGAGCAAATGAACTACTTATGCAGATCATTCCCTGATAACATCAGACACTGTGTTATAAGATTAAGCCGGCCAGGCGCAGTGGATCACATCTGTAATTTTAGCACTTTGGGAGGCCGAGGCGGGTGGATCACAAGGTCAGGAGATTGAGACCATCCTGGCTAACGCGGTGAAACCCTTTCTCTACTAAAAATACAAAAAATTAGTCAGGCATGGTGGCGGGCACCTGTAGTCCCAGCTACTTGGGAGGCTGAGGCAGGAGAATCGCTTGAACCTGGGAGGCAGAGGTTGCAGTGAGCTGAGATTGCGCCACTGCATTCCAGCCTGGGTGACAGAGCAAGACTGCATCTCACAAAAAAAAAAAAGAAAAAAAAAGATTAAGCCATGAGGGGCCTCCCACGCACAAAGTTCTGCCCATGGTTACTCTGTGCCACGAAGGACAGCATCGATCTGTTCACACTCTCGACCTTGCTTCTCGGGTACAGCAAGCACTCTGGGATGCTTTCCCGCAGACGTGTCGTGTATCCTGCTTATGGAAGCCTAGCTTGGGACTACCATTGCTCCAGCCCAGTGGGGTGGTGCTGTTTTCCTCCTGGAGAACACGGGTTCCTCCCAGCACCATCTCCAACTGGTAGAAATGTCAGGCGTCACAGCCTGGAAGGCTTTAATCCCAATCCATATCTTCTGAGTGAGCCCCTACTCATGGCTTCCTGAGATGGAGAAGCACACGGCCCTCACCCATCACGGGCTCAGAGGTGTGACCGAGAAGCTGGCCACCTACTAAGAAAGTCCTTGTGCCTGCCTCATCTCCAGCGCTGCCAGAGCTGCTGTGGACTCTCGCCATGCAGTCCCTCTGCCCCTTTGTTGTGTATGTCTCTTTCTTACAGCCACACTGGGACATGGCTGCAGTCTCTCTGGCTTCAGCAGATCCACTCTCCATTGTAAATATCGCTGCCTTCTTCCTCATGTGTTTTTTTTGTCTTGTTTGACAGGCTCTTCAGAGTAACCTGAGGTACTCCTTGTTGCCAAGACGGCTCCTCATCAGCAAAAGATTAGCTCAGTGTTTGCACCCTGCCCTGCCCAGTGGTGTCCACTTAAAAGCTCTGGAAACCTACGAGATTATCTTTAAAATCGTGGGGACCAAATGGCTGGCCAAGGACTTGTTTCTGTACAGGTGCGATTGCTTCTCTGCTGTGTTCCTTTTTATTACCCAAGTAACCGGTATTTCAGCTCACAAGATGAGAAAATGACAAACAGGCAAAATAAGCGTAGGGCTGTGTGTGCAACAGTTTATCATAAAGCCATCACCAGGAGACGTCACTGGGCGCCTTCTGGAGTCTATCCGTCCTAACTTTGCTTTCTTTCTTTTTTTTTTTAAATTTAAGTTCTAGGGTACATATGCACAACGTGCAGGTTTGTCACACATGTATACATGTGCCATGTTGGTGTGCTGCACCCATTAACTCGTCATTTACATTAGGTGTATCTCCTAGTGCTATCCCTCCCCACTCCCCCGACCCCATGACAGGCCCCAGTGTGTGATGTTCCCCTTCCTGTGTCCAAGTGTTCTCATTGTTCAATCCCCACCTATGAGTGAGAACATGCCATGTTTGGTTTTTTGTCCTTGCGATAGTTTGCTGAGAATGATGGTTTCCAGCTTCATCCATGTCCCTACAAAGGACATGAACTCATCCTTTTTTATGGCTACATAGTATTCCATGGTGTATATGTGCCACATTTTCTTAATCCAGTCTATCATCGATGGACATTTGGGTTGGTTCCAAGTCTTTGCTATTGTGACTAGTGTTGCAATAAATATACGTGTGGATGTGTCTTTATAGCAGTTTGATTTATAATCCTTTGGGTATATACCCAGTAACGGGATGGCTGGGTCAAATGGTATTTCTAGTTCTAGATCCTTGAGGAATCGCCACACTGACTTCCACAATGGTTGAACTAGTTAACAGTCCCACCAACAGTGTGAAAGTGTTCCTATTTCTCCACATCCTCTCCAGCACCCCATTTTGACTTTGCTATAAGGGAACTTTAGCATCTGAACGTGCGGACAGCTTCATTGCTGGCTTGTTACGTAACAGTGTTTTGTGACCATCTCATGTCATACCCACACATCGAAACCAGCAGTTTAAATGGCCAGCTGTTTGCTTGTGAAAACTCCCCTCGGCTGGCTTGTCACCTGGGACTTCTGACTGGGTATCTTATTTCTGCCCCGCTCCCTCTCGTTCTTTCTCGAAGCTGCGGGTTATTTCCTCTCCTGGCACACGCGGCGGTGTCGGTGAGGCCGGTGCTGCTCACCCTGTACGAGAAGTACTTCCTCCCACTGCAGAAGCTGCTCCTGCCCAGTCTGCAGGCCTTCATCGTGGGCCTGCTGCCCGGCCTTGAAGAGGGCTCCGAGATCTCCGACAGGTGCGTGGGCGTCTTGTCCAGGCTGTGTTTACTCCACTGCTTTATAAGACGCGGGGAGGGGGCCGGGCGCAGTGGCTCACGCCTGTAATCCCAGCACTTTGGAAGGCCAAGGTGGGTGGATCACAAGGTCAGGAGATGGAGACCATCCTGGCTAACACGATGAAACCCTGCCTCTACTAAAAATAAAAAAATTTAGCCGGGCATGGTGGCGGGCGTCTGTAGTCCCAGCTACTCGGGAGGCTGAGGCAGGAGAATGGCGTGAACCTGGGAGGCGGAGCTTGCAGTGAGCCGAGATCGCACCACTGCACTCCAGCCTGGACAACAGAGACTCTGTCTCGAAAAAAAAAAAAAAGACACGGGGAAGGAAGTGCAGAGACATGGGAAGCAGCAGTAGGTGTGGAGGTCGGGTTGCTCTTTCACATTTCCTTGGTGGTTGTGATTTCAAATTCCTCCCGGGAATCTCTCTTGTCTCTTTACCAAAGGGGAAGTCCCGAGCCCGGAGAGATGAGATCCTTTAGGCGGAGAGAAATGTAGCTCATTAATAAGGGAGACCATAGTGCAGGGTTCCCATGATGTCCTGTCCCGTTACGGAGTTACCCACAGAGTCACCATGTGTGGAGGGAAGACATACCCTCTTAGGGCGCCTAGTGTGGAGGAAATGAAGGGACCCTTTCCTGGGCACTTGCAGCGTGCATTACACACATGATCACATTGTGTAATGAATTCCTCTGCTCCAGGAGTTACCTCCATTTACAGGTGAGGGTCAGAGGGTAAGAAGGTTTCCCAGTCGCACAGTCAGTGAGCCCCACAGCTGGGATTCTATTCCACTGTATCTATTGGATTCTTTTTTTTTTTTTTTTTTTTGAGACAGAGTCTTGTTCTATCACCCAGGCTGGAGTGCAGTGGTGCGATCTCGGCTCACTACAACCTCCGCCTCCTGGGTTCAAGTGATTCTCCCGCCGCAGCCTCCCAAGTAGCCAAGATTACAGGCTCGTGCCACCACACCCAGCTAATTTTTGTATTTTTAGTAGAGATGGGGTTTCCCTCTGGCGGCCAGGCTGGTCTCAAACTCCTGGCCTCAAGTGATCCGCCCACCTCAGCCTCCCAAAGTGCTGGGATTACAGGCGTGAGCCACCACACACGGCTCATATCAGATTCTAAAGTCCTTCTTCTTTCCATTAAACTAGGCTGCTTCTAAATTAAAAAGCAAAGCCAGGGCAGGGCTTGAGAAGGCAATTTAGTGTGATGTGAAGCAGAATATCTTGACAGGTTTCAGTAGCACCTTGGAGAAATCTATAGCACTCATATGCACAAAAGTTCATGTAGCTTTGTGTGTGTGTGTGTGTGTGGTCACTGCTTAGGAATGGGAGAAAGTGTGAATCTGTTCCGACTATTGAGTATGGCCGGGCACGGTGGCTCACACCTGTAATCCCAGCACTTTGGGAGGCCAGAGCAGGTGGATCACTTGAGGTCAGGAGTTCAAGACCAGCCTGGCCAACATGGTGAAACCCCATATCTACTAAAAATACAAAAAAATTAGCCGGACATGGTGGTGTGCGCCTGTAATCCCAGCTACTTGGGAGGCTGAGGCAGGGGAATAGCTTGAGCCTGCGAGGTGAAGGTTGCAGCGAGCCGAGATTGCACCACTGCACTCCAGCCTGGGTGACAGAGTAAGACTACGTCTCAGAAAAAAACAAACAAACAAACAAAAACCAGACTGTTGAGTATACACAGTGACCTTTGTTTCCGGAGAAGTATAAAGTAAGAACTCACTTCCAGCTTATTAACTCTTCTGAGAGATGCCACAGTGATTCACCTCTGTTAATGGGACCTGTTTTAAGAGCCCATGTTCAGTCACTGGTGACTTTTGTGCTTGTAAAAGCTGCCATGTGATTACACAACGCGCTGCTCATATTACCCTGTGCTGGAGGCCCTAGTCAGGTCACCCTTTCCTGTGGTGTCAGCTGTGACTGAGGGGTGCAGGAGGCTGGAGTCTAACCCAGGAATCAATCCAAGGTCCATTTGCACGGCTCCCCCAGCCTTAAGTAAACCAAGTAATCAGAATGGTTTGAAGGGTTAGTTAGGAAGTGGCCAAGGGTGCATTTCGTGAGCTCTATATCAGGACTTGACAGATGTAACTAAAACATTGCACTTTAACCATTTCAAGCTCTCACATAGACCAGGTGTTGGCTCTCCATTTCCCAAAGGAGAATCCACCTTTACAGTTTCTACCTTAGGAGGCAGAATCTGTCTCGTTGCGGTTTTAAGCCCAGCGCCAGGCCCTGTGGCTGGTACACGGTGAGACTCGGTAAGTGTGTGTTGAGTTAACGAGTGGTCCAGGTCACATAGGAGGCAGCTGGAGGACATTGCCAGACTCCATGCCAATGGACTCCTAATCCCAGGCCCTTTCTAGAAGTTCTGCTGTGTTTGTGTTCTGATGACAGATATGTGAGTATACATCCTACATGATTTTTCCATCATTGGACAGATGAACACATTAGTTCCCTAAAGCTTACTGTGATCTTTTAAATCTGTGTGAATCACACTAGAAGTGTAAATAGTTGGAGTGTTTTTGTTTTCTTAGTTGATAAATAAAGGTTCATTTGAACAGTTGCTAAAGTTGCTTAACATTGATTTTTTTTCTGAATATTGTGATTTCTTGACATTGAACCAAGAGCCAAGTAAAGCTTCATGAATCACCGAATCTATTTAGCTGTGACAGAAAACCAAATGCAGTGTGGCACCCAGAAGTGATTAGTTATCAGCTCTCCAAGGTGGATGCAGGTGAAAGGTTATACAATAATCTCTGAGCCAGTGTGTTGCAGCCACAGTAATTGAAGTGACTGTACAAGATTTTTTGGTTGCTATATCCATTTCAGTCTGAGACGGTTTGGTAACTGTTCCCAGAAGTGCTTGGGTAGCCAGGTGTGGTGACAGGCACCTGTAATCCCAGCTATTTGGAAGACTGAGGCAGAAGAATCACTTGAACCTCGGAGGTGGAGGTTGCAGTGAGCCAAGATCGCACCACTGCACTCTAGCCTGGGCAACAGAGCAAGACTCCATCTCAAAAAAGAAAAAAAGTGCTTGGGAATTGAGTGAAACACCCCAACAAATGTGCAGAGAGCAGAAAGGGAGGGTGCAGTGGGGGGGGTCATGATGAGCACGTGGGTAGAAATTGCAAAGTGGTGAGTTAGGTTGAGCTGGTGAAGGCTGGGATGACTCACAGGTTTCATGTAGGTGGAGGCTGTCCCTGGTGTGTGCTTTTTAGTGAACCATAAGGAATGAAACTTTTGGCCCCTGTTAGAACTTATTATCCACCCTGGCTTTCTAACCCTTTGGGGTCTGCAGATAACCTATGACTGGTCAGAAATCCTTTTTTTTTTTTTTTAAGTGCCCATGAAATAGCTACATAGCTGTGTTTTGCTGTACTAAGAAAACAAGATTAGAACAGGGAAAGCACTAAACTCTTCTTCTCAGGAGATGAGGAGAGGTGAATGTTTTAAATGGTTTGTAAGAAGGCAACAACTAGCTCACCAGATATTTCCATTTAAATCAGTAATTTTCAATGTAGTAGTAATTTTGCCTCTCAGGGTACATTTGACAATATCTGGAGACAGTTTTGGCTGTCACAACTGGGGGTGGGGAGGGTGCTACTGATATTTAGTGGGTAGAGTCCAGGAGCTGCTGAACATTTTACAATGCACACAGGTGCCCCGACAACAAAGACTTACCTGGTCCCAGATGTCAGTGGGGTGGACGTTCAGAAACCCTGGCTTAAAGAGTTGAAAAATATTTATTGACATTTCTTTTCTTTTGGAGCTCATTAATAAGGGAGGCCATAGTACAGAGTTTCCATGATGTCCTGTCCCATTAAAGAGTTACCCACAGCGTCACCATATGAAGAGGGGAAGACGTACCCTCTTAGGGCCCCTATCGTGGAGGAAACAAATGGACCCTTTACTGAGCACTTGCGACGTGCATGACCCACATGATCACATTGAATTCCAGGGTCTTGCTGTGTACCCAGGCTGGAGTACAGTGGCAGGATTATAGCTCACTGCAGTCTCAACCTCCAAGGATAAAACGATCCTCCGGCCTCAGCCTTCCAAAGCACTGAGATTACAGGCATGAGCCACCCCTTTTGGCTGACATTTCTATTTTTTTTTTTTTTTTGAGACAGTCTCGCTCTGTCGCCCAGGCTGGAGTGCAGTGGCGCAATCTTGGCTCACTGCAACCTCCACCTCCCGGGTACAAGCGATTCTCCTCCCTCAGCCTCCCGAGTAGCTGGGACTACAGGCATGCACCATGACACCTGGCTAATTTTTGTATTTTTAGTAGAGACGGAGTTTCACCATGTTGGCCAGGCTGGTCTTGAACTCCTGGCCTCAAGTGATCCACCTGCCTCAGCCTCCCAAAGTGCTGGGATTACAGGCGTGAGCCACTGCACCCAGCACCAACATTTCTTTTGGTTGGTTTCAGGCACTGTGATCATGATCTGTGCTGGTTCGAGGCTTTTTTTTTGCCCCCTCTTTAGCGCTGTTTCTGACCTGCAGTTTACAGTACAGGGTGCTGTTGTCACTGCCCTGCCTCTTCAGTTTCAGATGATTGTACCAAAGCGGTGCTGTCTTGTGACAGCTTGGCTTTCCATGGTTGTCCTTTTGGCAAGCAGCTGCAGAACCAAAGTTGTGGAGTGCTTGGGATTTGCGGTGCCCGGCCCATGCCACTCACCTGCTCTCAGTTGTGGAGTGGAGCATGCCAGTGTCATTTGAAGGAGCTGCGTTTGCAGGAGGCATGAGAGAGCATAAGCTGGGATGAGTTAGGAAGGATGGAAATACTTGGGGTTTGGAAGTTGGGTTTTTTTTTTTAATGTTTGTTGGTTTTTTGTTTGTTTTTGTTTTGTTTTTTGAGATGGAGTCTCACTCTGTTGCCCAGGCTGGAGTGCAGCGGTGCAATCTTGGCACCCTGCAGCCTCCACCTCCTGGGTTCAAGCAATTCTCCTGCCTCAGCCTCACGAGAAGCTGGGATTACAGGTGCGAACCACCATGCCCAGCTAATTTTGTATTTTTAGTAGAGACGGGGTTTTACCATGTTGGCCAGGCTGATCTTGAACTCCTGGGCTCAAATGATCCACCTGCCTTGGCCTCCCAAAGTGCTGGGATTACAGGTGTCAGCCACTGTGCCTGGCCCGTTTGTTGGTTTTGAATTAAAAGTTTAGGGTTCCCAGTGGGGCATGGTGGCTCATGCCTGTAATTCCAGCACTTTGGGAGGCCGAGGCGGGGGGTTACCTGAGCTCAGGTGTTCAAGACCAGCTTGGCCAACATGGTGAAACCCCGTATCTACCAAAAAAAAAATACAAAAATTAGCCAGGCATGGTGGCGGCTGCCTGTAATCCCAGATACTCAGGAGGCTGAGCCAGGAGAATCACTTGAACCTGGGAGGCAGAGGTTGCAGTGAGCCAAGATCGTGCCATTGCACTCCAGCCTGGGCAACAAGAGTGAAACTCCGTCTCAAAAAAAAAAAAGTTTAGAGTTCTGGACTGTAAACTGCACACTAATATTGGAATTTAACAACCGAGATGATCATAGTAACTCTTGTTGAGTAGGAAGTTATTTCGTTTTTAACCCCGTTTATTTTGCTCTCTCATACCAAAGGTTTGTCATAGTTGCTGTTGTTTCTACTATGATGTCATTTAAATTGTTAGTATGCATCCATTTTTTTTAGAATAAAATGAGACTTAAAAAACAAAGCTGGCTGGGCACAGTGGCTCACACCTGTAGTCCCAGCACTGAGAGGCCATGCAGGGTGGACCACTTGAAGCCAAAAGTTCAAGACCAGCCTGGGCAACATGGTGAAACTCTGTCTACATATAAAATGCAAAAATTAGCCCAGTGTGGCAGCATGGGTGTGTAGTCCCAGCTACTCAGAGGCTGAGGCAGGAAAATTGATTGAGCCCAGGAGGTCAGGGCTGCAGTGAGCTGTGTTCATGCCACTGCACTCCAGCCTGGGTGACAGAGTAACACCCTGCCTCAAAAAAAAAAAAAAAATTATTTCTTTAATAGAAAGCTAGTAGCCAGTTTTCAGAATATTGAAGAGACAACATAGGCAGCGTTTCCCATACTTTTTGAGGGTGGAACCCCTCTTCTGTGGAACATCTCTAGTGGCCAGTGTTCCATGGAACATACTTTGGGAATATGCAGTTCTAATTAAAGGGGGACTGTGACACCACGATGTGTGCATTATAGTGTTTGTGATGATTTCAGAGCTAGGCAAAGACAAGCTCTATTTGTTTACTCAGCCTTTAATAGAAGACCAATCAATAACCTCAGCCATTAAATCGCCCTGCCTACTTCTTCTATACACTTAGCCATTACTTATGTCTCTTCATTTTTATTTTTTCTAAGAAGACGGTACCATGCATTATTTCCTGCAATATTTTACAGGAAGTTCAGACTAATTTTAAGGAGAACAAAATGTACTTTTAATATAACGCGATGGTAGATATTTTTGAAGGAAATACAAAAAAATTAACCGAGGGGTTTTTCGAGTGCCAACCTGGAGTCACTTGCTCAAATAGGCACTGGGGCTGTGACAGCAAACAGAGTGGACCTAGTAGTAATTGCAGGCGGCATGGCCCAAGCATTAGGTCTGTTCTTCTGGGTTGAGTTTTTTTTTTTTCTTTTTTTCTTTTCTTTTTTTTTTTTGAGACAGAGTCTCACTCTGTTGCCCAGGCTGGAGTGCAGTGACGGCCTCTCGGCTCACTGCAAACTCCGCCTCCCGGCTTCAAGCAATTCTCCTGCCTCAGCCTCCCCAGTAGCTGGGATTATAGGCACCTGCCATCATGCCTGGCTAATTTTTGCATTTTTAATAGAGATGGGGTTTCACCATGTTGTCCAGGCTGGTCTCAAACTCCTGACCTCAGGTGATCCACCCGCCTCAGCCTCCCCGAGTGCTGGGATTACAGGCATGAGCCACCACGCCCAGCCAAACAGTTTTTTTTGTTTTTTTTTTTTTTTTTTTTGAGGGGACTCTCACTTCATTCTCACAACATCTCCACGAGGTCGAGGCTCCTTCCCCTGTCTTTTAGCTGAGCACGGGCGTGCACAGATGTTAAACTGGTCCTAGGTCCTGCATCTAGGAGGCATCACAACCAGGATCTGGACACGGGAGGGCCAACTCTGGCAAGCTCTGTGAACCAACACATTCCACCGGGTTGGTTTTTCTGATTGTTTTTTGTGGTCTTTGCAGATAGGAAGCATGTGAGAAACTGAATCCTTTCAGGTAATGAGTCAGATCCTTCGTGGGGTGATATCCCTTAGGGGGAATGTGCCTCTGCTGTTTTACTGGTAGATGCTGTCACCCAGCCTGCAGATTGTGTGCACTGAGGACAGGGAAAGGGCCGCAGTCAGCTGCAGGGACACCACCGAACAGACATGGGCCTGGCCTTGGTCAGCGTCAGGGGAAAAACGAGCCCTGATCCACTGGTGACGCTGCTTCTCTTAAAAGGATGCATGAGAAGGTGCTGACTTTGTATCACGGGAGACCTAGATAAAGATAAGAGGCGAACAAATGCCCGGCCTCAGCACAAGAGCCCCTGGGAGCGGGAGTCAGCACATGCAGGTGCTGTGGGCAGACTGAAAGGAAACACCACTCCAGGCTGATGGAATTTGCAGGGTCGTGGGAGGCCCCAGGCAGATTTGCCCCTAGCATTTCTAAAGGCAGATGTCACTTGGCACATTTTTGGCTGTGCTCAAGTTGGTGGCATCTAATTGCTTAAGTCTTTGATCAGTCTCCTCAGCATATGCTTGTTTTTGATACACCAATGGCTCCTTCCGCTTTTCTGTGAAGTGGCTGACCTGCCTATCCCTCTTATGGTGGAACCTCCCTTCCGTGAGCACCTAGGCATCCGTGGCACGGCCAGGGTGGAGATGGGTCTCTGCCCTGCCACGCACGACTGCTTAGCCACTTTCCATTGGCCAAGACACCGCGCTGCCTAGTGACATTGGTTTTGGCAAATCCAGGGTCAGTGTGACAGCCAGCAGGTGGACACACACAGCAGGGTGAGAGATGGCAGCGGCTCCCGGCGATGAGGAAGGTGGGGCTTCCCCAGCCAGGCGAATCCGCTGTGGTTCTTCATGCAGCATTCGCAGAGCAGTGTGCAGTGGGACTCGGGAAGATGGGGCGAGCCCTTGAACCCTATCCTCTCTCATCAACAGAACGGATGCTCTGCTCCTGAGACTGTCGCTGGTGGTTGGCAAAGAGGTGTTTTACACCGCCCTCTGGGGGAGCGTCCTGGCCAGCCCGTCCATCCGCCTCCCTGCCTCAGTCTTCGTGGTGGGCCACATCAACAGGGATGCCCCCGGCCGGGAGCAGAAGTACATGCTGGGGACCAATCACCAACTCACGGTGGGTGCTGTGTTCCTCACAGGGCATGGGGAGGAGGCGACATGTGGGCACAGCATCCTCATGGGCAGGTTGTCACTGAAGCTGCAAAGGGACATCCAGGAAAGGGAGGTGCACCAAGCTTAAGTCTGGGTAACGAACGGCTGAGCAAGGCGAGAAGGAGGCCTTGTGCAGTTGAGGCTGGTGGTGGCTTTTTTAACATATGCATTAAGGTTTTTTTTGTTTTTGTTTTTGTTTTGAGACGGAGTCTCGCTCTGTCGCCGAGGCTGGGGTGCAGTGGCACAACCTCGACTCACTGCAAGCTTCGCCTCCCGGGTTCAAGCAATTCTCCTCTCTCAGCCTCCCGAGTAGCTGGGATTACAGGCACCCACCACCATGCCCGGCTAATTTTTGTGTTTTTAGTAGAGATGGGGTTTCACCATGTTGGCCAGGATGGTCTCGAACTGCCTGCCTGGCGGGTGATCCACCCACCGCGGCCTCCCAAAGTGGCATTAAGATTCATACATTCAAATAAGTGTTCACACCCTCAGAGGTCCCTTCTGGAGGCCCCTGGCTTTGCAGAAATGTGCTTAGCTGCACACGGCGCTCAGACGGCCTCTGCACGCAGAGGGTCTGCTGCATTGGCGGGTCTTTGTTTCCTTCCTCTGTCCTGTGTCACGGGGGCCACTGCCCACTCACACATGGAAACCCCCTCCTCCCTTGGCGTCCTCCCCCTCCTCTCTTGTCTCCATTGGCTGCTCTCAAACCTAAATTATTGGGGTCCCCCAGGTATCCATCTCCAGGCCCTTCAAGGGAAGCTCTCTTCCCTGGTAACGACATCCCTTCTCGTGCCCTTAGAAATGGTAACCTCCCAGATCTTTGTCTCTTTTCCCCAAACCTGCCTCTTGTGCTTTTGTGTCTTGCTGTCTTTCGCCACCTGGTGGTGTTCCCACACTTTGATCTTAAAGTGTTCAGATTGAATTCGCAGGTGAGAAGATCTGCAGCTGAGTGTGAATTACCCTCTGGTTCCATTTCTCTTTGCAAAATGGGGGTTGTAGACCTGCTTCACAGGATCTCTCTGATGACAAGGTGGAAAAATGGATGAAAAGCGCCTCGCACAATGATCAGGACACAGGCGACCCCGATGAACACGTCCCTTTCCTGCCCCGTCAGTATCCCCTTTGTCTCTTTCTCTCCATCGTCTCAGCCCTGCTCTGGCTTCTTGTCTCTTACTCTTGGATCTGACTGGTTTCTTCCCATCCCAAATCTGCTAAGAGATTTGGGATGGGGAGAAAGCCTAGCTTTGCTCATATGTATCCTGTGCTTTAAAAATGTCTGACTTCCCGGCTGGGTGCGGTGACTCATGCCTGTAATCTCAGCACTTTGGGAGCCCTGAGGCAGGTGAATCACTTGAGGTCAGGAGGTCAAGAGCAGCCGGGCCAACATGATGAAACCCCACGTTTATTAAAAATACAAAAATTAGCCTGGGCGCAGTGGCTCATGCCTGTAATCTCAGCACTTTGGGAGGCCGAGGCGGGTGGATTACCTGAGGCCAGGAGTTCAAGACCACCCTGGCCAACATGGTGAAACCCCGTCTCTACTAAAAATACAAAAATGAGCTGGGTGTGGTGATGGGCGCCCGTAGTCCCAGCTACTCAGGAGGCTGAGACAAAGGAATCGCTTGAACCTGGGAGGCGGGGGTTGCAGTGAGCTAAGATTGCACCACTGCACTCCAGCCTGGGTGTCAAAGCGAGACTCTGTCTGAAAAACAAACAAAAAAAATTAGCAGAGCATGGTGGCGGGCACCTATAATCCCAGCTACTCAGCTGTCTGAGACACGAGAATCGCTTGAACGCCGGTGGCAGAGGTTGCAGTGAGTCAAGATCACACCACTGCACTCCAGCCTGAGTGACAGAGCAAGACCCTGTCTCAAAGAAAATAAAAAAATAAAAATATCTGACTTCCCATTGCCAACAGCTATAGTCCAAGCTCAAGAGCATTCTAACCATCTGCTCCCAGCCACAGCACCTCACTCTTCCCTGCAGGCCCTGCGCTCCCACACGACTGCCACAGGGCCTGGCCTCACAGTGCCTTTGCTCCCGGCTGTTCCCTTCTGTCCCCCTGGCTGTGCATTCCTGCCCTTCTTCGAGGTCTCAGTGTAGCTCCTTCCTGTTCTTCAAGCCCAGCTTTCCCGTGGAGCATCATTGTTCTCTGCAGTTGAAAGAGCTCTCCTCTTCTGAACTCTGAGCGTTTGTCTGTGGCTCTAATTTCTTATGCATCTCTAGTCTACCTATCTGTATTCAGAAAAGACACTCAGAATATCTACTGAATTGATCAGGAATTATTTTCCCATGTGTCTTCAGAGCTTTAGTTTAAGGTTCCTGTTGGATCCTTTCTGGGATCGTAGAATTTGAGATCATAGAACCCGGCCATCTGGTCCAAACCCCTCCGGCTCTCACGTGGAACAGTGAGGTCTGCAGCTGAACGTCTTCTCCGATGTCACGCAGCCTGTGGCCTCGAGAGCTAGAACCCACACCCTCCTGACCTGTGGCTGCTGGTTCTCTTCTGAGTGATATAACGCAGGAGTTTCAAGATTCCCGGGAAAGGTTACTTTCGTTTTTATGACCATAAAGAGTAGCCTGAAAATGCTAGTGCCGTTTGATCGTTTACAGGTGAAGTCTTTGCGTGCCTCCCTGTTGGACTCAAATGTTCTTGTGCAAAGAAATAATCTGGAAATCGTTCTGTTTTTCTTCCCATTTTATACCTGTCTGGTAAGTAATTTGTACTCTTCTGGTAAGTCACTGGTGTTTCCCAAGGGGTGGGATATAGATCTCAAGCAGTTCTGTCGTACGAGGACAGCTCAGCCACTCATGGGCATTATTTGCTGGTAGCCAGTGAAAAGTCCTTGTTCATTTTTGCAAGGATAGCGTTTTCATTGCACGTATTGAATAGCTTCTTTCCATGGGTAATGTGTAAGGAACCAGCCCATTTTGAGATAGAGCTTTGCAGACCAGCAAGGAAGGGCTGCGTGTCAAAAAGTCAGCAATCTGCCCTATCATTCCCTTGCAGTAAATTTCTCTGTCCTTCTAATAGGATTCCAATGAGAGAGCCATCCCCCTCCTCAGATCTGACATCGTGCGCATTCTCTCAGCCGCCACCCAGACCCTACTGAGAAGGGACATGTCCCTGAACAGAAGACTGTATGCATGGTTACTAGGTACTGAGCAGTATACACCCTTTTAAAGTCAAAGTTAATATGAAACCTTTTAGTGCTGACTTCTGGAATAAGATTTGGTCTTGGTGATGTATCTCTGAATCATGAAGTATGGAAAGATACCACAATGACTAAATATGGCACTGGTCAGTTGAGGTCTGCTGCCTACACATAGCTTGGTTATTTTGCAGTTTCTTTTTTAAAAAAGGGGAAATAATAAGTGGGATTTTTAAAATGCCAACTGAATTCCATTTAAGAGCTTGAAATACCACCAAAAAGTGGTAGCAAAACCTTATTCAGGTAGAAGCCTGTTGCTATGGAGAAGTTCCATGGGATGAGGGTGTATCGTGGAGAAAACTTACAAATATTGTGGAAGATATGTAGATAAAGGAGGAGGTTTTGTGTAAGTGTAAATGTTTTGGGAGACATTTGGATAACTTTGGAGATCACGAGAGCCCCTGGGCCATGTTTCTGTGTGTCAGAGTGTGTGGACTGCCTATAAATTTGTTGGCAAAGGGCCCTTGACTATTGGTTGGAAGGCCTCCCAGGGACAGAGCCTAGGAAATTGCAACTTTAAAGATAACACGTTCATGAATTTTCTAAAGTCCCATATTCACGTACCTAAGAAAACGTATACAAAACGATTGTGACAGGACTTAACAGCTCTGATCAACTCTCAACATTTAGATCTTTTTTTTCCTTTTTGAGATGGAGTTTCACTCCGTCGCCCAGACTGGAGTGCAGTGGTGCAATCTCAGCTCACTACAACCTCGGCCTCCCAAGTTGGAGTGGTTCTCCTGCCTCAGCCTCCCAAGTAGCTGGGATTGCAGGCACCCACCACCCCGGCTGGGTAATTTTTGTATTTTTAGTAGAGATGGGGTTTCGCCCTGTTGGCCAGGCTGATCTTGGACTCTTGACCTCAGGTGATCTGCCCACCTCTACCTCCCAAAGTGCTGGAATTACATGCCACCACACTCAGCCTAGCATTCAGATCTTATCAAAGATCTTACCAAAGTCAAGAAGTCCTCTTCAGTCCTTCCTGCTGTTCTCCCTAGTTATAAAACTTTAGAAAGTCATTGCATGGAAGCTTACTAAGGATTTTAAGAAGACTATTTGTAGGCTCTTTAAGGATTTGTATGTAAAGGATGATTTTGTCAAGGGCACAGCTCTGCTCCTACGGGACTTGATATGCTGTGTGGAGGACACTGGGCCTGACCACAGTGCCAGCTCTGGCTCACTTACTTGCGGCCCCAGGAGCCCCATATTCTTTGCCCATACCATGAGGATGCACTTTCTTGCCCTGAGAACCTTGCAGACTTATCCAGGGCTCCAGCTGATGGGAGCATGTGCATGAGAATACCTTGATCTCACATAATGCTGGACAAAAAAACACTGGTTTTAAAAAGTGATCCTCAGCCAGGCATGGTGGCTCATGCCTGTAATCCCAGCACTTTGGGAGGCCGAGGCAGGTGGATCACCTGAGGTCAGGAGTTTAAGAGCAGCCTGGCCAACATGCTGAAACCCCTTCTCTACTAAAAAATACAAGTGATTCTTCTGCCTCAACCTCCCAAGTAGCTGGGATTACAGGTGTGCGCCATCACGCCCGGCTAATTTTTTGTATTTTTAGTAGAGACGGGGTTTCATCATGTTGGCCACGCTGGTTTCGAACTCCTGACCTCAGGTGATCCACCCACCTTGGCCTCCCAAAGTGCTGGGATTACAGGCGTGAGCCACCGCGCCCAGCCAACAGGGTGAATTCTTAGAACAAACTAAATTGATACCCATTGAGGTGGAATTCTGCCTGTCTGATCATTAGCCACACCACTGTCAGAAGAAGAAAATCTGACGTGGTCTTTCTGGATCTGATTTTGGTTTTCCATCAGAAGAATGATATTTTTAAAAATATTGGAGCATGAGACTTTTGCACAATATGATGTCCTTTAAAAGCACAGCTCTCTTTACAGCTCGGCGCTTGTTCTTTTGTAGGCTCAGACATAAAAGGAAATACCGTTGTGCCAGAATCTGAAATCTCAAATTCTTATGAAGACCAGTCGTCTTATTTTTTTGAAAAATACTCCAAGGATCTTTTAGTTGAGGTAAAGGAGCATTTCCGGAAAGTTCAGGGTATCCTTGGTGACGATTCTCCAGTGGATTTCTTTGGGAGGCTTCCACATAGGCAGTGAGCACGTTCCTTGGCCCCTGGTTTGGGGAACTGCAGGGTATTTGTTGCATGCTGGGTGACTGGTTTTCCTTCTGTCCCAGAGTATTTAACAATTAGAATAGCCAGTAATGTTGTTACACTTTATGATATACGATATTCTAATATGTGGCTTTTTTTAAATAATAGGGTTTGGCTGAGATATTGCATCAGAAGTTCATAGATGCTGACGTGGAGGAACGCCATCATGCATACCTGAAGCCTTTTCGCGTCCTCATCAGTCTGCTTGACAAGCCAGAAATAGGTAATGTTAGAAATGCTGCTTCTATCCTATGCTGAATACAGATTACCTGTTTTCAGGGAAATACAACATGGTGAGATACAACCAAAGCGTTATTTTGAATATAATTTAATATTTGGAATTTCACAACTTTGAAGTCATGTTATATGGTTCAATGATCATATCTGTGGTCACTTACAAGTTTTGCATGGCTGGGCGCAGTGGCTCATGCCTGTAATCCTAGCACTTTGGGAGGTAGAGGAAGGAAGATCACTTGAGCTCATGGATTTGAAACCAGCCTGGGTAATATGGCTGAAAAGCCATGTTGAAAAACCCCATCTCTATAAAAAAATACAAAAAAATTAGCCAGGCGTGGTGGTGCTTCCCTGTAGTCCCAGCTACCAAGTGGCTGAGGTGGGAAGACCACCTGAGCCCAGGGGGTCGAGGCTGCAGTGAGCTGTGATTGTACCACGGCACTCCAGCCTGGGCGACAGAGTGAGACCCAGTCTGAAAAAAAAGTTTTGCACAATAATTTGAACATTTTTTGTTAGGAAAATACCTTTGAGCTCCTATAGTGTCTACAGAACATGTGGTATTTCCTTTTTAAGCCTATTTTTTCAATGTCATACTTAAAATGAGCTTTGGTTTGATTTTCAATTAAGTAGGGGACCCCGTCCATCTTTTTGCCTTGGGATCCTGGGCAAGCCACTTCTTTTCACTGTGGAGAGTAAAAACATTTTCACTGTAAAATGAAGAGGGTTGAACTAGACTCTGGTCACCAAAGGCTCCCTTCTTAGATACTATGGTCCTATGAGCATAGGTTGAGAAAAGTGACCTTCTCTCACTATTTATTTATTTATGAATGAATGAATGAACGAATGAATGAATGGCAGAGTCTCGCTCTGTTGCCCAGGCTGGAGTGCAGTGGCGCAATCTCGGCTCACTAAAACCTCTGTCTCCTGGGTTCGAACAATTAATTCTCCTGCCTCAGCTTCCCCAGTAGCTGGGATTACAGGCATGTGCCACCATGCCTGGCTAATTTTTGTATTTTCAGTAGAGACAGGGTTTCATCATCTTGGCTAAGCTGGTCTCAAACTCCTGACCTCAAGTGATCCACCTGCCTCGGCCTCCCAAAGTGCTGGGATTACAGGTGTGAGCCACTGCACCTGGCCCTCTCCCTCACTTTAAAAAGAAATTTGCGACCAGGCACGGTGGCTCACACCTGTGATCCCAGCACTTTGGGAGGCCGAGGCAGGTGGATCATGAGGTCAGGAGTTCAGGACCAGCCTGGCCAAGATGGTGAAACCCCATCTCTACTAAAAATACAAAAATTAGCTGGGCATGGTGGCGCGTGCCTGTAGTCCCAGCCACTCGGGAGGCTGAGGCAAGAGAATCGCTTGAACCAGGGAGGTGGAGGTTGCAGTGAGCCGAGATTGCGCCACTGCACTCCAGCCTGGCGACAGAGCAAGACTCCATCTCAAAAAGAAAAGAAATTTGCGGCCAGGTGTGGTGGCTCACACCTGTAATCCCAGCACTTTGGGAAGCTGAGGCAGGTGGATCATGAGGTCAGGAGTTCAGGACCAGCCTGGCCAAGATGGTGAAACCCCATCTCTACTAAAAATACAAAAATTAGCTGGGCATGGTGGCGCGTGCCTGTAGTCCCAGCCACTCGGGAGGCTGAGGCAAGAGAATCGCTTGAACCAGGGAGGTGGAGGTTGCAGTGAGCCGAGATTGCGCCACTGCACTCCAGCCTGGCGACAGAGCAAGACTCCATCTCAAAAAGAAAAGAAATTTGCGGCCAGGTGTGGTGGCTCACACCTGTAATCCCAGCACTTTGGGAAGCTGAGGCAGGTGGATCACCTGAGGTCAGGAGTTCAAGACCAGCCTGGCCAACATAGTGAAACCCCATTCCTACTAAAAATACAAAAATTAGCCAGGCATGACAGTGCACACCTATAATCGCAGCTACTTGGGAGTCTGAGTCAGGAGAATTGCTTGAACCCAGGAGGTGGAGATTGCAGTGAGCTGAGATCGCACCATTGCACTCCAGCCTGGGCAACAGAGTGAGACTCCGTCTCAAAAAAAAGAAATTTGCTACCATATCAGCTCACTTTAAGGTCTGCATCTGCTTATGTGAGCCCTATACCAGGGAAAAGATCCCCATGTCTTCCATAGGATTGCAAGCCTAAGAATGTCATTTCAGTGCTCCAGGTGTACCTACCTCCTGGTAGCTGTTTGCAGAGGACAAGAGAGCTGAGGGCTGGCCGGGTGTGGTGGCTCATGCCTGTAATCCCAGCACTTTGGAAGGCCAAGGTGGGCCTCACTTGAGGTGAGGAGTTTGAGACCAGTCTAGCCAATATGGTGAAACCCCATCTCTACTAAAAATACAAAAATTATCCAGGCATGGTTGTGCACACTTGTAATCCCAACTACTTGGGAGGCTGAGGCACAAGAATCACTTGAATCTGGGAGGCAGAGGTTGCAGTGAGCAGAGTTCACACCACTACACTCCAGCCTGAGTGACAGAGCGAGACTCCATCTCAAAAAAAAAAAAAAAAAAAAGAGAGCTGAGGGCATTAGTGAAGTGGCCTCTCTCTGGCCTTGGGATGGAGGCCCTTCGCTTATCCATTCAAAAGCACAGAGCATCTGCCATGTGGCAGGGATGGTGCCAGCTCTAGGGGGACAAAAGGGGAGCAGCTTCTCATGAAGTTAGAGGGAAGGGGAGACTCCATGTTCCTGGAGTGTTTTTACTGTTCATTAATAATAACCATGGCTGACATTTTTTGAGCAATTATTTTGTGCCAAGTGATTTACATACATCCTTTTATATCTGTCTGCACACACACCTCTGTCCCTCCAACAACCCCAAGGTAGGTTCTCCCACTATGCCTGTTTTACAAATGGAAAGACTAAGGTTGGGTGGGAGTAGGTAATTTGCCCAGGGCCAGTCAGGAGCCTAAGCTGGGTTTGTCAGCACCCCCCGATGCTTGCCTGATTGCACTCAGAGAAGTCCTACCCGAGATGTTTGCCTCTGTCACCAGGTGAACTTTATTCCAAGAGTTGTGCAGCTCTCGTCATTCTTAACGAAAGTCCAAGTATGAAGCTTTTGTTCTTCCAGGCTCTGCCCATGATGTGCTGCCTCAGGGTGTCTGCACTTTGTTCAGATTCCTCTTCCCATCTGCCCGCTCCCACCTTAAACCAAATAGATTTTCCTGCTAGTGTAGAGTAACTGCAGCTCTGAAAAATCATGATTTAGTCCAAAAAGTGGAACACTTATATAAATGTATTGGGAGCTTGCTGTGTAACTTCAGGGAAGTATTAAAAGAAGAAAATATAACTTAGCATTCTGGAGATGTGTGTTTTATGTCAAAGCCATGCACCTTGGTGAGCCAAGTAAACGTTGCTGCTAACTTGGCTCCAGGTCGTATTTTCTGGAAGCAAATGAATATCACGCTCCTGCCCAATCATAACAGTCACTTAATTTACTCTTTCCAATTTTTTAGCTGTCTGCAAGAAATCACACTCAGGAGGCAAAGGAGGTGATTATACAGAACTAGAAGGCACAGGACGGCCATTCAGTCCAGTCCATACTTTTTGTGGCTGGGCTTTAGCCATACCTCATTTCCTCCTCCATCAATCAAGGCAACAAAATTGCCTTCATTTTTGTAACAAGCATTTAGCATTCTTATGCTGTAGATAAAATACACAGGAAGCCAAGGCCAGGTGCGGTGGCTCACACCTGTAATCCCAGCACTTTGGGAGGCCGAGGCAGGCAGATCACCTGAGGTCAGGAGTTCAAGACCAACATGGCAAAACCCCACCTCTACTAAAAATATAAAAATTAGCTGGGCGTGGTGGCACACACCTGTAATCCCAGCTGCTTGGGTGGCTAAGGCGAGAGAATTGCTTGAACCCGGGAGGCGGAGGTTGCAGTGAGCTGAAATCATGCCACTGCACTCCAGCCTGGGCAACAGAGCAAGACTCTGTCTCCAAAAAAAATAATAATAAATTCTATCTTAAAAAAAATACACAGGAAACTTAGCATGAAAATAATTCTCTCAGAGGCACATCTTTTGGTTTTGTGAAAAGAAGTGTAAAAGATTGGATTAATCTGCTTTTTTGCCAGTGTTGACAGAGCTTTCATTTTCTCTGAATTGATTGTGTGTTTCTGCCTTTGGATACATGGGTAAGAAGTCAGGCCCTCAGCTGCCTGAGGGTTGCGGTTTGCGGAGCAGCAATGCCCTGCCCATCCCCTGCCTGGTTGCAGGGAAGCTTCTCTAACATGCAGCTGGTCCAGTTCTTTTGTGCCATCTTTCTCAGCGTTTCAGGATAGCCATCATTTCTTTTGTGTTGCTCCAGCTCATGACTAAAGGAATTGAAGAAGTTGCCCTGCTCTCTGGATATTTCTGTTGAGTAACGTCCCTGGCCAGCAGTTTATGCACACTTAACACACGTAGTCTGCGCTCTGCCTCTATCTAGCAGAATCTGCTTTGGGCAAGTTACTTAACCTCTCTGTGCTTCCATCTCCTTATGTGTAATCAGCAGTACAGGATCTGTCTGCATGGCTGTTACGAGGGTTTAATACGTTAATAGATGTAAAACGCGTAGAAGGGTGTCTGGCACACAGGAAGTTCTACAAAAATGTTGGCTATTTTCATGAATGTTGTTTCCCCAGCTAAAGTTGTCACCAGTAAAGTTAAGTTTCTGTATATTTTAGACTATATAAAATGTCTGTCTGCACAGGTTTACTGTAT
Source organism: Homo sapiens (assembly GCF_000001405.40). Lineage (NCBI taxonomy): Eukaryota > Metazoa > Chordata > Mammalia > Primates > Hominidae > Homo > Homo sapiens. The sequence continues at coordinate 36,219,287 of NC_000021.9, forward strand.
ATATGTCTTATGTATATACATATGTCACTTACTGATTTAAAGGGGATTGTTAATCTGTCTCTGACCATCTTCCTTCTAATTACAGGGCCTCAAGTGGTTGGGAATTTGTTTCTCGAAGTCATCAGGGCCTTTTATTCTTACTGCAGAGATGCCCTTGGCTCTGATCTTAAACTTAGCTACACCCAGAGTGGAAATTCGCTGATAAGGTATGGGTTTGGCCTTGAACCTCACGCATCTCTCTCCCTCCCCGGTACTGTGATTTTTTTTTTCCTCTCTTGCTTACTATAAATTGTGAAGTGGTAGAGAAAGCAGAGATGCAGCAGGTGAGACCATTGGTGAAAATAATCAATGCGTTGAAGTCAGTCCATGGGAATTGACTGTTCCCTACTGAGTACGGTGAAGAGTTTAAAGGGAGTTTGATATAGTCTTTCCCCCAGCCTGGGATGGACAGGTATTTATTGATTTTTTGATCAAGTATGAAACAATGAAATGTATGTATTGATCAAGTATGAAACTCGTTTAACAAAGGCAGCTTGATCTAGTATACCCAAGTGGTGAGTTACAGGGCAGAGAGAACAGAGAAAATGGAGGGGAGGGCACCTGGCAAGTGGAAAGGGGATGTGAGTCTTCAGGACAGGAGTCCAGGGGGTGTTGGGGGAGATTGGGGGAGACCCAGGCAGGGCACCGGAGAGCACAGGCTCCATTCCCCCAGAGGCAGAGTGAGTGGTGTTTGGAAGACAGCGGGCACATTGGCCTCACGTGCGCAGTTACACACAAACCCTGTTTTGTTTGTTTATTTTGTTCCTTTTAAGGGAATACAACTTTTTCCTTTTTGCTTTACTCTTAATGTAATTTCCTTCTGCCTGAACTAGCATTGGGTACATTGAAAATTTAAATCAATGTTAATATTTTTCTGGTTTGTTAGTTGTAAGTGTACTAAGAGTTCTTAGTGTTTGCTTTTTTCTCCCAGAATGAAAGCGGTTTATTGTTTTTCTGAGTATGAAAGTAATACATGCTCATTGTTGCATTTACTGATATTTGAAAGATCAAGAAAAAAGGTGTCACACGTAATCCTAGCACTCTTCAGAGAAAACCATAAAACATTTTTACTTCTTTCTAGATTTCTACTACATACATAAATACATAGATGCCTGTCTTTTATTTTAAAGGTAGAATTACACCAGTTATTTAGTTGCTTGGGGTTTTCTTTTTGTTTTCTTGTTGGTTTGTTTGTTTGGTTTTGAGACAGGGTCACCCAGGCTGGAGTGCAGTGGCGTGAACATGGCTCTCTGCAGCCTCAGTCTCCTGGGCTCAAGCGATCCTCACGCCTCAGCCCCTTAAGTAGCTGGGACTACAGACATGCACCACCATGCCCAGCTAATTTTTTTTTTTTTTTTTTGTGGAGATGAGGTTTCACCATGTTGCTCAGGCTGGTCTCAAACTCCTGAGCTCAAGCAATCTGCCCACCTCAGCTTTTCAAAGTGCTAGGATTATAGGTGTGAGCCGCCATGCCTGGTACTCTCTGGAGTGTCACTCTCCAGCATGACAAGGTCTCACTCTGTCTCCCAGGCTAGAGCACAGTGGCACCATCAATGGTCACTGCAGCCTTGAACTCCTGGGATCAAGTGATCCTCACACCTCAGCTTCCCAAGTAGCTACGACTATAGGCACACACAACCACACCTGGCTAATTTTTAATTTTTCTGTAGAGACAAGGTCTTGCTATGTTGCACAGGCTGGTCTTGAATTCCTGGCCTCAAGCAGTCCTCCTGCCTCAGCCTCCCAAACTGCTGGGACTACAGGTGTGAGCCACTGTGCCCGGCCACTGCTTGTTTTTTAAAATGCAAGTTGTGAGTAGCTCTACACTATTCTCCTATGGGATTAGTTGCCTTAGATATTTGTTAAGGATTTATCATTTATTTAAGGCCAAGTGCAGTGGCTCACGCCTGTAATTTCAGCACTTTGGGAGGCCAAGGCAGGCGGATCACTTGAGGTCAGCAGTTCAAGACCAGCCTGGCCAACATGACAAAACCTGGTCTCTACAAAAAAAATACAAAGGTTAGCCGGGTGTGGTGGGCCATGCCTGTAGTCCCAGCTACTTGGGAGGCTGAGGCATGAGAATTGCTTGAACCTGGGAGGTGGAGGCTGCAGTGAGCCAAGATCGTGCCACTGCACTCCAGCCTGGGCGACAGAGCGACACTTCATCTCAAAAAATAAATAAAAATAATAAATCCTGACTGACCAATTTCTTATTGATTGACTTTTAGACAGTTTCTGCTTTTTCAGTTTTGTTTGTTTGTTTGCTTTTGAGACAGAGTCTTGCTCTGTTGCCCAGGCTGGAGTGCAGTGATGTGGTCTTGGCTCACTGCAACTCCACCTCCCAAGTTCAAGTGATTCTCCTGCCTCAGCCTCCTGAGTAGCTAGGATTACAGGCACCTGCCACCACTCCTGGCTAATTTTTTGTATTTTTAGTGGAGATGGGGTTTTCACCATGTTGGCCAGGCTGGCCTCGAATTCCTGACCTCGTGATCCACCTGCTTCAGCCTCCCAAAGCACTGGGATTACAGGCATCAGCCACTGCGCACAGCCTGTTTGTTTGTTTTTGAGACGGAGTCTCGCTCTGTACCCAGCCTGGGGTGCGGTGGCGCCATCTCGGCTCATTGCAACCTCCACCTCCTGGGCTAAAGCAATTTTCGTGCCTCAGCCTCCCGAGTAGCTGGGATTACAGATGCCCACTATCATATCTGGCTAATTTTTATGTTTTTAGTAGTGACAGAGTTTTGCCATGTTTGCCAGGCTGGTCTCAAACTCCTGACCTCAAGTGATCTGCCTGCCTCGGCCTCCCAAAGTGCTGGGATTGCAGGTGTGAACTACCACACCCGGCCTTTTTCAGTATTTTTTAATGGCCATTTAGTGGTACACTTCTGCACACATCTATGTAGCTGTGCAGGGATTTCGGTAGGATAAATTTCTTGAATAAATTTCCTGAGCCATAGAAGATAAAATTTAAGGCTGGATGCTATGGCTTATGCCTGTAATTCCAGCACTTTGGGAGGCTGAGGCAGGTGGATCACTTGAGGTCAGGAGTTTGAGACCAGCCTGGCCAACATCACGGTGAAACCCCGTCTCTACTAAAAATACAAAACTTAGCTGGGCGTGGTGGTGCACGTCTGTAATCCATCCTAGCTACTCGGGAGGCTGAGGCAGGAGAATCGCTTGAACCTGGGAGGCAGAGATTGCAGTGAGCCGAGATTGTACCACTGCACTCCAGCCTAGGAAACAGTGAGACTGTGTCTCAAAAAAAAAAAAGAAGATAAACATTTAAAATCTTGGCTGAATTTCCCTGCTGAATATCCATGTACCATGTTATTCCACCAGTAGAGTATGGACTAAAACTGATTTTCTGTACAAATTCTTTTTACAGTAGCTCTGAAATTATTATTATTTTATTTTTATTTTTATTTTTTGAGACAGAGTCTCACTCTGTCATCCAGGCTGGAGTGCAGTGGCTCAATCTCAGCTCACTGCAACCTCCGCCTCCCAGGTTCAGGCGATTCTCCCACTTCAGCCTCCTGAGTACCTGGGATTACAGGTATCCGCCATCATGCCCTGCTAATTTTTGTATTTTTGTAGAGACAGGGTTTCACCATGTTGGTCAAGCTGGTGCACCCACCTCAGCCTCCCAAAGTGCTGTGATTACAGGTGTGAGCCACCGCACCCAGCTCTGAAATTTATTTTTAAGAGACTGTATCAATATAAATATTGTTTACGATGGCATTATGCAAACACATTATAAGAACAGTAATATTTTCATTTTTATCAGGGTGTGTCAGCTTCTCTAGAAATAAGTTGCAGATGGTGAAATCAATTACAGTTTTTTGGACACTTTTTGTAATTCAGGATTTTTTTATAGACATATTTATTCATGTCCTCCCCTTTTACAGTGCAATCAAGGAAAACAGAAATGCCTCTGAGATTGTCAAAACGGTAAATTTGCTGATAACTTCTCTAAGCACAGACTTTCTCTGGGATTATATGACAAGGTGTTTTGAGGAATGCTTTAGGTAAGTATGCAGTTCAAGAATGCAGAATATTTAGGAAGGATGAGAGGGTTTAATAATTTTGTAGCTGCTTAGAATATCAGATTATATATAAGTAGCTGAAGCTGAGTAGTCTTTCCTGAGTTTTAAAATTCAACTAAAACAGGATTGGAAAGAATTCACTTAAGATTCTAGCAGAATAAAAACATCTCCAATAAGAAGGTTCACATAATCTTTGCCATGTAATTCTGAAGCTGCTTTAAAAGTCTAACTTTAGAAAATCCTCAGCGCATTTTCTGGTTACATTCATCAAATCAGCTTTCCTCTCCTGGCTGCCCGATCTATTGAAAGCAGCTTAGTTTTGTGGCTTTGTGACTGGATAGAGTGTTTTTGAAACTCTTGCTGAAATGAATGTAACTGGTCAGATAAAAGCATTAATGTTTTAAGCTACTATAATCAGCTTTACCATCTCTTTTAACCGGGTGAATTGCACCACCCCTAAATTGTTTGCAGTGGCGTACCCCAGGAATACCGAGCTTTCCTGGAGAGCCCTTTCCCATGCCATTTTCTTTACGGGAGGAATAAGGTCATGTCTCAAACCCTGTTTTGTCCTGAGGCATGCTGTAAAACTTATTTCTTGTTCATCTCCACTGTAATGCTCTTGGCTGTTTCAGAGTCTTACTTCTCAGCTGCTACCACTACACTTTTCTGCCCAAATAAGCTCACAACCCTGGGAAAAATAAGTTAATTGCAATTGGATCCACAGGCAACAGCAAGGCCATATTATATTGAGGTTAGAGTATGCTTTGGTCAGCCTGGTTGTTATGTTATTTTTTATTTTATGACGGAGTCTCTGTCTCTCACCGAGACTGGAGTTCACTGGCACGATCCCAGCTCACTGCAACCTCTGCCTCCCAGGTTCAAGCGATCCTCCCATCCTGGCCTCCTAAATAGCTGAGACTACAGGCTCAGCCTCCCAAGTAACTGCGACTACAGGTGCACGCCACCACACCCAGCTAATTTTTGTATTTTTAGTAGAGACAGGGTTTCACCATGTTGGCCAGGCTGGTCCCAAACTCCTGACCTCAAGTGATCCACCCGCCTTGGCCTCCCAAATTGCTGGGATTACAGGCATGAGCCGCCGCATCTGGCCATCCTGGTTATTAAAAAAAAAAAAAGAATAAAATGTTTCTACCCAGATAGAGCTGACTCTCCATCTTTGCAACATTTTGTCCTCTTTTCATCCCAGAGTTAATCCCTGTCCTGAGATTAATGTCTGTCTTCAGTGTAACATGGCTTTGCTGTTGCCTGTGGATCCTATTACAGTTAATTTATTCATCCCAGGGTTATGAGATGAAAAGCAATAGATACTTTTTAACTTACCCATTTATCTAGTAGCCTGTTTATTTTAAAAGAAGTCTTGAATTTCAGTATAAGATAAGCAACTAACAATAGTTGATTGGTGGGGTTACACTTCTCTACAGAAGCTGAAACTTTCTAGGCAACTCAGGTGCTGATAAACTCCTGGAATTACTTGGAGAGGAGTAGTCCCAGGCCACTCCTACAGCAGGGTGAACAGCCATGTGGACTGTGGTGTTCTCCAGCCCAGCCTCGTTCCCTTGGATCGTGCTTTTGGGCTTGGACTGGGGACTTGGGATTACATCTGTCGATGGTACTCCAGGTCTCCTGGGAGACACCTGAATTGGTAGAGTTCAAGTCAGAGGGAATCTGTTTGGACACCAACAGATTCAGGACACTTATTGACACTTCTACATGTTAGATACTTTTAGTCACCAAAATTTAGTTATGAGAACTACAAAAGCTGCCTTCCATTATGTTTGAAGTAGAATAACGTTACTGGAAATTGTAAGAAATGCTTGGACTTACCGCAGGAAGAAGAATTGATTTTTTTTTTTTTTCTGAGACAGAGTCTTGCTCTGTCACCCAGGCTGGAGTGCAGTGGTGCGATCTTGTCTCACTGCAACCTCTGCCTCCCGGGTTCAAGTAATTCTCATGCCTCAGCCTCCCAAGTAGCTAGGACTACAGGCGTGGGCCACCACACCTGGCTAATTTTTTTGTACTTTAGTAGAGATGGGGTTTCACCATGTTGCCCAGGCTGGTCTCAGACTCCTGAGCTCAGACAGTCCACCCATCTCGGCCTCCCAAAGTGTTAAGATTATAGGTGTGAGCCTCCATGCCTGGCCAAAGAATGGATTTTTTCTTTGCTGTGATTTATAGACCAGTGAAGCAGCGTTACAGCGTGAGGAACAGCGTCAGCCCTCCCCCCACGGTCTCGGAGCTCTGCGCCCTCCTGGTCTTCCTGCTGGATGTCATTCCTTTGGTGAGTGCTGGGGAAGGGACATCTCAACGCCTGCTATTATTTACATTCTTACTGGTGGTGATGGCCTGCTTTATCAACCTCACATTACTGAAAATGTTTTACATAAATATGCAACACTGTTTTGATGTTTGTTTTGGCATAAAAGATATAGCTGGATGTAATCTCTTAAATTTTTAATGTCTTATTTAAAAGGGGCTATAACTTTTGGGCCAGTTGTAAGTGGGCAAAGCTGAAGTTAGGTCAACCAGCTGAAGAACTGGGTATCATTCCCGTACTACAGTTACTTTAGGGAAAGAGTCAATACATTTCCTAGTTAAAATTGTGCTGTTGGCTAATTTTCTCAAAGGAAACTAATTTCCTTAATGTAGAAACGTGCCAATTTTATTTTTTATTAGAAAGTGTAAAGCCACTTGCAAGGAGAGGAGTAACATCCTTGATTTGTCTAGATCAAATTGAAATACCGAGCCTAGCTCTGTGGTATGCGCTCGTAATTCCCAGCTACTCAGGAGGCTGAGATTGGAGCATTGCTTGAGCCCAGGAATTTGAGACCAGCCTGGACAGCATAACATGATCCAGTCTCAAACAAAAACAATAGAAATGTTCTTTTCTTTTCTCTGTCTCTCTCTCTCTTTTTTTTTTTTTCTCCTGTGACAGAGTTTTGCTCTTGTTGTCCAGGCTGGAGTGCAATGGTGTGATCTCGGCTCACTGCAACCTCCGCCTCTGGGGTTCAAGTGATTCTCCTGCCTCGGCCTCCCAGGTAGCTGGGATTACAGGCACCTGCCACTACGCCCAGCTAATTTTTTGTATTTTTAGTAGAGACAGGGTTTCACCATATTGGCCAAGCTGGTCTTGAACTCCTGACCTCAGGCGATCCACCAGCCTCGGCCTCCCAAAGTGCTGGGATTACAGATGTGAGCCACCATGCCCATCCTCTTTTCTCTTTTTTGAGATAGAGCCTCACTGTCACCCAGGCTGGAGTGCAGTGGCATGATCTCAGCTCACTGTAGCCTCATCCTCCCAGGCTCAAGCAATCCTCCCACCTCAGCCTCCCAAGTGTCTGAGACCACAGGCATGTGCCACCACATCTGGATAGTTTTAGTATTTTTTGTAGAGATGGGGTCTCACTGTGTTGCCCAGGCTGGTCTCGAACTCCTGAGCTCAAGCAATCTCCCTGCATCAGCCTCCCAAGGTGCTGGCTGGGATTATAGGCATGAGCCACTACGCCTAGTCTTCTTTTGTTTTCTGATTTGAAAATTAATATGGTATGGTGGCTCACGTCTGTAATCCCAGCACTTTGGGAGGCCGAGGTGGGCGGATCACAAGGTCAGGAGATTGAGACCACCCTGGCTAACACGGTGAAACCCCGTCTCTACTAAAAAAAATACAAAAAGTTAGCCGGGTGTGGTGGCGGGCGCCTGTAGTCCCAGCTACTCAGGAGGCTGAGGCAGGAGAATGGTGTGAACCTGGGAGGCAGAGCTTGCAGTGAGCCGAGATCACACCACTGCACTCCAGCCTGGGTGACAGAGTGAGACTTCATCTCAAAAAAATAAATAAATAAATAAATAAAATAAAATAAAATAAAAAAGAAAATTAATGTGGGTCAGGCACGGTGGCTCACGCCTGTAATTCCAGCACTTTGGGAGGCCAAGGTGGATGGATCACAAAGTCAGGAGATCGAGACCATCCTGGCTAACACGGTGAAACCCCATCTCTACTAAACATACAAAAAATTAGCCGGGCGTGGTGGTGGGCACCTGTAGTCCCAGCTGCTCGGGAGGCTGAGGCAGGAGAATGGCGTGAACCCGGGAGGCTGAGCTTGCAGTGAGCCGAGATCGCGACACTGCACTCCAGCCTGGGCTACAGAGCAAGACTCTGTCAAAAAAAAAGAAAGAAAGAAAGAAAGAAAATTAGTGTGAAATTTATGCCCTAAAAAATTGAATTAGATGCCATTTTGAGATGCATTGTTTTTCTGATTGTGAACCAACATTGTGGGGTTAACCTACACGTTTATTTCACAGGAACTTTACTCTGAGGTGCAAACCCAGTATCTCCCTCAGGTGCTCGGCTGCCTGGTGCAGCCTCTTGCTGAGGACATGGAGGCCTTAAGTTTACCTGAACTCACGCATGCCTTGAAGACGTGTTTCAAGGTGCTCAGCAAAGTCCAGATGCCTCCTTCCTACCTCGACACGGAGTCCACCAGCGGAACCTCGGTGTGTACTCTGAGGGGCAGAAATGGTTCTGGGGGCTAAAAGCAGCTTATGCCTTCCTGGGAGTAGAAAGTCTTTAGGGTTGGTTAGGATAGGAATAAAGATGAGAAGATACCCAGGTGATATGTCAAATATGCTTGTAAAACCCTCACTTTAAAAGGTTTTAGCACCTGGCATGGTACAATGGCTCACACCTGTAATACCAACACTTTCGGAGACTGGGGCAGGAGGATTGCTTGAGCCCAGGAGTTCGAGACCAGCCTGGGCAACATAGCAAGCCTTCATCTCTCTACAAAATAAAAATTAGGCCAAGTACAGTGGCCCACACCTGTAATCCCAGCACTTTGGCAAGCTGAGGCGGGTGGATCTCCTGAAGTCAGGAATTCAAGACCAGCCCAACCAACATGGCAAAACCCCATCTCTATTAAAAATACAAAAATTAGCCAGGCATGGTGGCACATGCCTGTAGTCCCAGTTACTTGGGAGGCTGAGGCTGGAGAATCTCTTGAACCTGGGAGGCGGAGGTTGCAGTGAGCCATCACGCCACTGCACTTAAGCCTGGGCAACAGAGCAAGACTCCGTTTCAAAAAAAAAAATAAATAAAAATAAGGGCTGGGCGCGGTGGCTCACGCCTGTAATCCCAGCACTTTGGGAGGCCGAGGCGGGCAGATCATGAGGTCAGGAGATCAAGACCATCCTGGCTAACATGGTGAAACCCTGCCTCTACTAAAAATACAAAAAATTAGCCGGGTGCAGTGGCGGGCGCCTGTAGTCCCAGCTACTCAGGAGGCTGAGGCAGGAGAACAGCGTGAACCCAGGAGGCAGACCTTGCAGTGAGCCGAGATAGTGCCACTGCAGTCCAGCCTAGGCGAAAAAGTGAGACTCTGTCTCAAAATAAATAAATAAAATAAAATAAAATAAAATAAAATAAAATAAAATAAAATAAAATAAAAAGGCATGGTGGTGTTCACCTGTAGTTCCATCTACTCAGGAGGCTGAGGTGGGAGGATCGCTTGAGCCCAACAGGTTGAGGCTGCAGTGAGCCATGATTGCACGGCTGCACTCCAGCCTGAGTGAGAGCAAGACCCTGTCTCTACAAAAAAAAATTTTTAAGTTTAGCACCCTTTGTTTCACCCATTCTCATGCTACTTGCCTGCTCTGTAACTGCAGTTAATGGTTAGATACAGTTAATAACTATGTAACTACAGTTAATGGGCTAGTTATAACTAGCCCTGCACTGTTTTATGTGTGTGTTTGTGGCATGTGATTTTGGTTATTTCGAATATAAGCGAGATGAGGTACTGGATTAGTTTGCTGGGACTGCCATAATAAAGTACCACAGACTGGGTGGCTTCCACAACAGACACTTGTTTTCTCATGGTTTTGAAGGCCAGGGCCTGACACGAAGGTGTCAGCAAGGTTGGCACCTCCTGAGTGCACTGGGGAAAAAGAGTCTGTCTCATGCCTCCCCCGAGCTTCTGGTGGTTTGCTGGCAATATTCAGCATTCCTCGGCTTGTCCAGGCATCAGCCCAGTCTCGGCCTTTATGTTCACTTGGCTGTCAACCTGTGTGCATGTCTGTCTCTGTGTCCAGATCTCTCCTTTTTATAAATCCAGTCCTACTGGATTTGGGCCCACTCTAATGATCTCATCTTAATTGGATCATCTGCAGAGACTCTATTTTCAAATTAAGGTCACATTCACAGGTATTGGGAGTTAGGACTTCAACCTATTTTTGGGGGACACCGTTCAACCCATAACGTACACTATTCTCTGACTTGCTTTACCTTTTTTTTTTTTTTTTTTGAGACAGAGTCTCTCTCTGTCGCCCAGGCTGGAGTGCAGTGGCATGATTTTGGCTCACTGCAACCTCCACCTCATGGGTTCAAGCGATTCTCATGCCTCAGCCTCCCAAGTAGCTGGGATTACAGGCACCCACCACCATGCCTGGCTAATTTTTTGTATTTTTAGTAGAGATGGGGTTTCACCATGTTGGCCATGCTGGTCTTGAGCTCCTGACCTCAGGAGATCCACCCACCTCATCCTCCCAAAGTGCTGGGATTACAGGCATGAGCCACCACACCTGGCCTTATTTTATTTCTTCATACCTTTATTTTACCCTCAGCTCAGTTTCCTCATTCATATTTGTTAATTTGTCGGAAACAGTTCTCGCTCTGTTGTCCAGAGAATTGTGGCAGGTGATCCGCCCGCCTCAGCCTCCCTAAGTGCTGGGATTACAGGCTTGAGCCACCACGCCTGGCAGAAACAATTCTTAAACAACTTTTTTGAACTCTAAAGGGGTTATATATTTAGACAAAAACACAAGAAAAATAGGCCCAAAAGCCAGCCTCCCCAGAGAGCATGTGGGTGTACCAGCCTCCTCTTTGCTACCCACCGCTCTCCTTCTCCTGCTTTGGGTGCCTCCTAAATTTCATTATACACTTAACACAGGGATTCTCTAGTCTGGAGAGTGATGATTTTGAAAAACAGAATTGAAATACATTCATGATTTCAACTGATACTTAAATAGCTTGGTGTTAAGAGATGCACAATTCACATCTTTTTATTTTTTACAGAGTCCAGTAAAAGGTGAAAACGGCAAAATAATTTTGGAAACAAAGGCAGTGATTCCCGGTGACGAAGATGCTTCGTTTCCCCCTCTGAAGTCTGAGGACAGTGGGATCGGGCTCAGTGCCTCGTCACCGGAGCTCTCTGAGCACTTGAGGGTTCCTCGAGTTTCTCTGGAAAGGGACGACGTTTGGAAGAAGGGCGGGAGCATGCAGAGGACGTTTCTTTGCATCCAAGAGCTAATCGCCAACTTTGCCAGCAAGAACATTTTTGGAGTACAGCTGACAGCGTCAGGAGAAGAAAGCAAGTCCGAGGAGCCTGCAGGGAAGAGGGACAGGGATGGGACGCAGAGCCTGGCAGCCAATGATTCCAGCAGGAAGAACTCTTGGGAGCCCAAGCCCATCACTGTGCCTCAGTTCAAGCAGATGCTGTCAGACTTGTTCACAGCACGAGGGTCTCCATTCAAGACAAAAAGTTCAGAGTCACCATCGTCTTCGCCCAGCAGCCCTGCCAGGAAAAACGGGGGAGAATGGGATGTTGAGAAGGTGGTCATTGACCTGGGGGGTTCCAGGGAGGAACGCAGGGAGGCCTTTGCCGCCGCCTGCCACCTGCTGCTGGATTGTGCCACTTTCCCTGTCTACCTGTCCGAGGAAGAGACCGAGCAGCTCTGTGCAACGCTCTTCCAGCTGCCAGGTGAGAGGCAGCCCTGCCGAAGTCCCTCTTTGGGAATCATACGATGAGGCGATTGACGTGGGTGGAATATCCCCTATCCACAATGCTAGGGACCAAATGTATTTTGGATTTCGGACTTTTTTCAGATTTTTGGAATATTTGCCTTACACTTACCGATTCAGCATTCCTAATCCAGAAATCCAAAATCCAAGAGCTCCAGTGACTGTTTCCTTCGAGCATCATGTCAGTGCTAATAAGGTTTCAGGTTTTGGATTTGGAATTTTCAGATTAGAGATTCTCAACCTATATTTAAAGACTAGCTCAAATTGTGTAAGCCAAGAAGGTGCTATTGGCCTCATTTGTTCCCTTCCTCATTTGTAATTAGTACATTTTTGACTTGTGTCTCACCACATGGCAAAGTGGTAAGGGTGGGGCCTATGTTTTTAAACCCTGGGTGTCCAGCACAGCCCATCAGAAGACCTAGAACATGAGTGGCATTCAGTGATAGTAAATAGACTATTTCATGATGCCTGTTGATAAAGTTTTTTTTGTGTTGGGTTTTTTTGTTTTTTTTTTTTTTTTGAGACAGGGTCTGGCTCTGTTGCCCAGGCTGGAGTGTGGTGACACCAACTCAGCTCACTGCAACCTCCGCCTCCTGGGTTCAAGTGATTCTTCTGCCTCAGCTTCCCCAGTAGCTGGGACTACAGGCACGTGCCACTACGCCCAGCTAATTTTTTTTTTTTTTTTTTTTGAGACAGCGTCTTGCTCTGTCGCCAGGCTGGAGTGCAGTGGCGCGATCTTGGCTCACTACAGCCTCCGCCTCCCGGGTTCAAGTGATTCTCCTACCTCAGCCTCCCAAGTATCTGGGGTTACAGGCACACGCCACCACACCCAGCTAATTTTTGTATTTTTAGTAGAGACAGGGTTTCACCATGTTGGCCAGGATGGTCTCAATCTTTTGACCTCGCGATCCACCCGCCTAGGCCTCCCAAAGTGCTGGGGTTACAGGCGTGAGCCACTGCACCTGGCCCCCTAATTTTCATATTTTTAGTAGAGATGGGGTTTCACCATGTTGGCCAGGCTGGTCTCAAACTCCTGGCCTCATATGATCTGCCCGCCTTGGCCTCCCAAAGTGCTGGGATTACAGGCATGAGCCACCGTGCCTGGCCAATATTTTATATATTGGTTTGCTAGGGCTCCTCTAACAAAGTACCATAAACTGAGAAATTTGTCTCATAGTTCTGGAAGCCAGAAGTCCAAGATCAAGGTGTCAGCAGAGCCATACTCCTCCTCTGAGACCCTGGATGGAATACTTTTTGGCCTCTTCAGCTTCTGGTGCTGGCCGGCAACCCTTGGAGGGCTCCTCACCTTGCAGCTGCATCAGTCCCGTCTCTGCCTTTGTCTTCACAGGGTGTCCTCTGTATGTCCTGTCTTCCCTTGACATGTCCCTCTTACAAGGACACCAGTCATATTGGATTAGGGCCCACCCTAACAACCTCATCTTAATTTGATTACCTCTGTAAGGACCTTATTTCCAAATAAGTCTCACCAGCGGGAGGTTAGCGCACTGCTGTCCAGGTGGATTTCTCAGGTAACTTCCCAGATCTAGGGTGCTGTAGAATCTGCAGACTGGGGACCCATTCTCACGTGGTTCTGCTTGTTTCTGCCTCTCCGGCTGGCTTCCTTTCAGGAGCCGGTGATTCCAGTTTTCCATCTTGGCTGAAGTCCCTCATGACTATTTGCTGCTGTGTGACTGACTGCTACCTCCAGAACGTGGCCATTTCCACTCTGCTGGAAGTGATAAACCATTCCCAGTCCCTGGCGCTTGTCATTGAAGACAAGATGAAACGCTATAAGAGCTCTGGACACAACCCTTTTTTTGGCAAGCTGCAGATGGTGACGGTTCCTCCCATTGCTCCAGGGATATTGAAAGTCATTGCAGAGAAAACAGATTTCTATCAGGTATTTCCCACTGGGAACACTCTTCTTATGGCCTCCTTCTCCCCCTGAGCAAAACTCAGAACCGTATTGCTGGGGATGGGGGCAGTGGCCCACTTCTCTGAGAGTGATATTCTATAGGGCACTGGGCAGAGGCAGTAGCCTTTGGTCTTCCTCTCCCAGCATGTAACTTTCACCCTCCAGGAAAGCTACAGTGAGAGCAACTGGGGCCCCAGTATTCTGGGCCTGCCAGGACTGAGTGGAACCCCTGCCTGGGAGTGGGGTCTGGGTGGAGGCAGGGAGCCCATGACTCCTCCACTGCACTCACCTGGATTTAGCCTCTGCCACATCCAGCAGAGGGGTGGGAAGGTGACGTGCTGGTGGCCTGCCCCTCCCAGGAGGTGCAAAAGCCCTTGACTGGGAGCTGGGGAAAGAGAGCACCCTTTTGCTTGGCCACATGCACCAGAGTGGATAGTGACGTTTCCATGGAGCTAAGCTGGGGAAGGAAGGAGATGATGAGCAGGTCATGGCTCAAGTGCCATGACTCTTGCTGCTTTGACCGAAATGTCGTAGGTTTTCCGGAATAAATGTTTCTTTATTTCCTGAATGTCCTTTGGATAATTTCCAGACTCTAAATGGTTGGTTGTTGTTGGTTTTAAAATAATTTTCACCAGTTATGGTTGTGTTGCTTGGGAGAGGGTCTGTCTGTGGAACTCCTCACACCGCTCAGCTTTGGTTCCATGTGGGACACCATCTACGGTGTCAGGTCCTGGGGGAGCTTTTACTTAATTGCTCATTGACTTTTTTTGTTGTTGTTGTTGAGACGGAGTCCCGCTCTGTCACCCAGGCTGGAGTGCAGTGGCACGATCTCGGCTCACTGCAACCTCTGCCTCCCATGTTCAAGCAATTCTCCTGCCTCAGCCTCCCGAGTAGCTGGGACTACAGGCACCTGCCACCACACCTGGCTAATTTTTGTATTTTTAGTAGAGATGGGGTTTTACCGCATTGGCCAGGCTGGTCTCAAACTCCTGACCTCAGGAGTTTGGGAGGCCCGCCTCAGCCTCCCAAAGTGCCAGAATTATAGGTGTGAGCCACCGTGCCCAGCTGCTTATTGACTTTTGTACCACATTTCTTCTTCCTGCTAGAGTTGAGTCACATTAGATCTTGAATAGACAGAACTTGAAACCAGGACTGGAACCGCTATAAGCAGCAGTGATTAAGCAAGTGTCATCTTGGCCCTACATAGATCAGAGATCAGAAAATTTGGCATATTTACACTATATATAGGCACAGGGGAGAAAAAAGAAGAAAGAATTGAGATCATGAATCTTTGGAAAGGTACTCATAGAATAAAAGTGGCAGCATTAAATACATTCCTTTTATTTTGGGGCAGTGAGGGAAGCTTTTCCAAGTTCTTACTGAAGCCTTGATTTTTACTTTCATTTTCATGTAGTACATATTCAAGTACTTACCATTTGCCTGGCACTAGAGCATACTTTTCTTTTTTTTTTTTCCTTGAGACAGAGTCTTGCTCTGTTGCCCAGGCTGGAGTGCAATGGCATGATCTTGGCCTCTGCCTCCTGAATTCAAGCGATTCCCCTGCCTCAGCTTCCCTGGTAGCTGGGACTACAGATGTGCGCCCTCACACCTGGCTAATTTTTGTATTTTTAGTAGAGACGGGGTTTTACCATATTGGCCACGCTGGTCTCAAACTCCTGACTTCAAGTGATCCTCCCACCTCAGCCTCCCAAAGTGCCTTACAGGCGTGAGCCACCGCACCCGGCCAAGAGCATACTTTTTTTATTGACATGTAATATTGTATATATATATGGGTACAATTTGATATTCTGACACATTTATACATTGTATGATGATCAAATCATGGTAATTAGCATACCCATCACCTTAAGCATTTATCATTTCTTTGTTGTGAAAACATTCAGAACCCTCTCTTCTAGCAATTTGAAATACACAATGCATTATTGTTAGCAGTAGTCACCCTACTGTGCAGTAGAGTACCAAGATTTATTCCTTGGAGCACACTTTTATGTACTGTACAGTTCTTGAGAGTTGAGGACAGCGGCAGCTAGTGCCTGTCCCTGTTGCAGATGCTGGAACTAGAGACACAGCAACCTTACCCATAGCCAGGACGTGCCCCCAATTCTCAGACTCCAGACAGGGCTGTTGTCTGATCTTTCAGCCTTTTTTTAATCCTGCGGGAACAGCTCACATACCAGAGTTCCTGCTTCCCACAGTGCAAACAAGAAAAGGTCAGATAGCCCAAGGGTGCCCTGACCTTTCTTATCAGGTAGTGTTGGCAGATTTCAGATAACTAAGACAACACCCAGAACAGAGGAGTAGAGTAAGGTTTAAACATGTGAAGGAAGGCCCGGCTCGGTGGCTCACGCCTGTAATCCCAGCATCCAGCACTTTAGGAGGCTGAGGGCTGCTTGCTTGAGCTCAGGAGTTCGAGACCAGTCTGGCCAACACGGCAAAATCCCATGTCTAAAAAAAAAAAATACAAAAATTAACCTGGCATGGTGGCACACACCTGTAGTCCCAGCTACTTGGGAGGCTGAGGTGGGAGGATCACTTGAGCCAAGGAGGCAGAGGTTGCAGTGAGTTGACATCGTGCCACTGCACTCCAGCCTGGGGCACATAGTGAGACCCTGCCTCAAAAAAATATATATGAGGGAGTAGGTATGGATTTGTGATCGGCATCAACTCTCAAAAACCTTGCAAAAAAATTTTTTAAACCTTCCGGAAGGGAGTCTCTTGCATATATATTTGCCATAGTGACAGCAAGGAAGTCGGGGGGGGGGCGGTCTACGTAGTCAAAAAGTTATATATCAGAATTCAATTGTAATGTGATTGTTGGAAATCACTTTCCCTTAGAGAAAAAGTAACAAAATAATGGTTAGGAGTTTGAGCCAGTCAGTGGTTAACTTGATCTATGCAGAGAAAGACGGTTTTGTTGAGTAGAAATAAATGGGCCAAAGAAGTTATTTGATCTAAGTTATGCCTAAAATACTCCAGTCTATGAGATATAAACTTCATATAGTCTATGAAGTATAAGAATGTCTTTAGAAATTTAGAAATTTCCCTCCCGGAAGTGGGGACCAGCCCTCCTTCTGGGTCTCACCCTTGTTGGGGCAGGCACACTGGCTCCTGCTCCCTGCCACTTGGCAAGGGGCTGTAGCCCTTTGCAGACCATGCATGTTTAATGAGCTCAGTTCAGGGCTGGGAAGATGGAGGACACGATTTGGGGGTATAATAGTGTTTTGAAAGTGAGGCAGGCACCTGCCACAGCGTTGTGCAGGGAAAAGGGAAGAGTCAAGTTAGTGGAATTAAAGCTGGTAGGCGTGGCTCTTTATCCATGCTGCGTGGTAACCAATTCGAGCAGACCCCAGAGGTGACCAAGTGCTGTGGAGCTGAACCCCAGAATGAGTGATCTTGACAACCACTGTAAATTCACCAAACTCCCCAGAGGGTACATCTGTGCATTCCCCAGTGCCTGCTCGGCACCTGCCTGTTGAAAGAATGCTTCAACCCCTTTGGTCCAGTTTCCAGTTAATTCTCTTTCTGAAAGTAATGTTGAGGTTGAGGCAAGAGCTGCAGTGTTCTTAGTCGGCCAGAAACCTCCAGGTTTGACCTCCTATAACATTGCCTGCTGCCTGGATGACTTTGGTGGGTTTTTCCTTTTTTTCTTTTTTCTTTTTCTTTTTCTTTTTTTTTTTTTTTTTGAGACAGAGTCTCACTCTATTGCCCAGGCTGGAGTGTAGTTGCATGATCTCAGGATCTCAGCTCACTGCAACCTCCGCCTCCTGGATTCAAGTGATTCTCCTGCCTCACCCTCCCAAGTAGCTGGGATTACAGGTGCCCGCCGCCACACCTGGCTAATTTTTGTATTTTTAGTAGAGTTGGGGTTTTGCCATGTTGACCAGGCTGGTCTTGAACTCCTGACCTCAGGTGATCTGCCCCACTTCGACCTCCCAAAGTGCTGGGATTACAGGCATGAGCCACCGCTCCCAGCCTTTGGTAGGTTTCTTGCTTTATTTGTTGGTGATTTGTCTCTGAGCATGGAGGATTCTCACATGGCAAGTATAGGTGAGATCCAGTATGTCGGGGCTGGGACTGACTGAGTGAGGATGTGAGCGGATGTTGCCTGTGTTGACCTGGTCCCCCACCGCCTGCCTTTTCCTTGTCCCAGAGGGTGGCTCGTGTGCTTTGGAATCAGCTGAACAAAGAGACCCGGGAGCATCACGTCACCTGCGTAGAATTGTTCTACCGGCTGCACTGCCTGGCCCCTACGGCCAACATCTGCGAGGACATCATCTGCCATGCCCTCCTGGACCCTGACAAGGTGAGCCTTTCTGGCCGCCACCTCCATCCTGCAGCACCCCGGCCCCTGCTGTACGTGCCCTTAGCCAACTGACATCCATTCGGTCGAAGTCTTTCTGGGGCTGAGTGGACATCGTGATTAATAAAATAAGCAGAGGTGTTCTAGGATTTCAGTACTGGAAGGCCACTAGAAGCATGAGCCATTCTTTTTACAGCCCTGGAAATGTGGTTTGTGACCATATTGAGGCTCACCAGGGAAACCTGCCCAAACTTGCTGGAAGGACTTGCAGGGCTTCTGCAGGTGTTGGCAAAATAGGCAGTTGTAGGGAATTTATTGTCCCTTTAAGAACTTATTGAAGCAGGGCGTGGTGGCTCACACCCGTAATCCCAGCATTTTGGGAGGCTGAGGTGGGAGAAATTGAGGCCAGGAGTTCAAGACCTGCCTGGGCAACATAGTGAGATCCATCTCTACCAAAAATAAATAAATAAATAAGGCCAGGTGCAGTGACTCACGCCTGTAATTCCAGCACTTTGGGAGGCCAAAGCAGGCGGATCACCTGAGGTCAGGAGTTTGAGACCAGCCTGGGCAACATGGTGAAACCCTGTCTGTACTAAAAATACAATATTAGCCGGGCATGGTGGCACATGCCTGTAATCCCAGCTACTCGGGAGGCTGAGGCAGGAGAACCACTTGAATCTGGGAGGCGGAGGTTGCGGTGAGCCGAGATCGCGCCACTGCACTCTGGTTTGGGTGACAGAGCAAGACTCCGTCTCAAAAAATAAATAAATAAAAATAATAATAAACCAATTTTTTTAAAAGAATATATTTTATTGAGAATTTATCGTCCTGGGTCTCCTTTCCAGTCTGTTGTGTCTCCTCGTTCTTTAAGACACTTGGGCCTGACACTTGCAAGGAAGCCATGCTCCTTTGTGTTTTCCTTTGGCTGCAGACCACAGGGGTGACCCTGGACTCTAATACTGAGTTCTGAATGTGCCGCTGTGTTAAAGTGAACAATCAGAGAGAGAGGATGCAGGTTCTCCTTTTCCTTCTGGCCGAATCAGTCAAAGGAGAATGCAGCGTCTTTGCTGTGGTTGCTGTCAGTTCTGCTGAAGTCTTTGATCTATTGTTTAAATGGGGTTTATGGTGACTGAAGACAGTGGTCAGTTACAAAACCAAGTTCCTCACTCCCATGTATCTCCTCATCAAGGGAACAAGGCTGGAAGCTCTGTTTAGATTTTCCGTGATCTGGCATCTGACAAGAGAGATCCAAGGCAGTCGAGTAACATCTCACAATCGCTCCTTTGATAGGTGAGGCGGCCTTCGTTATGATCTACCGTTAACTCACGAGGAAACTCCACAGAGGTGCCTGCCCAACGTGTGGGGCTGGGGAGGGAGAGGAGCGTGCAGTTGAAAACATGAACCCATATGACCGGGTGTGGTGGCTCACGCCTGTAATCCCAGCCCTTTGGGAAGCCGAGGCGGGCAGATCACTTGAGGCCTGGAGTTAGAGACCAGCCTGGCCAACATGGTGAAACCCCATCTCTACCAAAAATACAAAAATTAGCTGGGCGTGGTGGTGGGCACCTGTAATCCCAGCTACTTGGGATGGTGAGGCAGTAGAATCACTTGAACCCGGGAGGCAAAGGTTGCAGTGAGCCGAGACTGCGCCACTCCACTCCAGCCTGGGTGACAAGAGCGAAACTCCATCTCAAACAAAGAAAAGCTGACCCCTGCACATGACCCCTCCGAGCACAGCCAGTGGTTCCCATAAACCCCTAAGTGAATTTAGGCCAGACACATGTGAACACATGTTAGGAATTTTCTTAATTTGGTTGGGATGTGAGGAATCCTGGCATGCCCCGGGATCACCTGTGCAGCTTTTACGGCATGCCCCTATGAGGGGACTTTGCAGGGAGGTCAGATGGCCTAGACCTCCCCTGGAGCAGTGACCATACTTGGTGTGTGTGCTTGTCCCATCACTGTCTCATGCTTAAGAGGTGAACTTGATTGCAGCCCATTGTATTCCACATTGTTTTTCCCGAGTGCCTCTGAAACTCTAGGTGTGAGGCCAGGCACTCGGCCTTAGAGACACCAGCTGATTCTGATGCCTGAGGCCCAGGCCCAGACTCAGATATATAACCCATTTGGGGTGAGGCCTGAGCATTGGGATTTTAAATGCTCCCACTGGTGATTCCAACGCGAAACCAAAGTTGAGTCCCCATTGTGCTCATCTACTTGGGTCTGGAAGTCCAGCTTGGGTGGAGGTCCTAGGGTACCTGTGTTGGGTGACGCCCTATGCCCAGTGTCTGCCACGGTGCCTGGCGCACAGGGGTGGCTGCGAGTGAACTCACTGGTGTGTTTCCCACTGCAGGTCCTTGTTTGTCGTGCTGGACAGCCTGGCCTGCACGGATGGTGCCATCGGTGCGGCAGCCCAGGGCTGGCTGGTGCGTGCGCTCTCCCTCGGGGACGTGGCTCGCATCCTCGAACCCGTGCTCCTGCTGCTGCTGCAGCCAAAAACCCAGAGAACCTCCATCCACTGCCTCAAGCAGGAGAACTCGGCCGGTGAGCAGCCTGCACAGGACCCGAGGGTGAGGGAGGAATGGGTGGGGGGACTGGACCTCAGCAGTGATAGCTGAGAGACTGAGGCCCACTAGGGGGTTTTGTTAGATGCAAATGGTACTTTGTAAATTGTGAGGACTTCGGCAATTTAAGGACCTAGTGATCTAGCATTTAGAACTATTAGGGAGTGGGTTTGCTGTTTTCACTGAAAAACCAGATTGTTTTGTTATTAAAAAAGGAAAGTTGGCCAGGCACGGTGGCTCACAACTGTAATCCTAGCATTTTGGGAGGCTGAGGCAGGTGGATCACCTGAGGTCAGGAGTTCAAGACCAGCCTGGCCAATATGGTGAAACCCCGTCTCTACTAAAAATACAAAAATTAGCCGGGCGTGGTGGTACATGCCTGTAATCCCAGCTACTCAGGAGGCTGAGGCAGGAGAATCTCTTGAACCCGGGAGGTAGAGATTGCAGTGAGCTGAGATGGTGCCACTGCACTCCAGCCTGGGTGACAGAGAGAGACTGTCATTCATAAATACATAAATAAATAAATAAAATAACTTATTTGTGAACCTTCAACTACAAGGTAAGTGGTTTATTTTCTATCTGTGCTCTAAGATTCTTTTAGACTATAAAATCTTGTTAATCAGATTATCAGAAATGAAGAAGAAATAAACCTTTCAGTTCAGAGAACTTCCAGAGGCATCTTTAACACAAACATAAAAGAATATAGGTAGAAATTAGGAAAGAAAAGAAAAACTAAATAAGCCTGATGAGTCAATTAAACTTCAGTGATTAATATCTAATGCATTTTATGAACTAACATTACTTCCTACAATAGCTGTATTTAATGACTTCACAATTTTCTAAGGGATGGTTTGCAAACTTTGAGTGAGTTTGTTTAGCTTGAGGCAGAAATTTAAAAATAATAATAAGAAGAAGTACTGCATTCATTCATTCCAAGAAAAGTAACAGACAAGGCTATAAGAAGGTTGTAGTGACCTAGTCTAAGAAGTAAAAACCAAGGCCCAGAATGTGGCAAGACAAGGGTTAAAAAGTAAAGAAGGGCTGGACGGTGGCTCACCCCTGTAATCCCAGCACTTTGGGAGGCTGAGGCAGGCAGATCGTGAGGTCAAGAGATCGAGACCATCCTGGCTAACACGGTGAAACCCCATCTCTACTAAAAATACAAAAAATAAGCCAGGCATGGTGGCAGGGGCCTGTAATCCCAGCTACTCGGGAGGCTGAGGCAGGAGAATGGCATGAACCCAGGAGGCAGAGGTTGCAGTGAGCCAAGATCACACCACTGCACTCCAGCCTGGGCAAAAGAGTGAGACTCCATCTCAAAAAAAAAAGAAAGAAAAGAAGAACAAGTTTTCCTCTGCCTAGCAAGCTCACTTCAAAGACAGTTATAAGCTAACGCTGTTCGAGAAGTTGAAACCAAAGGAATAAGCTCCAGACACCCCCCTCTCCAGATCAAGGGTGAAGGAAAAAAAGGACAAATGTCTGTATTTAGCCAGTTCTTGTTTTTTCTTATCCTGTATTTATCTTAATCTTTTTTTTTTTTTTTTTTTTTTTGAGACAGAGTCTCGCTCTGTCACCCAAGCTGGAGTGCAGTGGTGCAATCTCGGCTCACTGCAACCTCCGCCTCCCGGGTTCAAGTGATTCTCCTGCCTCAGCCTCCTGAGTAGCTGGGATTACAGGCATGCACCACCATGCCTGGCTAATTTTTTTTTCTTTCTTTCTTTTTTTTTTTTTTTTTTTGTATTTTTAGTAGAGACAGGGTTTCACCATGTTGGTCAGGCTGGTCTCGAACTCCTGACCCCAAATGATCCTCCCGCCTCAGCCTCCTAAATTGCTGGGATTACAGGCATGAGCCACCACGCCTGGCTATCTCAATCTTATCTTACAGAGAAAAGCAACCCATTAGCTAAGTAAGCAGAGGTGTGTGAAATGGTTTCCTGTCTTTATAAGGCTCCTGGCCTAAACCTCTAACCTCTGGTTTTCCTTTAGGGGAAAAGCTGGCTGCCCTATCAAATAGGAAACATTTTATTGTTCCACATTGTAAGAAAGTAAAACTGAAAGAAGTGTAAACAAAGAACCTTCTTAAAAGTTTGGCTACTATTCATGGCAGCTACATTTTTTAGTATTTCTTTTTCTTTCTGTTTTAAGAGGAAAGCTCTATCTCCACAGTTCCTTGGGCATTATTATTATTATTATTATTATTATTATTATTATTATTGAAGAAGAGTCTCACTCTGTTGCCCAGGCTGGAGTACAGTGGTGTGATCCCAAGTCACTGCAGTCTTTGCCTCCCAGGTTCAAGCAATTCTCCTGCCTCAGCCTCCCAAGTAGCTGGGATTACAGGCGCTGGCCACCACAGCCAACTAATTTTTTGTATTTTTAGTGGAGACGGGGTTTCACCATGTTAGCCAGGTTAGGTCTCTAACTCCTGACCTCAAGTGATCCATGCGCCTCTACCTCCCAAAGCGCTGGGATTACAGGTGTGAGCCACCATGCCCAGCCTTAGTTTTGGTATTTTTAGTAGAGATGGGTGTTTCGCCATGTTGGCTAGACTGGTCTTGAACTCCTGAGCTCAAGTGTTCCACCCGCCTCAACCTTCCAAAATGCTGGGATTACAGGCATGAGCTACTACGCCTGGCCTTCCTTGGGCTTTAAAAGTTCCCCAGCACTACCTTGCTGCTTCCTCTAATCTGTGTTTCCTGCTGACCACAGAAATGGTCTGCTACCTCCGAATAGGAGAGAACATCTTTGCTCTGCCATTTTCTTTCTCTGAAAAAAATGATAAGTGTCCTGCTTACCCCACCCTATTTCTGTAATCCTGTAGAAATCTATTTTTAAAATACTGCTATGCACTTCAAGCAGCTCATCAATTTCTGATGTCTGATTCTTCTTCATTTCTTGATCTTGCTTAATGTCCATGGCATAGAGTTTTTTTAAAGCTCTTTTGTGTGCCTTTATCTTGTTTGATCATCCTAAAAACCTTATGAGAATGACAGATTTCTTCTTTTCTTTTTTTTTTTTTTTTGAGATGGAGTCTCACTCTGTGGCCCAGGCTGGAGTGCAGTGGCGCAATCTTGGTTCATTGCAACCTCTGCCTTCCAGGTTCAAGCCATTCGCCTGCCTCAGACTCCTGAGTAGCTGGCATTACAGGCACGCGCCGCCACGCCCAGCTAATTTTTGTATTTTTAGTAGAGATGGGGTTTCGCCATGTTGGCCAGACTGGTCTTGAACTCCTGGCCCCAAGTGATCCGCCCACCTCAGCCTCCCAAAGTGCTAGAATTACAGGTATGAGCTACCATGCCCGGCTCATGGCATAGATTTATTGAACACTGCTTATTTAAAATGTTTGGCAATATCAAAGACTTTTGACTCACTAATTTTTTTTTCCTTTTCTTCTTTTTTTTTTTTTTTTAAATAGGCAGTGGTCAGTGGCCTATTTGACTTCTCCTAAAAAAGACTTCAATATTTTAAAGTGTCATACGTTTTCTGATTATAGAAGTACTAACATGGTTAGTTTTAAAATGGAAATAATGAGGACATAAAAACCTAAGTGGAAGTCCTTTGTAATGCTAGTTGATAGAACTAGGGATTGTTAATGGCTTGCAGGTAGTCTCCCAGACTTTCCTAGTGGCTGTGTATTATACATACTCTCTCCTAACTGGGCTCATTCTACATAATACTCTTCTGCTGCTTGATTTTTTTTTTCCTTTCTTTTTAGAGACAGGGGTCTCACTCTGTTGCCCAAGCTGGAGTGCAGTGACACCATCATAGCTCACTGCAGTCTCGAACTCCTGGGCTCAAGAGACCCTCCTGCCTCAGCCTCCCGAGTAGCTAGGACTACAAGTGTGTGTCACCATACCTAGATAGCTTTTAAATTTTTTCTAGAGATGGAGTTTTTCCATGTTGCCCAGGCTGGTTTGGAACTCTTGGGATCAAGCAATCCTCCTACCTTGGCCTTGGCCTCCCAAACAATCCTCCTACCTTGGTCTCCCACAGTATTGGGATTACAGGCATAATTCACTGTACCTGGCCTGATTTTTCCTTTCCTTTTTTTTTTTTTTTTTTTTTTTTTGAGACAGAGTCTCACTCTGTTGCCTAGTCTGGAGTGTAGTGGCATGATTTCAGCTCACTGCAACTTCCATCTTTCAGGTTCAAGTGATTCTCCTGTCTCAGTCTCCCACGCTGGGACTATGGGCACGCACCACCACGTCCAGCTAATTTTTGTATTTTTAGTAGATGGAGTTTCTCCATGTTGGCCAGGCTGGTCTCAAACTCCTGACCTCAGGTGATCTGTCCTCCTAGGCCTCCCAAAGTGCTGGGATTACAGGCATGAGCCACCATGCCACCACACCCAGCCTCCAGTTTGTCTTTATACACATGTGACATTTCGGTGAATATCCACATCCTTATGGCTTTGAAAGTCTTCTGCTGACATTTCTGCAGGATACATTTCTGTTTTTTTGTTTTTTAAGACGGAGTTTCGCTCTTGTTGCCCAGGCTGGAGTTCAGTGGCACAATTTCAGCTCACTGCAACCTCTGCCTCCTGGGTTCAAATGATTCTCCTGCCTCAGCCTCCCGAGTAGCTGGAATTACAAGCACCTGCCACCACGCCCAGCTAACTTTTTGTATTTTTAGTAGAGACAGGGTTTCACCATTTTGGCGAGGCTGATCTCGAACTCCTGACCTCCGGTGATCTACCTGCCTTGGCCTCCCAATTGCTGGGATTACAGGTGTGAGCCACTGCACCCGGCCAGGAGACATTTCTTGAAAGAGAATTCCTAGGAAAAAATAATACGTATTTTTAAAAATTGCTCCCCTCCAAAAAATTAAAATACTTAAGTTTACTATAACAATGTAACTAAATGATCCCATCCTTGAACATTCTGTAAAACCTATCCACCTTCCTTTGTCTACTTTTGTCTGTAATGTAAACCGGACTCTGGTGGTGGTGTTTCATGTGAGAATTTTAGGAATATTGATCTTTCTGTCTGGCTTTAAGACAAAGACCGCCCTACAGCTAATGTATCATAGCTGACCCTTCTGTCTAAAGTCATTTGTCATCTTGTAATTTTCAGATGACTTGCACCGTTGGTTTAACAGGAAGAAAACCTCTTTCAGAGAGGCATGCGCAGTGCCCGAGCCTCAGGAGAGCGGCTCTGAAGAGCACCTGCCTCTGAGCCAGTTCACCACAGTGGACCGTGAAGCCATTTGGGCCGAAGTGGAGAAGGAGCCCGAGAAGTACCCGCTGCGAGGCGAGCTGAGCGAGGAAGAGCTGCCCTACTACGTGGAGCTTCCAGACAGGACGGCCCACGGCGCCCCGGACAGCAGCGAGCACACCGAGTCTGCAGATACAAGCTCCTGCCACACGGACAGCGAGAACACGTCCTCCTTCTCCTCCCCTTCCCACGACCTGCAGGAGCTGAGCAACGAAGAGAACTGCTGTGCACCCATCCCCATGGGGGGCAGGGCGTACCCCAAGCGCTCGGCCCTGCTGGCGGCCTTCCAGTCAGAAAGCTTCAAGGCTGGGGCCAAGTTAAGCCTGGTGCGGGTGGACTCGGACAAGACGCAGGCTTCTGAGTCGTTCTCCAGCGACGAGGAGGCGGACTTGGAGCTCCAGGCCCTCACCACATCCAGGCTGCTAAAGCAGCAGCGGGAAAGGCAGGAGGCCGTCGAGGCCTTGTTCAAGCACATCCTGCTCTACCTGCAGCCCTACGACTCTCGGCGGGTCCTCTATGCCTTCTCGGTGCTGGAGGCTGTGCTCAAAACCAACCCTAAGGAATTCATCGAGGCTGTGTCCAGGACTAGCATGGATACCAGCTCCACCGCGCACCTCAACCTCATCTCCAACCTCCTCGCTCGCCACCAGGAGGCCCTCATTGGCCAGAGTTTCTACGGAAAGCTCCAGACCCAGGTCCCCAACGTGTGCCCCCACTCTCTGCTCCTGGAGCTGCTCACCTACCTCTGCCTGAGCTTCCTGCGCTCCTACTACCCTTGCTATTTGAAGGTCTCGCACCGAGACATTCTCGGCAACCGGGACGTGCAGGTCAAAAGTGTCGAGGTTTTGATCAGGATAATGATGCAGCTGGTCTCAGTGGCCAAGTCTTCGGAAGGGAAGAACGTGGAGTTCATCCACAGCTTGCTGCAGAGGTGCAAAGTTCAGGAGTTTGTCCTGCTCTCCCTGTCGGCGTCCATGTACACGAGCCAGAAGCGCTACGGGCTGGCCACCGCCCACCACGGCAGGGCCCTGCCAGAGGACAGCCTCTTTGAGGAGAGTCTCATTAACTTGGGTCAGGACCAGATCTGGAGTGAGCACCCGCTGCAGATTGAGCTGCTGAAGCTGCTGCAGGTGCTGATTGTCTTGGAACACCACCTGGGTCGGGCCCATGAGGAGGCGGAAAACCAGCCCGACCTGTCCCGGGAGTGGCAGAGAGCCCTGAACTTCCAGCAGGCCATCAGCGCCCTGCAGTACGTGCAGCCCCACCCCCTCACCTCCCAGGGTCTTCTGGTCTCTGCGGTGGTGAGGGGTCTGCAGCCCGCCTACGGTTACGGCATGCATCCGGCCTGGGTGAGCTTGGTCACGCATTCCTTGCCCTACTTCGGAAAGTCCCTGGGCTGGACGGTGACACCCTTTGTTGTCCAGATTTGCAAAAACTTGGATGACTTGGTCAAGCAGTATGAAAGCGAATCTGTGAAGCTCTCTGTCAGGTGCGTTACGCTCCTTGTGACATCTTTATTGCTTTAGTGATGGTTTTTATAACGAATGACTGTTTTGCCACGGATGTGGATGTCGGTTGGAGGATAATTTCATCCCAATGAGAAGCCTGTTTAGCATTATCAAGAGGGGTAACAAGCAACTAAATGTTCTGATCCATTATGTTATGTTATGTTATGTTATGTTATGTTATGTTATGTTATGTTATGTTATTTTTGAGACAGAGTCTCTGTCACCCAGGCTGGAGTGCAGTGGCATGACCTCAGCTCACTGCAACCTCTGCCTCCCAGGTTCAAACAATTCTCCTGTCTCAGCCTCCCGAGTAGCTGGGATTACAGGTGCCTACCGCCACATCTGGCTAATTTTTTGTATTTTAGTAGACACGGGGTTTCACCGTGTTGCCCATGCTGGTCTTGAACTCCTGAGCTCAGGCAATCCCCCTGCCTCGGCCTCCCAAAGTGCTGGGGTGCTAGAGGGAGCCACTGCGCCCAGCCCTGATCCTTTATTTCAAATCCGCACAGGTACCCAGTCTAGCTCAGTGTTGCAGGGCATGTCAGCTACTCTCTACTATTTTTGCAAAACAGAAATAAAAATGTGAATCATCTTCACAGAAATTCTAAAACATTGAAACCATTTTTCCAAAGTGACTATATGAATGTAAAATCACACAAAGGATGGTTAACATTATTATAATGATATTCTATGACGAGAGCTCCAGTTTATTTGGGATGGTGATCTCTCCCTAGTTCCTGTGTTTATATATAGGATTAGAAACCCTTATGGCCTCATTCTTTAAAAATTCTCAAACCAGTTTCTCTTTTCTTCACCACAGCACAACCTCCAAGAGGGAAAACATTTCTCCAGATTATCCACTCACCCTTCTAGAAGGTCTAACGACCATTAGTCATTTTTGTCTTTTGGAACAAGCCAACCAAAACAAAAAGGTAAATTTTTTTTTTTCCTGAGTTCAAGGCAATTTTCATGTATTGTTTTGTCTTTGGGCTATGACTGTTTCAAATAAGTAACGTATGTATGTAATGTCTGTAACTAATATGCGTATGGAGGTGATGCAAATGTGAATGCAAATATTACATAAGTCACGTACACACGTATGCAAATGCATGTGTGTTAGCAATGCAAGTGCCTACGCAAATGCATATGCAAATGCATGTATATAATTAACGCAAATGCATAAGTATGTATGTCAGCCATGCAAACATAGTTTTCTTCCTGCTGGCACTCCCTGTGCCAGCCCTTTGCCCATTGTTCCATCAGTAGCCTGTGAGATAACTTATAAAGCCACTTGTTTGATTTTAGGCTTATAGTCATCTTTTTCCATGTATTTTTTACTTGCTATCATGGTGTTCATGAAATCTGAGTAGGCAGACATTTTAGCTGTTGGTTATTCTACCCTGTAGAATACCCTGGGATTAAGTCTTAGAATACATCTAACACTTTGGTTGAATGGTTGAAAAGTTTGTAATTTAGAACATCAGACTCACAGCTGTCTCTGTGAAAGAGAACCATGGGTTGAAATGCACAGAGAAGCTTATTGCTCCCAGACCACCACATGTATGAGTTGCTTAGAAGAGAGTCCAACAGCCCAGACCTAATCCCGCTAGCACTGCTGCCCTCGTGGGAAGAAAAACCATTCCACAGACACAGCCTGCCTCATGTATTCATTTTAATTTTTAGACCATGGCTGCAGGTGATCCTGCCAACTTGAGGAATGCCAGAAATGCCATTTTGGAAGAGCTGCCTCGAACTGTTAACACCATGGCCCTTCTCTGGAATGTTCTCAGAAAGGAGGAGACTCAAAAGAGACCTGTCGATCTCCTAGGGGCCACGAAGGGATCCTCTTCCGTTTACTTTAAAACCACCAAAGTAAGAGGATGTCTCTGTAGTTCTGTCATTTACTTGGTCTTGTATTGTTCCACCCAAAATAAATGTGTATAGGAAAGTGTGCATGATAAACAGATGTGCTCAATGAAACCCAAGTCAGAGATCAGAAGTAGAAATCTCTAGTTCATTTGTTATCAGTAAGTTTCCTATACCTGAAATGGAGGAGTCTGAGTGGTTTCAGCCTGTTTTCTTCTTATTTTCCATTCACCTTATTTTGTAGTTAAAAATAAAGTCTTGGCCGGGCATGGTAGCTCACACCTGTAATCCCAGCACTTTGGGAGGCCAAGGCGGATGGATCTCCTGAGGTCAGGAGTTCAAGAACAGCCTGGCCAACATGGTGAAACCCCATCTCTACTAAAAATACAAAAATTAGCCAGGTGTGGTAGCACGTGTCTGTAATCCCAGCTACTCAGGAGGCCGAGGCAGGAAAATCGCTGGAACCTGGGAGGCGGAGGTTGCAGTGAGCCAAGATTGCACCACTGCACCCCAGCCTGGGCAACAGAGCAAAACCCCATCTCAAAAAAAAATAAAAATAATTAAAATAAATAAAGTCTCTAGAGCTAGGCGCGGTGGCTCATGCTTGTAATCCCAGCACTTTGGGAGGCCAAGATGGGGTGGATTGCTTGAGCTCAGGAGTTCAAGACCAGCCTGGCCAACATGGCGAAACCCCATCTCTACAAAAAATACAAAAATTAGCTGGGTATGGTGGCAGGCACCTGTAGTCCGAGCTACTCAGGAGGCCGAGGCAAGAGGATTGCTTGAGCCTGGGAGGTGGAGGTTGAAGTGAGCTGAGATCACGCCAGTGCACTCAAGCCTGGGTGACAGAGTGAGACCCTGTCTCAAAAACAATAGTCTCTAGTGGTTCAAAGCGGGGATACCTAGATCCTCACCTCTAAATGATCTAGAGACCCCAGCCTTGAGTCTCTAAAGCATTTCTGCGAGACAGCTCATCTCTGTTCTGCTTTTAGCGGTGCCTGTCAAACATGGCCCCATCAGAGTGGAATGTCAGGGTGCCTTTGAGTTCTTAAACCAAAAACGCACAACTGTGAATATTTATATTATAGTTTAGTCTTTGGTTTTCAGTGTCTGCCTCAGAAGGCTGTAGGCGCAGGACTCGGTCGCTCACCATCTGTGTTACTGTGTGTGGCATCTCAGAATTATCTGCCACATCTGACATCAGTTGAGAGCCCCCAGGTGCCAGATGTGGCCGCAGGGATGAGCCTTGCCATCCTGCATTTAGGTACCACGGTGCGTTGTTGGCCTCCAGACATTCTGTCGGTTCCTAGGGTGCCAAGGGAATTCTGTATTTCAAGCTCCTATAAGAACCTGCTCTTAAAAAGATTCAGAAAACCTTTTTTCTCACTCAGAAAAAAAGATTTTCTAAACCTTTTTTAGGGGAGCTTCCTGTAGCACTCAGCCTCTCTGAGCCTCCATTTCCTCGTCTGTTAAACCAGGCTGTGGCTAGCATCCTGTCCTCATGGGTTGAGGGAAAGAGTAATTACGATAAAGGCCGATGCTCATTAGGCACTTAACTCCTAGCCCTCCCTGAGGAACCCAGGGCCGGGGAGCGGGACCCCACATTAGTCCCTCTAGAGCAGAAGCCATGGTGGAAAAGAGGGGACAGCTCCATTGCTGGCTCAGTTGTATCTAATGTGAAATAAACATGGGCGGTTGTCACAGGAAGCGCTGGGTAAATCCGTCTCTTCGACAGACATTTTGTGCCTGCTGCCACGCACCAGGCTCTCTTGCTTTACCGGTGGACAAGAGAGATGAAGTCCCTGCCCCTGTGGCAGAGGCAGACATTAACTGGCAGTGTAATAACGATGTGAGCAGGGCTTCAAAGAAACACAGGGTTTCCTGAGAGTGTGTGAACAGGAGGCCTGGCCTGACCTGGGGTTCCTGAGGCGGCATGGCTTAGCTGAGGCCCCAGGCGGAGAGGATTTAACTACGGTGGGCACTGCAGGCTGAGAGAGCGGTAGGATTTACAGAGCGAGAAACGTGGCGGGAACACAGAGAAATTCATAAGTAGCAAAACAGAGGGTGCTGAGTGACATCAGGACCATGTTACAGGTTTAAATTGATTACCTGATAAAATTAGTTAAATGGTGCTTATTTCTGGAAATTGAGCAACAACTTTCCTAATGAATATAAGCCCTTCCGCAGCAGATGGAGTCAGGCTGAGGCTGTGGGGTTTCCAGATGGAAGCAGTGCTGCAAAGCCTTGCCCGGCTTCCTGCAAGACCCCCACTGTGCTCACAGCAGCAAGGGTGATATTCATCGTCTCCCGAGATGCTCCTGGCCAATCGAGCTGGCCATCCGTCTCTCCACCTTGGCTGCTCACTGCCCCTTCCCCCCGCCGGCATGACACGCCAACATCACACATCTAGCTCCTTGCGGAAAGGGTTTGATTCCTCCCATTGCTGGGATCCACCCATCAGGGAAGCACCTCAGCACAACATTGGGCACAAACATGACAGGGTCCTTGCTCTCGGTATGGACAGCAGTGGTGGTTCAATGTATATGATGCCATAGCCCCAATATTACTCTGCAGTAACTTTTTTTTCCCTATTTTCTAGACCATAAGACAAAAAATTTTAGACTTCTTAAACCCCTTGACGGCCCATCTTGGGGTTCAGTTGACAGCGGCTGTTGCGGCAGTGTGGAGCAGAAAGAAAGCCCAGCGTCACAGTAAGATGAAGGTAAAGTTTAAAAAGTTACAGGAGTGGTTAAACTTACTGTGACAAAGAAATACCACAGAATCATGTGGAATCAAAGGTGACATTGGAAGCCAGCATGGGAAACTATTGAGTTGATTTAATCATTTTATCTTATTTTATTTCTTTATCTATTTGAGATGGAGTCTCTCTCTTTTCACCCAGGCTGGAGTGCAGTGGTGCGATCTTGGCTCACTGCACCCTCCACCTCCTGGGTTCAAGTCATTCTCCTGCCTCAGCCTCCCATGTAACTGGAATTATAGGTGCCCGCCACCACACCCGGCTAATTTTTGTATTTTTTAGTAGAGACAGGGTTTCGCCATGTTGGCCAGGCTGGTCTTGAACTCCTGACCTCAGGTGACCCACCCACCTCGGCCTCCTAAAGTGCTGGGATTACAGGCGTGAGCCACCACACCTTGCCGATTTCATCATTTGAAATGCATGAGATAATATAGCTGTGTCTCAGTACAAGTAGAATGTGTATTGGGCAGGTAGGGAAGAGCGCACCTGACTTCTGTTTTCTAATTTTTCTGTAATGAGTATATAGTACTTGTGTTTAATCTTTTTAAATCTAAAATACATATAAGAGTATATATAACATGAACATTTTTAAAGAATAAAAATGGCACAGTGGCTCACACCTATAATCTCAACACTTTGGGAGGCCAAGACGGGCAGATCGCTTGAGTCTAGGAGTTTGAGACCAGCCTGGGCAATATGGCAAAAAATTAGCCGGGCGTGGTGTTGTGCACCTATAGTCCCAGCTACTCAAGAGGCTAAGGTGGGAGGATCACTTGAGCCTGGGAGGTGGAGGGTGCAGTGAGCCATGATTGTGCCACTGCATTCCAGCCTGGGCGACAAAGCAAGTCCCTATCTAAAAAAAAAAAACTTTACCTAAGAACATGCCACCCATTTGGCTTAAGAAATGGTCACTTATCCTAGCACTGTGGGCCTTTTTTTATTTGTAGTACCATCTTATTGCTTTTTTAATGTGTAGAAATCACACTTGTTAGCTGGGCATGGTGGTATGCGCCTATAGTCCTAGTTACTTGGGAGGCTGAGATGGAAGGATCACTTGAAGCCAGGAATATGAAGCTGCAGTGAGCTACGATTGTGCCACTGCACTCTAGCCTAGACAACAGAGTGACACTTCATGTAAAAAAAAAAAAAAAAAAGGAAATTACATTTGTCCATGATAATAAAGAAAATTGAAATCACCAATCATATTTCTATGCCCAAAGATAATTTCTTTTTTTTTTTTTCTATTGAGACAGAGCGATCTCAGCTCACTGCAACCTCTGCCTCCTGAGTTTAAGCAATTCTCCTGCCTCAGCCTCCTGAGCAGCTGGGATTACAGGTGCATGCCACCACACTCAGCTAATTTTTGTAATTTTAGTAAAGACGGTTTCACCATGTTGGCCAGGCTGGTCTCAAACTCCTGACCTCGTGATCCGCCTGCCTCGGCCTCCCAAGGTGCTGGGATTACAGGCGTGAGCCCAAAGATAATATCAGTTTGTATTTTGCCCGTTCTTTATCCACTTGACTGGTCCATGATGAAGTCCTGCAGGGGTCGGCTTACCTTTTTCAACCTCAATCCTCTTCCTTTGTTCCCTCCCACCCCTGCTCCATCCCCTGCTCGGGATCTGCTGCTGCACCTCCTTGACACTCCCCCAGTGCTCAGCCTTTGTGGCAGACATGGGCGCCTGTTCTCTGAGGAAGAGTCAGTGGTCAGTGTCCAAGGCCACCCTCCTGAGCGCCTGTCGGCTCCTTCCCTGGTGAGGAACCTGGTGCTAGTTGTTTTTCTTCCAAATGCCCATGACCAGGGTATGCAGACTTCTGTCATCAAAAATATGCCTCCCATACCAGGGCTTTCCTTCCAAGGCTAGCAAATGGGAGCCTGGTTTATCTGTTTTTACTTCCTGTCTTCGTATTTTTGATTCCATCTCTTGTTTCCTTCAAATTTAGTATATTTGTTTCTAAAATGCTTTCTACTAAATTCAAACATACCACTATTACAGCCCCATCATGGCCTGCACCTTTTATTCCTAATTTGTATCAAATTATGTTGTTCCCCTGGGTGGAGCCTTTACCTAGTTCAATAGGAAATGTTTGTTTAAGAGATTAAAACAGGCCGGGCGCGGTGGCGGCTCATGCCTGTAATCCCAGCACTTTGGAAGACCGAGGCGGGCAGATCACCTGAGGTCGGGAGTTTGAGACCAGCCTAGCCAACATGGCGAAACCTCATCTCTACTAAAAATACAAAACTTAGCTGGGCGTGGTGGTGGCCAAGATCGCACCACTGCACTCCAGCCTGGGTGACAGAGTGAGACCGTGTTTCAAAAAAAAAAAAAAAGAGATGAAAACAGATTGATTTCTCCAGGGACGACTACTGTAGAATACAATAAGGATGTGTCATCCTTATTTTTACTTTCTCTCTATAAGCTTTCAAGGAACTTTTTTTTTTCTTGGCAGATTATCCCAACGGCAAGTGCATCCCAGCTAACCCTTGTCGACTTGGTGTGTGCACTCAGCACCCTGCAGACTGACACGCTGCTGCACCTGGTGAAGGAGGTGGTGAAGAGGCCACCCCAAGTCAAAGGGGGTGATGAGGTGAGGAGCCTGGGGAAGCCTCTGGGCTTCTGCAGATTAGTGGGTGGCATTTGTCATAACTCTACTTCCTTATAAATCGTGTTTGGGAGGGAAGGATAGGTAACAAGAGCTAGTGGGAATGCTTGGGGTAGTGAAGTGGAGGTGCTGTTTGCTGTGCTTTGGGGGAGACCTATGAAGATCTGGTGCTTCTTTTTTAAGTTGGGAACTGCCTGAGGTCAGGGGCTCTCATTCCTTGTACCCTGCTGCTGAGGACACTGCCTGGTACATGGGTTAGCGCCTTCTGGGCACCAAGTGGAATAAAATCTTTAGAAAGAGGAAATGGCACCTGCCTCAAGGAGCTCGCAGCCATAAAGATGCCAAAGATAAACAAAACCAGACTCTAGTGAAAGATGGTAAAGACAGATGTGATTCAATAACCACTGCGGTAAGGGAAAGTGTTGGGTTCAGTTTAGATTTGTGTGGAGATGACTGGGAAAGGATGAGGGAGGAGGGAGGGGGAAGGAGCAGGAAGTTTAAGGAGAGTTGGAGAAGTAGAAAATTACAAAAGAGCAGGTGGGGAGGCTGCTCAGTCCATAGATGTGATTAGGCCATCTGGGTTTGCTAACTGGGGCTTATCCAAATGAGGCTCCTACCCTCCCACAGAGGCTGGGAGATCGAGACTCTGTCTTTCTTGATGATTCTGTTTCAAAGGGATGGCTCCCAGGTCCTTGAGAAACACATTCCTAGGTTGTGGGAGACACATACACATCTCAAAGGGACAGAGAAAGTATTTATCATTGTAAACTTAAAAGAAAATGCTCTAAGAAAGGGAGGTCAGGGGTCTCGCAGGAACAAACAGTAAATTATTTGGCAACCTTGAGCTTTCTCGGACAAGTGTTTGAAGAGGACTGGTGTCCCCATCCTAGGGATCCATGCTAGTGTTGTTTGGGGCTGTGGGGGTGGACAGAATCATTTGTCAAGCAGAGGGCTCAGAGGAGCCTAGCTAGAATCAGCTCAAGGAGAGAGTCTTTGTCAAGGGCAAATTAAAATTTGTGTAACTTTTTTTTTTTTTTTTTTTTGAGACACAGTTTCACTCTGTCACCCAGGCTGGAGTGCAGTGGTGCGATCTCAGCTCATTGCAACCTCCACCTCCTGGGCTCAAGTGATTCTTGTGCCTCAGCCTCCTGGGTAGCTGGGAGTACAGGTGCATGCTATCACTCCTGGCTAACTTTTGGTTTTGTTTTGTTTTGTTTAGTTTTTTCGAGATGAAGTCTCACTTTGTCGCCCAGGCTGGAGTACAGTGGTGCAATCTCAGCCCACTGCAACCCCGCCCCTGGGGTTCAAGTGATTCTTGTGTCTCAGCTTCCTGAGTAGCTGGGATTACAGGTGCGCACCACCAAGCCCGGCTAATTTTTGTATTTTTTTTTTTCTTTTAGTAGAGACGGGATTTTGCTATGTTGGCCAGACTGGTCTTGAACTCCACTTGCCTTGGCCTCCCGAAGTCCTGGGATTACAGGCGTGAGCCACCGTGCCCGGCCAAAATTTGCATAATTTTTTTTAAAACTTTTTTTTTTTTAAGACAGGATCTCACTGTCACCCAGGCTGCAGTGCAGTGGCACAATCACAGCTCACCATAGCCTCGACCTCCCCAGGCTCAAATGATCTTCCCAAATAGCTGAGACCACACATGCACACCACCACACCTGGCTAATTTTTATATTTTTTGTAGTGACGGGGTTTGCCACATTGCCCAGGCTGGTCTGGAACTCCTAGGCTCAAGCAATCCTCCTGCCTCGGCCTCCCAAAGTGCTGGGATTACGGGCGAGAGCCACCATGCCTGGCTGCATAATTTTTTATAAAGGTAGAAAATAAATGTCAGAGAACATAACTAATGATAGACACTCTGAGAAAGAGGAGATTTCATCTGGCTGCTGTGAAACAGAAACCTTCAGGGTGATGTCATTGAACCGAGAAGTTCCTTGTAATTTTTCTGCTCAATTTCATTACAGCAGCCTGGAGGGCCCATGTTGTCTAGAGAGCTTCTTCAATTATACACGGTGGATTTAAAACAGGGCAAGCTGTGTGGTTTAATATTTGCATTCCCTTAGAGTCTTCTATTTCTGTTTTTACCAAAGCAGTCTTCATCATTGAAAGCAGCAGAGCTGTTTTGCTCTTAATTAACTAATTTAATAAAAACCAGGGATTTATTTCAATCTTGAAATAATTGCCTTCTGTCGAACAGTTTAAAATCATACAGTTAGCAAAAATTTAAGAATAATCTAAATGAAAATTAGGGGGGCCGGGCATGGTGGCTCATGCCTGTAGTCCTAGCACTTTAGTCCAGGAGTTCGAGACCAGCCTGGGCAATGTAGGGAGACATCATCTCTACAGTAAATTTAAAAATTAGCTGGGTGTGGTAGTGCACACCTGTAGTCCCAGCCACTTGGGAGGCTGAGACAGGAGGATCAGTTGAGCACAGGAGTTCGAGGTTGCAGTGAGCTATGATTGAGCCACTGCACTCCAGCCTGGGTGACAGAGTGAGACCCTGTCCAAAAAAAAGAAAATTCGTGCAATGGAAAAAGTGATTATTAAAAAATATAGCTATACTTGAACAGGTGTTTGTGTACCGATGTTCATAGCAGCATTATTCACAGCAGCCAAAAGGTGGACGCAATCCCTGTGTGTCTCAGTGGGTGTGCGGATAACAAAGTGAGATCTGTGCGTGCAGCGCGTTAGTACTCAGCCTCGAGAGGAATGAAATTCTGACACGTGCTACACAACATGGATGTCAGATCCTCAACATGGATGAACCTTGAAGACATTAAGTTGAATGAAATAAGCCAGTCACAAGAGGACTAACACAGTTCTATATCTGGAAAAAAAAAAACAACTGTGTCCTCACTCAACAACATAACAATCAACACAGAAGACTTCTCTTACCCCAAATATGCGGGGAGTTCTCCCCACCAGCAAGCAAGCAATTGATTCCGCAGTGGACACCAGTTGGGTGTCCTCCAATTCAATTCCTACTCTATCTGCTTGGAGATAGTGTCAGATCCCACAGGGTGAGGGCTC
This sequence comes from Homo sapiens, assembly GCF_000001405.40. NCBI lineage: Eukaryota > Metazoa > Chordata > Mammalia > Primates > Hominidae > Homo > Homo sapiens. The sequence goes on from NC_000021.9 coordinate 36,256,964, forward strand.
AGTCCCCAAGAGCACCCTTCACTTCAGACACCAGTCACAAGTCTGGGCCTCTGGAACTTCTGACTGACTAGCTTCAAGTTGGGATTCCCACGAACCCCCTCTTTGGGTTCAGTTAATTTGTCAGAGCAGCTCCCAGAACTCCAGAAACACGTTTACTGGTTTATTATAAAGGCTACTACTGAGGATACAAATGAAGGGATGCGTAGGGCAAGGTATGGGGGAAGAGGTGCAGAGCTCCTGTGCCCTCCGTGGGCACAGAACCTTCATGTGCTCTGCTCTCTGGAAGCTCACCAAACCCAGTCCTCTTGGGCCTTTTATGGAAACTTCATTGGATGGGTATGACTAAAGCATGGACAACCGTGTCGAAGTGTGATTGGACAAAAAGAGTGTGATCTAATACTTAATACAGTGACTGGGGAAACCTAGCAGGGCCTGCCTGTTCAGATTCTTCTTGGCCTGTCTGCACAGCACTGCTTCCTCCAGGGTGTGGGACAGGACCCTCTCCAGAATGAGGGTCTTATGAACCGTAGTCAGATTAGAGTCCTGCCTTGGGGCAGGTCAAAGGAGGGCAGGAGTTATGAACCAAGAACTGCAGACAAACACGTAAAAACATAGGTTGATACGTAGATAGATGATAGATAGATAGATAGATAGATAGATAGATAGATAGATAGATAGAAGTAGTTAGGTAAATAGATAGATGTAGGTAGGTAGGTAGATGTAGGTAGGTAGGTAGAGAGATGGATGTAGGTAGGTAGGTAGGTAGATAGATGTAGGTAGGTAGGTAGATGTAGGTAGGTAGGTAGAGAGATGTAGGTAGGTAGGTAGGTAGATGTAGGGTAGGTATGTAGATAGATGTAGGTAGGTAGGTAGATGTAGATAGGTAGGTAGGTAGAGAGATAGATGTAGGTAGATGTAGTTAGGTAGGTAGGTAGATGTAGGTAGGTAGATAGATGTAGGTACGTAGGTAGATAGGGAGATAGATGTAGGTAGATGTAGGTAGGTAGGTAGATGTAGGTAGGTAGGTAGATGTAGGTAGGTAGGTAGATAGGTAGAGAGATAGATGTAGTTAGATGTAGGTAGGTAGATAGATGTAGGTAGGTAGGTAGATGTAGGTAGATAGATAGATAGATGTAGGTAGGTAGATAGATATTATGATTTTAGAGTGTTAAAGGGTGGCTCACTCCTGTAATCCCAGCACTTTGGGAAGCCGAAGCAGGGGGATTGCTTGAGCCCAGAAGTTTAAGACCAGCCTGGGCAACAAAGTAAAACCTTGACTCTAAAAAGAAAAAAAAAATTAGCCAGGCATGGTATGCACCTGTAGCCTCAGCTACTTGGGAGGCTGAGGTGGGAGAATCACTTGAGCCAGGGAAGTTGAAGCTGCATTGAGTCAAGATCACGCCACTGCACTCCAGTACAGAGCAAGACCCTGTCTGAAAACAAAAGAAAGACTTTTTTTTTTTTTCACATCAGACAATGTGCCGACCATTGTAACAAAGTTTGAGGGTGGCACATATCACGCATGTGCGTGAACACCCAATCATCACACTAATGAACTGCAGATGAATCGGAAGACTTTTTTTTCAGCCATTTTTTTCAGCCTCACATATGACACGGGGCAGCCCCCTATAGAAATGTCCAGGCCCCGAGGGCCTGGCCGTTGGGCGTCACCCAGTCAGTTATCCTCCAGCTCCTGGTCTCTTCCTTCGTTCCAGTGTTAATCGACAATGCTCTATGTGCACTGAGTGGTGTCGTGGAGGCTAAATAGTGGAAAAAGCAATTCCTGCCCTCAGTCCTCCTATATTCTAGGTTGGCAAAGAAGAGAGAAGAGAAGAGAAGCCATCCTAAAAAATAACAGCACTGCGAGGCCAGGTTATGGAGCGAGCTCAGTCAGTGCTTAAGGCTTCGAATGTAAAAGGACCCGGATGACTTCCACAGTATTTCTTGGGGATCTGGCCCAGGTCTCCCAATCTTCCAAGAACGTATGGTCATCCTGTTGCCTTTCACTGTTTTTTTTTTTTTTTTTTTTTGAGACGAAGTCTTGCTCTGTCGCCCAGGCTGGCGCAATCTCGGCTCACTGCAAGCTCCACCTCCCAGGTTCATGCCATTCTCCTGCCTCAGCCTCCCTAGTAGCTGGGACTACAGTCGCCCGCCACCACGCCCGGCTAATTTTTTGTATTTTTAGTAGAGACAGGGTTTCACCGTGTTAGCTAGGATGGTCTCGATCTCCTGACCACGTGATCCACCCGCCTCGGCTTCCCAAAGTGCTGGGATTACAGGCGTGAGCCACTGCGCCCGGGCTTTTTTTTTTTTTTCTTTTTTTTTGAGATGGAGTCTCGCTCTGTTGCCTAGCCTAGAGTGCAGTGGCGTGATCTTGGTTCACTGCAACCTCTGCCTCCTGGGTTCAAGCAATTGTCCTGCCTCTGCCTCCTGAGTAGCTGGGATTACAGGCTTGCGCCACCATGCCCAGTTAATTTTTTTGTATTTTTAGTAGAGATGGGGTTTTGCCATGTTGGCCACGCTGGTCTTGAATGCCTGACCTCAAGTGATCCACCCGCCTTGGCTTCCCAAACTTCCGGGATTATAGGTGTGAGCCACCGTGCCTGGCCTCCTTTCATTCTTGTCCATAAATGTTAGGAGTGGGAATGGTGCTCCACAGGGCGGTCTGTGCTGCTGCAGGCTTGGTCGCCGTAGAACCAAGGGGTTCTTCGAGGTCCTGAAGACAGCTCTGCAGAGGCTATGACAGCCAGAGCGAGTGTGTTTAGGTTGTATTCCTTCACATTACTTGAATTTCTACAAATACCTGCAATTTCTAGTCTTTCCTGGGCTATAAAGGAACCGGATTTTATCTAGCTGACTGATTTTTGGCGGTTCAAATAACAAAACTACATTTTGTGGTTAGTTTAGTTAATTAATAGCTGCAAATAGCTTTTTACAAGCAAGGAGGGGGTAAAATATGTGTTTTAGAACTTGTTTCCAAGTAGTTCCAGCCACAGGGTTTTTGGGGAAGCTGTCTGAGCTGGGCTTGGAGTCATCTTCTAAACTAAGAACTAGAATTTTTTGGCCGGGTGCGGTGGTTCTACTTGGGAGGCTGAGGCACGAGGATCGCTTGAACCTGGGAAGCGGAGGTTGCAGTGAGCTGAGATTGCACCAGTGTACTCCAGCCTGGGCAACAGAGCAAGACTCTTGTAAAAAGAAAAAAAAAAAAGGAAAGAAGGAATGCAAAGAAAGAAAAAGGAAAGGGAAGGGAAGGGGGAAGGGAAGGGGAAGGGAAGGGAGGAAGGGAGGGAGGAAGGAAGGAAGGAAAGAAAGAAAGAAAGAAAGAAAGAAAGAAGAATTAGAATTTTTTCTTGCCTCTTGGTAATCATATGCATTCACTGGAGTCAACACTGGCCCTAGCTTTCTGTTTGGGAAGTTCGGTTACAGTGCCAATTTTCCCGAAATGCCTGTTGACGCCTGGAATGTAAAGTAGGTGCACAGGGTGGGAGATCACTGTAGAAGTCTAAGGGGATGTGAATGATTTGGGGACTCATAGGACACACTTGTTTTAATTGTACATGATGGGCACTATCATGTCTGTTGTTATATCTGAAAGATTCTTTAGTCAAAAACCTTTGCTTTGTTAGGCTATAGATCTGTTTCATTTTGTATCTGAATTCTTTTAGCCTTATTTCCCACCAACTCGGAGTAATTGGTTTTACTTTCATTTTCAGAAATCGCCCCTAGTGGACATTCCTGTGTTGCAGTTTTGCTATGCTTTTCTCCAAAGGTAATACAGTCCCCCGTCCTCCAAAAACTTCCTTAAATACAGATGCTATTGCAGTGAGCATGCATAATAAATATCTGGTTTTATTTCTAGACTACTAGAGAGCCATTGTTCAGAAAATATCTTAAAGTTGTCATAATTTCTTCCCAAGGTATTGATCTATGCTTTTCCTTCTCCAGAGAGTTAACATCTTAAAATCTGTGCAGCGTACTTTGAACACTTTATATGAGCGAAGCTTTATGTGAGGCCTGTTAAACTTTAAAAGGCTTGGATTTGCATTAAATTGATACAGAAAAAGAAAAAAACCACATATAGGGAAGTGTTAAAGACCTCTTTTAGAAAAAGGAGAAATGGGCCAGGCGCGGTGGCTCACACCTGCAATCCCAGCACTTTGGGAGGTGGAGGCAGGCGGATCACTTGAGGCCAGGAGTTTGAGACCAGCCTAGTCAACATGGTGAAACCCTATCTCTACTAAAAATACAAAAATTAGTCCGGCATGGTGGCGTGCGCCTGTAATCCCAGCTACTCGGGAGGCTGAGGCAGGAGAATTGCATGAACCCAGGAGGCGGAGGTTGCAGCGAGCCAAGACCTCACCACTGCTCTCCAGCCTGGGTGACAGAGCAAGGCTCTGTCTCAAAAAAAAAAAAAAAAAAAAGGCAAAATGATTGTTTCTGGTGGCGTTCTCAGTGTGCCTTCCCATGTTTTATGTGGAGAGGTATCTGCTTTGATTTGCTAAGTTAATATATGTATTAGGTGTCTCAGCTAAGAGAGCATTAAAGGGGATTCCGCAGGTTTTTCCCCATGGATGAAAAAGAAGCTTTACTGGACCTCATTCAGATCTTACAATGGCTGCATCCCAGGTGCAGCTCTGTGTTGCAGAAAATGAGGGTGAGGTGGCTGGGTGCGGTGGCTCAACGCCTGTAATCCCAGCACTTTGGGAGGCTAGAGTGGGTGAGTCACTTGAGGCCAGGAGTTTGAGACCAGCCTGGCCAACGTGGTAAAACCCTATGTCTACTAAAACTACAAAAAATTAGCCAGGGCTTGGTGGCAGCATGCCTGTAGTCCCAGCTACTCGGGAAGCTGAGGCAGGTGAATCACTTGAACCCAGGAGGCAGAGGTTGCAGTGAGCTGAGATCACACCACTGCACTCCAGGCTGGGGGACAGAATGAGACTCTATCTCAAAAAGGAAAAAAAATGGGGGTGGGAAGGGTATAGACCACTTCTCAGGGAAGCCTCACTATGCCTACATAGCCATCAGGAGTCTCACTGTAAATAACTCCAACAACCAGGCACAGGCTCCTTGATTCACACAGTTAACATTACATAGTTATTCCCACTCACCACATTCTGAAGTTGCAGGACGGTAAATTGAGGCCTCCTGGTAGATGACCAGGGTGGGGTTAAATTCAGACCACTTCCCTTGTGAGCATCATTGTTGTTCTTTCCTCCAGGAGTTAAAGATGAGCCGGTCACTTCCCTCCTGTGACAGCGAATATATATTGCGTTGCTGGCGAATGTTGAGTGTAGTGGCCTGAGGGACAGCTGAGCTTTCCCAGGAGCTGCAGGTTAGATTTGGTCATCCTCCTTTTGCAGAGGAGAAACCGCCTAGGTCACACAATAGGTAGTAAGTTGGAGAACCAGGACTTGGACCTGGGACACTCTGACTGTAGTCTGAGCTTTCACTGCCTGGACTGTGCTTCCTCGCTTTGGAGCGGTGATCTCAGAATCCTCATCCTGAGAGCTACAGAGCGGGGTAGGCCAGTTTCCTGGTGAGTGTCCTGGGACCTAATGCTTTGCAGCCTTCTGACAGGTGATGCTGTGTTACCAGCCACTTCAGGGAAGCAGAATATTAGCACTAGAAAGGCCTGAGAGATCAGCCGGGCACGGTGGCTCACGCTTGTAATCCCAGCACTTTGGGTGACCGAGGCAAGTGGATTTACTTGAGGCCAGGAGTTCAAGACCAGCCTGGCCAACATGGTGAAACCCTACTAATCTCTACTAAAAATACAAAAAATTAGCCCAGTGTGTTGGCCCGCGCCTATACTCCCAGCTTGGGAGGCTGAAGAACGAGAATCGCTTAAACCCGGGGGGCAGAGGTTGCAGTGAGCTCAGATCGTGCCACTGCACTCCAGCCTGGGTGACAGAGCAAGACTCTATCTTAAAAAACAATAATAAAATAAATAAATAAATAAATAAAATAAAATAAAATAAAATAGAAGAAAGGCCGGGCGCAGTGGCTCACGCCTGTAATCCCAGCACTTTGGGAGGCCGAGGCGGGTGGATCACCTGAGGTCGGGAGTTCGAGATCAGCCTGGGCAACACGGTGAAACCCCGTCGCTACTAAAAATACAAAATTAGCCGAGCGTGGTGGCACATGCCTGTAATCCCAGCTATTCGGGAGGCTGAGGCAGGAGAATCGCTTGAACCTGGGAGGCGAAGGATGCAGTGAGCCGAGATCACGCCATTGCACTCCAGCCTGGGCAACAAAAGTAAATCTCCGTCTCACCAAAAAAAAAAAAAAAAAGGCCTGAGAGGTCAAGGTCGATCATCTAATTTAAGGCTTTTATTTTAGAGACAAAGAAACCAGGAGTATCTCACCTGCCAGCAGTAGGATTTCAGGTTCTCAAACTCCAAGTGTTTGCCAGAATACCAAAGTTTAGCTCATGTACATTGTAAGTTTTTAAAAAGAAAAAGGTCAGTGAGGTATGCTGTTTACCCTTTGCTTTCCAACTGCCAGGATCTTAAATATGCTTATAAATAAATGTATTTTGACTTGTTCGTGGTTGAGTATTTTTCCTATCTTTTAAAAAAACAGGCTCCCAGTACCAGCCTTGCAAGAGAACTTTTCTTCACTGTTGGGAGTATTGAAAGAGTCTGTACAGTTGAATCTAGCCCCACCTGGGTATTTTCTGCTTCTCAGGTATCATGTCACCACATTGTCATTGTGTAATATTTTCTCTTGGCACATATTTTATTTCTGCAGCATTTTTAATCTGAAGCTGATTGTCTCCCAACAGCATGCTGAATGACTTTGTAACAAGAACTCCCAACCTGGAAAACAAGAAGGACCAAAAAGACCTGCAGGTTTGTATATGAAAGAGGTTCAGCCAAATGATATTACCCCAGCAGTGCTGTCCTCCTTTGGGGGATATCAGATAGCAGGTAGACAAGAGACATTGGACAGAATCTGAGGTTAGCTTTGCACTTGTTCTCAAGTCTTACTTCTGCCATCACTGTCTCTAGAGAGTTCGGACAGTCCCGGGGCCCGGGTTTTCTGATGAAGGTTCTTGTGTAATGCTTGAGCAATCGATTGTGGAATTGACAGCTGCACCCCTCACCCTCCACACTGTATGCAGATGTATGTGGATCTCACTGTAAAACATAAATGGAATAAGAAATCTTATTTCCCCCCAGACGCGGTGGCGCATACTTGTAATCCCAGTACTTTGGGAGGCTGAGGCGGGCAGATTGCTTAAGCTCAGGAGTTTGAGACCAATCTGGGTAACATAGTGAGACCTCATCTCTACAAAAGTACAAAAATTAGCCTAGTGTGATAGCTACACCTATAGTCCCAGCTACTTGGGAGGCTAAGGATCCCTTGAGCCTGGGAGGTTGAGGCTGTAGTGAGCTGTGATCACACCACTGCACTTCAGCCTGGCAACAGAGAGAGATCCTGTCTCAAAAAAATTTTTTAAAAAAGGAAGCTATCTCCATACATGGATATTTCTTTTTTTCTTTTTTTTTTTTTTGGGCCAGGGGGTTGGACAGAATCTCACTCCATCACCCAGGCTAGAGTGCAGTGGCACGGTCTCAGCTCACTGAAACCTCCACCTCTGGGGTTCAAGCGATTCTTCTGCCTCAGTCTCCCAAGTAGCTGAGATTACAGACATGCCACCACGCCCGGCTAATTTTTTGTATTTTTAGTAGAGGCGGGCTTTCTCCATGTTGGCTGGTCTGGTCTCAGACTCCTGACCTCAGGTGATCCTCCTACCTTGGCCTCCCAAAGTGCTGGGATTACAGACGTGAGCTACCACACCCAGCCTCCATACATGGATTTCTTTCCTTAAACGCCTTATCCCCCATTATAACAGTAATATATGCTCATAACAATTTGTTTAATACTGAAAAATAAAACTCATCATAGGAGAAGGAAAACTCAGAGTGGAATGCCAACTAATAAATACGGAAGTTATGATGAAGTTGGAAAAATCACTGTTTTGCAAACCATTATAGACATTGATTCAGTTGGCTTTTCTATCACATTTATAGCCTTGGCGATACTACTGCTAATCTTTATGATCCCTGGCATTTGTGAAAGGTATATCCAGAAACAGCCTCAGGTCCACAGTTCTGAACCACAAGAGTACTGTATAAAGTGCAGTAGGCCGTGTGCGGTGGCTCACGCCTGCAATCCCAGCACTTTGGGAGGCCAAGGTGGGCGGATCACCTGAGGTCAGGGGTTCAAGACCAGCCTGGCCAACATGGTGAAACCCCACCTCTACTGAAAATACAAAAATTAGCCATGCCTGGTGGCGGATGCCTATAATCCCAGCTACTCAGGAGGCTGAGGCAGGAGAATCGCTTGAACCTGGGAGGCAGAGGTTACAGTGAGCCGAGATCTCACCACCGTACTCCAGCCTGGGCAACAAGCGTGAAACTTCGTCTCAAAAACAAAAAACAAAAAAACAAAAACACCATAAAGCATAATTAGAAAATTCCAGTGCCTCCTCCTTTGGCCTTGACTTGTAGCCAGAGAAGAAAACGTTACAATGCCGATGCTGCACGTCCAGGTGCTGGGATAGCACTTGCTCACCTAAGCCCTCCCTGCTTTCGTGGCCTGTTGCCTGTAGCAGGCCCCTCTGTCTTCAGCCAGCCTGGACAGGGCTCTGGCCACAGGCATTCCCTCCGTTGTTGCAGCTGGCATGCCTCTTCTCTGCTCCTTTTGGTTGCGGGGACCAGGTGGCATCTGCTTCTTTCTGTCTCATGACACCTGGCCTCCCCGCCACTAATTCCTTCCTACTGTTTTGAGCGACACCCTATGCTTCTTCCCCACTGAGGATATAGAAAAAAACAAAGTGTGATTTTCCTACCACACTCTCGTAACATAGAATCCTTCTGTGACCTCGTAACCAAAATGTGTGGGAATTGCTTCCCACCAGCAACCAAGCTAGTAGTTCTGCAGTGGACACTAGATAGGCACCGTCCAATTCCATTCAATTCTGGCATTCCCCACCTAGAGATAGCTTGAGATCCTGCAGGTTGAGGGCTCAGTCCCACAAGACTGCCCCACCCCCTCAGATGCCAATCACAAGCCCCAAGTGGTTTCATCTGTGCTTTTGACAGACCAGCTCTAAACTGGGGTTCTCACTACCCACCCCTTGGGTTCTGTTAATTAGCTGGAGTGGCTGATGGAACTCAGGGAACACATTGAACAGTTTATTTTATTTATTTATTTATTTTTTTGAGACAGAGTCTTGCTCTTGTTGCCCAAGCTGGAGTGCAATGGCACGATCTCAGCTCACTGCAACCTCCGCCTCCCAGGTTCAAGCGATTCTCTTGCCTCAGCCTCCCGAGTAGCTGGGATTACAGGTGCCCGCCACAATGCCAGCTAATTTTTGTATTTTTAGTAGAGGTGGGGTTTCACCATGTTGGCCAGGCTGGTCTCGAACTCGTGACCTCGTGATCCAGCCGCCTCAGCCTCCCAAAGTGCTGGAATTACAGGCATGAGCCACCACACCCGGCTGACCAGTTTATTATAAAGGAGATTAGAAAGGATACAGATGAAGCGATGATCAGGCAAGGTACGTGGGAAGGGGCACAGAGCTTCCATGCCCTCCTAGGGCACCACCCTCTAGGAACCTCCACATGTTTAGCCATCCAGAAGCTCATCCGAACCCAGTTACTTTGGGGTTTGTGGAAGCTTCATTACATAGGCATGATGGATTAAATCACTGGTCATTGGTGATCAATTTAACCTTTAGCCCCTCTCCCCTTCCTGGAGGTTGGGGAGCTGAAGTTCTCTGGGGGCCCCCAGCCACAACCATCTAAGACACGTATTACTTTGGAGAATCCAAGGAATTTAGGAGTTATAGCTGGGAAATGGGGAGAAAGGCCAAAAACATTTCCACAATATCACACCCGTCCACTCAGTGCTTTCATCAGTCCTTACGGGAACTCCTCTAAGCCCCTAATCCCTTTTCCTGACTTTCCTTGTGCCCTTCACACCCTGCCCTGCCTAAGTTAGCCAATTCGCCACTTCCCTCGAGCGCACCCTTCTCTCACCCAGCAGGCAGGTGTGCCCTGCTTCACACCTCAACACAACTGCTGAGCCTAGGAACCGTGTGGCACAGTTGAGGTCAGGATTATAAAATTCTCGGATGTCAAGGATTATAGCCACTCGTAGCTGGTGACACTTGATGACACTGGCTGAGAAGCCTGCTTCGAGTTTCTGTCTCTCCAGCTACTAACCAGATTCTTTACTGATCATACTCCTGAGAGTGGATGACTCCTCACTTCACCCCACTGAGTCAGTTTAACTTACTGACCTTTATTTCTTGTATATTATTGAAAGATGCATTTCTAGGAAGAACCCGTGGTCCTAGAGAAACCAGAAAGCCAATCCACTGAATACAATTTATGGTTTTTTCATCAGCGTGCTGCAATGACTTGTGTTCTCTGTATATTTTACCTACATTGGCCAGTATAGTAGCCGTTAGCCACAGGTGGCTGTTGAGCACTTGAAGTGTGGCTAGTCTGCAGCCTGGGCAACATAGGGAGACCCCATCTCTACAAGAAATTTAAAAATTATCCAGATGTGGTGGCATGCACCTGTAGTCCCAGCTACCTGGGAGCCTAAGGATGGCTTGAGCCCAGGAGGTCGAGGCTGCAGTGAGACTTTTTTTTTTTTTTTTTTGAGATGGAGTCTTGCTCTGTTATTGGGGGAACTCACCCCCAGTATTTCAATGTAGGTTCTTTCTATTTTCCGTAAGTGTCGGCCGGCTGAGAAATAAAGGGACACAGTATAAAGAGAGGAATGTTACAGCTGGGCCACCAGGGGTGACATCACGTATCAGTAGGACCGTGATGCCCTCCTGAGCCTCAAACCAGCAAGTTTTTATTAAGGGTTTCAAAAGGGGAGGGGGTGTAAGAACAGGGAGTAGGTACAGAGATCACATGCTTCAAAGGGCAAAAAGCAGAACTAATAATAAGGGTCTAACAAAGATCACATACTTTTGAGGGAACAGGACAAAGGGCAAAAGCAGAACTACTGATAAGGGTCTATGTTCAGCGGTGCACGTATTGTCTTGATAAACATCTTATCTTAACAGAAAACAGCGTTGGAGAGCAGAGAACCGGTCTGACCACAGATTTACCAGGATGGAGTTTTTCCCCACTCTAGTAAGCCTGAGGGTACTGCAGGAGACCAGGGCGTATCTCAGTCCTTATCTCAACCGCATAAGACAGACATTCCCACAGTGGCTGTTTATAGACCTCACCCCAGGAATGCATTCCTTTCCCAGGGTATTAATATTAATATTCCTTGCTAGGAAAAGAATTTAGCGATATCTTCCCTACTTGCACGTCTGTTTATAGGCTCTCTGCAAGAAGAAAAATATGGCTCTTTTTTCCCAACCCCACAGGCAGTCAGACCTTATGGTTGTCTTCCCTTGTTCCCTAAAAATCACTGTTACTCTGTTCTTTTTCAAGGTGCACTGGTTTCATATTGTTCAAACACACGTTTTACAATCAATTTGTACAGTTAACACAATTATCACAGTGGTCCTGCCATGATGTACATCCTCAGCTTATGAAGATAACAGGATTAAGAGATTAAAGACAGGTGTAAGAAATTACAAAAGTATTATTTGGGAACTGATAAATGTCCATATTAAAATGAAATCTTCACAATTTATGTTCCTTTGCTGCGGCTCCAGTCGGTCCCTTTGTTCGGGGTCGCTGACTTCCCGCAACACTCTGTCACCAGGCTGGAGTGCAGTGGCACTATCTTGGCTCACCACAAGCTCTGTCATCTGGGTTCAAATGATTCTCCTGCCTCAGCCTCCCAGGTAGCTGGGATTACAGGCGTGCACCACCACGCCTAGCTAATTTTTGTATTTTTAGCAGAGACGGGGTTTCACCATGTTGGCCATCATGGTCTCAATCTCTTGACCTTGTGATCCGCCTGCCTCGGCCTCCCAAAGTGCTGGGATTACAGGCGTGAGCCACCGCGCCCGGCTGCAGTGAGTCTTGATTGCACCACTACACTCCAGCCTGGTTGACAGAGCAAGACCCTGTCCTGCCCACCACCTCCTAAAAAGAAAAATGTGGTAGTCTGAATTGAATGCACTGTAAGTGCAAAACACACATTGGATTTCAGACTTAGGGCACACACAAAAGAGAATGCAAAATCTGATTAATAGGTTGTTTTTGTTTTTTCTTTTTGAGACGAAGTTTCGCTCCTGTTGCCCAGGCTGGAGTGCAATGGCATGATCTAGGCTCACTGCAACCTCCACCTCCCGGGTTCAAGTGTTTCTCTTGCCTCAGCCTCCAAAGTAGCTGGGATTACAGGCATGCACCACCACACCCACCTAATTTTGTATTCTTACTAGAGACAGGGTTTCACCATGTTGGTCAGGCTGGTCTCAAACGCCTGACCTCAGGTGATCCGCCCGCCTCAGCCTCCCAAAATGCTGAGATTATAGGCATGAGCCACCACACCTAGCGTATTAATAATTTTTATATTGAGTGCATGTTGATAATATTTTGTATATATTGGGTTAAATAAAATACATTATTAATTTTTTTTTTGAAACGAAGTCTCACTCTGTCATCCAGACTGGAGTGCAGTGGCATGATCTCAGCTCACTGCAGCTTCCACTTCCTGGGATCAAGCGATTCTCTTGCCTAAGCCTCCCGAGTACTGGGACTACAGGCATGTGCCATCATGCCCAGCTAATTTTTGTATTTTTTTTAGTAGAGACAGGGTTTCACCATGTTGGCCAGGATGGTCTCAAACTCCTGACCTCAAGTGATCCCCCTGCCTCAGCCTCAGCCTCCCAAAGTGCTGGGATTACAGGCATGAGCCACTGCACCCAGCCTATATTATTAATTTAACTTTAACTGTTTATTTTTACCTTCAATGTGGCTCCTAGAAAGCTTAATGGTACGTATATGCTCACAGCTGTGGCCTGCATTTTATTTCTACTGGACAGTGCTGTTTTAGGCACTTAACATTCTTTTCCTTAATTAACTTCCTTTCCCCCTCCTCCTGATAATTCTCAGGAAATCACTCAGAAAATCCTAGAAGCTGTGGGGAACATTGCCGGCTCTTCCTTGGAGCAAACCAGCTGGCTAAGCAGAAACCTGGAAGTGAAGGCCCAACCTCAGGCCTCTCTAGAAGAATCTGATGCTGAGGAGGACCTGTATGGTAGGTGGAGATGGGTTGGCTGATAGTGCCTCTGGTCAGCGCGTGGTTCTGGCTTTTCCTTAAGAGAGATCTTGAGTGTTCTCACCACAAAAAGAAAGAAAGTACTTAAGGTAGGCTGGGTGCGGTGGCTCACGCCTGTAATCCCAGCACTTTGGGAGACCGAGATGGGCAGATAAAGCAAGGTCAGGAGTTTGAGACTAGCCTGGCCAACATGGCGAAACCCCGTCTCTACTAAAAGTAAAAAAATCAGCTGGGCACAGTGGTAAGCACCTGTGGTCCCAGCTACTTGGGAGGCTGAGGCAGGAGAATCGCTTCAACCTGGGAGGCGGAGGTTGCAGTGAGCCGAGATCACGCCACTGCGCTCCAGCCCAGGCGACAAAGCAAGACTCCGTCTCAAAAAAAAAAAAAAAAAAAAAAAAAAGTATTTAGAGCAGTGACAAGATGTTAGTCAAACTTTAGAAAACATCACTTTGAGGCCAGGCATGGTGGCTCACGCCTGTAATCCCAGCAGTTTGGGAGGCCGAGGTGGGTGGATCACCTGAGGTCAGGAGTTCAAGACCAGCCTGGCCAAGATGGTGAAACCCCATCTTAACTAAAAATACAAAAATTAGCCGCGCGTGGTAGTGGGCGCCTGTAATCCCAGCTACATGGGAGGCTGAGGCAGAGAATTGCTTGAACCTGGGAGGAGGAGGTTGCAGTGAGCCAAGATTGTACCACTGCACTCCAGCCTGGGCGACAGAGTGAGACTACACCTCAAAAAAAAAAAAAAGAAAGAAAGAAAGTACCTGAGGTGATGCATGTCTTAACTTGTGTTTTTTCACAATGTATGCATATATCAGCAGGGATGGTGAAATATTGAAAAAAGAAAACATATATCAAAACATCATGTTATAACCTGAAATGTATACCAGTTTTATTTGTCAGTTATATCTAATTAAAACTGGTAAGGGAAAAGATGTTGGAAAGTTAAAAAAAAAAAAAAAGTTTAGGCATAGGAAAAAGCAAACTACCTTCTCAAGTCTGTGTTCATTCACCCAGACTCTTTCTTTGTTTTTTGTTTTTGTTTTTTTGAGACAGAGTCTCGCTCTGTCACCCAGGTTGGAGTTCACCCAGGTTGGAGTTCACCCAGGTTGGAGTTCACCCAGGTTGGAGTTCACCCAGGTTGGAGTGCAGTGGCGTCATCTTGGCTCACTGCAACCTCCGCCTCCCTGGTTCAAGCCATTCTCCTGCCTCAGCCTCCCGAATAGCTGGGATTACAGACATCTACCACCATGCCTAGCTAATTTTTGTGGTTAGTAAAGACAGCGTTTCACCATGTTGGCCAGGCTGGTCTCAAACTCTTGACCTCAGGTGATCCACCCACCTCGGCCTCCCAAAGTGCTGGTATTACAGGCGTGAGCCTCTGCGCCCGGCCCAGACTCTTCCTTTGTATCCATAGCCAGATGACTGAACTGTCTGTTTTGACTTTTTACAACATACTATGTGTGTGTGCTAAACACCGGGACCCCTTAGCTGGTGTCCCACCATGTGTATGCCATCCTGCTGACCTTCACTGAGCCTCAGTGGGGCTCCAGAAAGTAACACCCCAAGACCATTTACCTGGACATGGTGATAGAAATCTGTGTGGGATAAAGATGATGAGAATGTGTGTGTTTCTTTTTGCAGAACTATGGAAAGAGAATTTAGCAAATCAAGCTGGGAGGGTTGGCTCATGCCTGTAATCCCAGCACTTTGGGAGGCTGAGGTGGGCGGGTCGCCTGAGGTGATTACAAATGATCCTTTTTTTTTTTTTTTCAGGATTAAGCATATCTTGGGGCAAGTGATTTTCTTTGCTACTGTCAGTGTCATTTAACACAGGGAAGGACAGTATGCCCAGTGCCAGTAGAGCTTAATACAACGTGAGAAAGGATGTTTGGTCCCAGTTTTATTTAATACAGGAACAAGAAACTACATTTCAGTTTTCAGTGTAAACTATCACAGTACCTGCCACAGAGTAATGTTCAAATATTGTTATCTTTCATTATTACTTCTACGAAAATTGTTAGCAGGGCTGGGTGTAGTGGCTCCCACCTGTAATCCCAGCACTTTGGGAGGCCAAGGTGAGAGGATGGCTTGAGGCTACAAGTTTAAGACTATCCTGGTTAGCGGGCATGGTGGCTCAGACCTGTAATCCCAACACTTTGGGATATACTCCATTTAAAAATAAATCAGGCCGGGCACAGTGGCTCAGGCCTGTAATCCCAGGACTTTGGGAGGCCAAGGTGAGTGGATCACCCGAGGTCAGGAGTTCGAGACTGGCCTGGCCAACTTGGCGAAACTCCATCTCTACTAAAAATACAAAAATTAGCCAGGTATGGTGGCGGGCATCTGTAGTCCCAGCTACTCAGGAGGCTGAGGCAGAATGACTTGAACCCGGAAGGTGGAGGTTGCAGTGAGCCAAGATCGTGCCACTACACTCCAGCCTGGGTGACAGAGCGACCAAACTCCATCTCAAAAAAAAAAAAAAAAAAGGACTATCCTAGTAACACAGCAAGACCCCATCTCAGGCCGGGCGCGGTGGCTCACGCCTGTAATCCCAGCACTTTGGGAGGCCGAGGTGGGCGGATCACCTGAGGTCCAGAGTTCGAGACCAGCCTGACCGACATGGAGAAACCCCATCTCTACTAAAAATACAAAATTAGCTGGGTGTGGTGGCGCATGCCTGGAATCCCATCTACTCCGGAGGCTGAGGCAGGAGAATGGCTTGAACCTGGGAGGCGGAGGTTACTGTGAGCCAAGATCGCACCATTGCACTCCAGCCTGGGCAACAAGAGCAAAACTCCATCTCAAAAAAAAAAAAAAAAAAAAAAAGACCCCATCTCTACAAAAGGGGAGGCAGAGGTTGCAGTGAGTCGAGATGGCGTCACTGCACTCCAGCCTGGGCGACAGAGCAAGACTCATCTCAAAAAAATAAATAAATAAAAATAAGGCCAGGTGCAGAGGCTCACACCTGTAATCCTAGCACTTTGGGAGGCTGAGGTGGGCAGATCACCTGAGGTCAGGAGTTCAAGACCAGCCTGGCCAGCATGATGAAACCCTGTCTCTACTAAAAATACAAAAATTAGCCAGGTATGGTAGTGTGTGCCTGTAATCCCAGCTACCCGGGAGGCTGAGGCAGGAGAATCACTGGAACCTGGGAGGCAGAGGCTGCAGTGCGCCGAGATCGTGCCACTGCACTCCAGTCTGGGCAACAGAGGGTGCAAACTCCATCTCAAAAAAAAAAAAGTTTTTTTAATGACTAAAAGAAAGTAAATTACCAAGAGAATTTCAGGTGGGACTTAGTACTGCGAGGAAAGTAAGAGTAATGTGATAAGGAGTGGCTGGTAGTGGGGCAGGGCCACTGTGAGTGTTACAGAACATGTCCCCAAGGAGGTGACAGTTGTGCTGAGAGATGAAAGACAAGGGGACAGCCCTGCAGAGGTCTGGGAAGGCACTGCCCCGAGGGGATTGCAGGCCTTGGCCACGGGAGTGGGCTTAGACCCAGCGACCTGAAGACCAGGACTCTGGAGCTTCATGAAAGTGGTGGGAAGAGGTCAGAGAAAGGGTGGAGACTGATGAGACTGATGGTTGTCGGGCTTGGTAGAAAGCACACTAAGGGGCCGGGCACAGTGGCTCACACCTGTAATCCCAGCACTTTGGGAGGCCGAGGCGGGCGGATCACGAGGTCAGGAGATCGAGACCATCCTGGCTAACATGGTGAAACCCCGTCTCTACTAAAAATACAAAAAGAAATTAGCCGGGTGTGGTGGCAGGTACCTGTAGTCCCAGCTACTGGGGAGGCTGAGGCAGGAGAATGGCGTGAACCAGGGAGGTGGAGGTTGCAGTGAGCCGAGATCGCGCCGCTCCACTCCAGCCTAGGCAACAGAGACTCTGTCTCAAAAAAAGAAAGAAAGCACACTAAGGAGCTTGGATTTCATCCCACTTGCCACAGGTAGCCTTAAAGTACTTAGAGCAGCCACATGTTAGTCAAACTTTAAAAACCATCACTTTGGCTGCTGTGATCAGTACAGTGTGTATTGGATGAGCACAGAAACTGGAAGTCCAGGTAAAAGGATTTTGCGCTGGTTAAGGCAGAAGATGATTCTGGCTTGGAGGCAGGGTCAACAGAAAGGGACAGTTTAAATGCAGAGTCAGCAGGATTTGCTGATGGATCGGATGTAGTTATTTTAGAAAATGCAGCCAAGGATGACAGGTTTTTGGCTTAAGCAATTTACCAAGGTGGAAAAAACAGAAGAAAAAACATTTCGTAGAGAAAAATTGAGCTTGATTTTGCACATGTTAAGTCGGAAATGATGGAAAAGAGAAGGACCCAGCAAAGATGATTAAGCAGTCACTGAGGTGGGTGAACCAAGAGAGCATAGAGCCTTGGAGTCTGGGAGGAGACAATGTGTCCGAAGGCCCCAGGGGCAGACACACGGTGGAGGGCCGCTGAGAAGCAAAGTGCAACAGGAAGGGGCAACAGGAGCTGACAATGTAGAATTCATCGGGGTGGGTGGTCAGGATGGTGAGGGGACACTTGAGAAACAGGTGGAGAAGAGGATGGGAATGGAGCAAGGGGAGACAGTGGAGGTCGGTAACTCTTTGAGGCTAGTTGTCCATAGGGCAGTAGCCAAGCAGAATTAAGGACCAGAGAATGTTTTGTTGTTGTTGTTTTGTGTGTTTGTTTGAGATGGAGTCTCGCTCTGTTGCCCAGGCAGGAGTGCAGTGGCGTGATCTTGGCTCACTGCAACCTCTGCCTCCTGGGTTCAAGCAATTCTTCTGCCTCAGCCTCCCAAGTAGCTGGGATTACAGGTGCACGCCACCACACCTGGGTAATTTTTGTATTTTTGACAGAGACAGGGTTTCACCATGTTGGCCAGGCTGGTCTCGAACTCCTGACCTCAAGCGATCTGCCCGCCTTGGCCTCCCAAAGTGCTGGGATTACAGGCCTGAACCACTGCACCCGGCCTGATTTGTTTTTAAATGGAGGATAT
This sequence comes from Homo sapiens, assembly GCF_000001405.40. NCBI lineage: Eukaryota > Metazoa > Chordata > Mammalia > Primates > Hominidae > Homo > Homo sapiens. The sequence continues at coordinate 36,275,170 of NC_000021.9, forward strand.
CAAAGCCTATTTGCATGGTGACAGAACAGTACAGCAGAGAGGAAGAAATTAATTCAAGAGAGAGGAAGGATAATTAGCAGAGTCCTTGATGGCCACAGGGCCAGGATTGGGATCATAAATGGAATTATTGTTATTTGATAGGAGTCAGGAACATATCTATTAAAACAGGAGATGAGGCTGGGCACAGTGGCTCACGCCTGTAATCCCAGCACTTTGGGAGGCTGAGGCTAGCAGTTTGCTTGAGCCCAGGAGTTCGAGACCAGCCTGGACAACACAGTGAAAAATCCCCATCTCTACAAAAATTACAGCCTGTAGTAATGGGACCTGTAGTTCCAGCTTCTGAGGAGGCTGAGGTGGGAAGATCACTTGAGTCCAGGAGGCGGAGGCTGCAGTGAGCCAAGATTGCACCACTGTACTCCAGCCTGGGCAACAAAGCGAGAACTTGTCTCAAAAAAAAAAAAAAAAGAATTATGTTGGAGAGTGGGAAAGCCAGCACCCCACCTGGGAACATGTGGTAGCATCAAGTCCCTTGAGAGATTCATGGTCATGACATAAAGTAAGATCAGTTGCTTGGTGGTCTGGTTTGCTCTGGAACATTTAGCTACACATAACTACGTAGACAGATCATTGGGTGTACCCAGCAGTGCATTCTTCTAGGTGAGTCCTTCCGAGGGAAAGAAGCAAAGGAGTGAAGGGTAGATGACTGACCCTGGGTGTGGGTGGGAGGTGAGGACCTGTAGCAGCTGCTGGGTAGTTAGGCAGTAGGACTCAGGGACTGGAAAGCTGTCCTAGGATGCAGGAAAATGCCAGAGGGGTGGTCAGAGGAGGATGCTGGAAACGGAGATTTGAGAAGCTGGTGAGGTCAAGGGTATGACAGTGGTGGAGCTGGAGCGGAGTCGGGGATGGTTAGAAGAGAAGAAGGCCAGGGGCTTAGAGGCTGGGATGTAGGAGGGAGCATCCAAAGGGGTCGTGCAGTTTCAAGAACGATGATGAGAATGGAAATGGAGAGGATGTTAGTGAGTTAGTGCTAATTTATTTGATCAAAATATCCAGATTCTTAGTTGTTGAAACTGAATGTTGGCAGGGTGCAGTGGCTCACACCTATAGTCCTAGCACTTAGGGAGGCCAAGGCAGGCAAATTACTTGAGCCCAGGAATTCAAGACCACCCTGGGCAACATAGCAAGACTTTGTCTCTATAAATAATTTTAAAATTACCTGGGCGTGGTGATGTGTGCCTGTGCCCCCAGCTACTCGGGAGGCTAAGGCAGGAGGATCATTTGAGCCTGGGAGGTCAAGGATAGAGTGAGCCATGATCATGCCACTGCACTCCAGCTTGGGTGACAGAGCAAGATCCTGTCTCAAAAATAAAAATAAAAAAGTTGAATGATGGCCAGGCACGGTGGCTCACGCCTGTAATCTCAGCACTTTGGGAGACCAAGGCAGGAGGATCGCTTGAGGCCAGGAGTTCGAGACCAGCCTGGCCAACATGGCAAAACCCCGTCTCTACTAAAAATACAAAAATTAGCCAGGCATGGTGGCACATGCCTGTAGTCCCAGTTACTCGGGAAGATGAGGCAAGAGAATTGCTTAAACCTGGGAGGTGGAGGCTACAGTGAGCCGAGATCACACCACTGCACTCCAGCCTGGGTGACAGGGTGAGACTCCATCTCAAAAAAAAAAAAAAAAAAAGAAAAAGCTGAAAGTTAACAGAGAGGAATACCTGAGTCATATGGACACAATTGGTATGAAAGGCGGGAGCTGATGGCTCACATTCATGCAGGGCTTTTGGGGACAGTAAATGGTGACCCATCCATCATAGTTAACATACAAATGGCTCTTTCTGTTCACAGATGCTGCTGCAGCTTCAGCAATGGTGTCTTCATCCGCCCCGTCGGTGTACAGCGTGCAAGCCCTCTCTCTCCTGGCAGAGGTAAATACACACCTGACCTGTCGTCCTTTATGGAAATGAGCGCCATCACGAATTGTTGCAAAGACATTTGTTCATTCCCAGGTGCCAGTGAGCGTGGGCCGCACCCTCCCAGGTGAGCTCGTCCATCAGGCAGCATTGGCCTCAAGCTGCACCATGGAGTTTTGGGTTAGGTTTTGCTTTAAGGACTGCACTTTTTTTTTTGAGACAGATTCTTGCTCTGTTGCCAGGCTGGAGTGCAGTGGCGCGATCTCAGCTCACTGCAACCTCCACCTCCCGGGTTCAAGCGATTCCGCTGCCTCAGCCTCCTGAGTAGCTGGGACTACAGGTGCGCGCCATCACGCCCAGCTAGTTTTTAGTATTTTAGTAGAGACGGGGTTTCACTGTGTTGGCCAGGATGGTCTCAATCTCCTGACCTCGTGATCCACCCACCTTGGCCTCCCAAAGAGCTGGGATTACAGGCGTGACCCACCGCTCCCAGCCATAACTGCTTTTCTTATTGTTGCTCGCTTCCAAGGGTTTCTGTTTTCTTTCTTTTTTTTTTCTTTTTCTTTCTGTTTTCTTTTTTTGAGATGGAGTCTCGCTCTGGAGTCTGCACTCAGGCTGGAGTGCAGTGGCGTGATCTCGGCTCACTGCAACCTCTGCCTCCTGGGTTCAAGCAGTTCTCCTGCCTCAGCCTCCTGAGTAGCTGGGATTACAGGACCTGGCTAATTTTTGTATTTTTAGTAGAGATGGGGTTTCACCATGTTGGCCAGACTGGTCTCAAACTCCCAGCCTCAAGTGATCCGCCCTCCTCAGCCTCCCGAAGTGCTGGGATTACAGGTGTGAGCCGTCGCACCTGGCCAGTTTCTGTTTTCTTAGGGCCTTGTTCTTTTAGGTACTGGCTTCCCTCCTGGACATGGTTTATCGAAGTGATGAGAAGGAGAAAGCTGTGCCGTTAATCTCCCGTCTGCTTTACTATGTTTTTCCATACTTACGCAACCACAGGTAACGTCATCTTCGCCATTTCTTCCCACCCATATGCAGAAAAATATGTTTTCACAAATGAATCAAGTAGTTTTCCTTGGACAGTCCTTGACCTTGACCCTTCTCTCTTCCCACTCCCACTCAGTGCCTACAATGCTCCCAGCTTCCGGGCTGGCGCTCAGCTGCTGAGCTCCCTGAGTGGCTATGCCTACACAAAGCGAGCCTGGAGGAAGGAGGTCCTGGAGCTGTTTCTCGACCCCGCTTTCTTTCAGATGGATACTTCCTGTGTTCAGTAAGATATGCTGTCCTGATAACAACGTGCTCTGAATCTTCAGGTGGAAATGGCATTTTGGTTTACAGAATTCTCATTCCTGAAATAGAAGCAGAGCCATAGGATCAACCCAAATAACAGGACGTCCCTGTCACAGGCTCGCATGTTGACCATGTGTTCATGGGAAAGGGATCAAGTCTTTTAAAGTACAAAGAGGAATATCACTTAATTCAGAGAGCATGTTATTTCCTGGCTGGGCACGGTGGCTCATGCCTGTAATCCCAGCATTTTGGGAGGCTAAGGTGGGTGGATCACCTGAGCCCAGGAGTTCGAGACCAGCCTGGCCAACATGGCGAAACCCCGTCTCTACAAAAAAATTCAAAAATTAGCCGGGCATGGCAGCGCACACCTGTAGTTCCAGCTACTCGGGAGGCTGAGGTATGAGAATCGCTTGAACCTGGGAAGTGAAGCTTGCAGTGAGTCAAGATCCCACCACTGCACTCCAGCCTGGGCAACAAGAGTGAAACTCTGTCTCAAATAAATAAACAGCAGAACTTGGGGTTCCAGTGATACTTGTTCTATCTAATACTGCTTTGTCTTGTAATCACAAAATAATTGGCCAGTGTTAAGATGACAGAGCCCACTGGGTGACCCTGGGGGTGTCTTTACCCCACTTCTCGGCTGATACTCCACAAGTTCTTACTGAGATCTTGCAGCAGCCAAGCAGAGATCCACTGAGACTCAGATGCAAGATGTGCTCCTGGGCCTTTTCCTGAGATAAAGAAAATCACTCAGGGCTGGTCATGGTGGCTCACACCTGTAATCCAACATTTTGGGAGGCTTAGGCAGGAGGATTGCTTGAGCCCAGGAGTTGGAGACCAGCCTGGGCAACAAAGTGAAACCCCATCTCTACAAAAAAAAAAAATCAAAAAAATTAGCCAGGCATGCGGGCATATGCCTGTGGTCCCAGCTACATGGAAGCCTGAGGCAGGAGGATCGCTTGAGCCCAGGAGGTTGAGGCTGCAGTGAGCTGTGATTGTGCCACTGCACTCCAGCCTGGGTGACAGCACACGACCCTGGGCCCTGTCTCAAAATAACCAGAAAGAAAGAAAGAAAGCCACTCCTTTATTAATGACAGGAAGGCTTAGCGATAGAGGGTAGAGATTGGGAACCCTTTTTGTATGGCATGAAAGCATGGCCACCCCCAGAGGGCTGCTGGTGGCCCTGTGGCCTCCCTCCACGTGATCTTGTTGCTCTGCTGGGGTAGCTCATTTGGAAAGAAAAGCTAAGGGTGGTATTTGTCTTCACTATCCCACTCTTTTCATCAACACAACTGTGTGAATATCATCCTGTATGAACATATTTAAGAATAACCCTTGAAAAAGCCAGAGTGCCTTGTCAGTTTGTTTCTTTGTGGTAAACTGGAAAAAGTCATCATTCATTCCCTATGTTAGGGTTATAAATGAAAAGCTTTTTCGTAGCTTTCTTTTATATGTAAACTATTTATTTCTATCACTAACCTCTTTTCAGAAAGCAGTTTTTTTGTTTGTTTGTTTTTGAGATGGAGTTTTGCTCTTGTTGCCCAGGCTAGAGTGCTATGGCACAATCTCAGCTCACCACAACCTCCACCTCCCGGGTTCAAGCGATTCTCCTGCCTCAGCCTCCTGAGTAGCTGGGATTACAGGCATGCGCCACCACGCCCTGCTAATTTTGTATTTTTAGTAGAGACAGGGTTTCTCCATGTTGCTCAGGCTGGTCTTGAACTCCCAACCTCAGGTGATCCGCCCACCTCGGCCTCCCAAAGTGCTGGGATTATAGGCGTGAGCCACTGCACCTGGCCCAGAAAGCAGTTTTTAATATATCTTAAGAGGATATGTTATTTTCTTAATGTTTTGAATCAAACTATCATCCACTGCAAATTTAATTGATTTTGCTTTCTTTAATATCCAGTTGGAAGTCCATTATTGACCATCTTTTGACTCATGAGAAAACAATGTTTAAGGATTTAATGAGTAAGTTCTGTGTTACTTTTGCATAACTCACACTTGATAGGATCAATGCCAATATAACCAGCTTTCATCATGTATTTCCGAACCCTACTCACACTTTCATGGTGCTGTCTACGCCACAAAGACTGTAATGTGATGTTCATAATATGGCAGGACTAAATCAATGAGTCTTTTCCAGTTGCAATTTATTGACAAGAACGCCACGACAACCTTTTTCATAGTTTTATAGTGGAGAAATACTGCCGAAAGCATCCAGCTTCACATCTTGACATTTGTGCTGAAAGTAATAAGTTTCTATAATTTACTAGGAGGACTTTTCTACACCTCAGATCCCTTCTCATGCACTATCATTAAGTATCATTAAAGAAATAAGTATTGGGCTGGGCACGGTGGCTCACGCCTGTAATCCCAGCACTTTGGGAGGCTGAGATGGGCGGATCACAGGGTCAGGAGATCGAGACCATCCTGGCTAACACGGTGAAACCCCGTCTCTACTAAAAATACAAAAAATAGCCAGGCATAGTGGCGGGCGCCTGTAGTCCCAGCTACTCGGGAGGCTGAGGCAGGAGAATGGCATGAACCCGGGAGGCAGAGATTACAGTGAGCCAAGATCGTGCCACTGCACTCCAGCCTGGGCGACAGAGCGAAAATCCTTCTCAAAAAAATAAAAAAATAAGTATTGGCTGGGCACAGTGGCTCACGCCAATCCCAGCACTTTGAGTGGCTGAGGTGGGTGGATCATTTGAGCCCAGGGGTTCAAGACCAGCCTGGGCAACATAGCGAAACCCCATCTCTACAAAAAATTAACCAGGCACTGTGGCACGCACCTGTAGTCCCAGCTACTTGGGAGACTGAGGCAGGAGGATCGCTTGAACCCAGGAGGTCGAGGCCGCAGTGAGCTGTGATCCCACCACTGCACTCCAGGCTGGGTGATAGAATGAGATCCTGTCTCAAATAAGAAATAAAAAGAGAAATAACTATTTTTTAAATATACATGGGAACAGTAATCTCATGTCCTTACTTAATAAAGATCATGATTTTTCACCAGGGAATATAGAATTACACTAGTATGAATTTCCCATCACTTCCCTCCAATTGTGGTTTTCTCACTAAGTAAAACATTGCTGTATTTATTCTAGACATGCAGAGCAGTTCTTTGAAACTATTCTCAAGTTTTGAACAGAAAGCCATGCTGTTAAAGCGCCAGGCTTTTGCTGTCTTCAGTGGAGAACTTGATCAATACCACCTTTACCTTCCACTGATACAAGGTAAGACAGCTGTCTTAGTCTGTTTTTTGCTGCTATAACAGAATACCTGAGACTGGGGAATTTATAAAAACAGAAATTTATTGCCTCACAGTTCTGGAGGCTGAGAAGTCCTATATCCAGGGCTGGCGTCTGGCAAGGGCCTTCTTGCTGCAACATCCTATGGCAGAAGGTGGAAAGGCAAAAGAGCAAGAGGGGGCTGAACCTGCCCTTTTATTACAGTACCAATCCCATCCATGATGTGGCCTAATCACCTCTTAAAGGCCCCACTTCCCGATAACATTACATTTACAATAAAATTTGAGCATGCATTTTGGACAGGACAAACATTCAAACCACAGCAACAGCTGACCTGCCCTCACTGCCCCCACACACAGATAGACCCATGAGGGGCTGAGATGATTAAGTACTAGAGGGGTCTACTGCGTGCTTTGGCATGATTGTCACTTGTTAAAACAAGTATTCTGCAGAGTTATAGAACTTCAGAAGTATATTGGTAAATCTGAAACTTTATTTTAAAATCAATTATAGGTCAGGTACAGTGGCTCATGCCTGTAATCCCAGCACTTTGGGAGGCCCAGGTGGGTGGATGACTTGAGATCAGGAGTTCAAGACCAGCCTGACCAACGTGGTGAAACCCCATCTCTACTAAAAATACAAAATTAGCCAGGCGTGATGGTGCGCACCTGTAATCCCAGCTACTTGAGGCTGAGGCAGGAGTATCACTTAAACCCAGGAGGCCAAGGTTGCAGTAAGCCAAGATCACACCACTGCACTCCAGCCTGGGCAACAAGAGCGAAACTCTGTCTCTAAATAAATACATAATAAAATCAATTACAGTGTTATTAATTTGTATTAGTTTTTAAAAGTCTGACCACAGTATAGGAATAATACTTCCTCAGCACTGTCTCTTGCTAGAGTCCTCCTGCAGTCAAGGTACTCGGTGTTTACAGTACTCCCTTAATCAGCACCTTCAGCTGAGGCCAGGGAAGGGGCAAGATTTTGGAGAAGGATCTAATTTTTCCTTAACAATTTTTTTTTCATCCCCACTACATTCTTTGACTGCATCAAAAATAATTATTGCTGACTGGGCACGGTGGCTCACGCCTGTAATCCCAGCACTTTCAGAGGCCAAGGCGGGTGGATCTCTTGAGGTCAGGAGTTTGACATCAGCCTGCCCAATGTGGTAAAACCCCATCTCTACTAAAAATACAAAAATAAGCCTGGTGTGGTGACTCATGCCTATAATCCCAGCTACTGGGGAGGCAGAAGCAGGAGAATCGCTTGAACCTGGTAGGCACTGAGCCGAGATTGTGCCACTGCACTCCAGCCTGGGTGACAGAGAGAGACTCCATTGCAAAAATAAATAAATAAATTGTTATTATTATTGCCAACATCGTACGTGATTGTCAGGGTTTTTTTTTTTTTTTCCTTCTCATAAAATGTTCAGGTGGCAAAGTTGACATTCTGTTTTGTTTTTGTTTTCATTTTGAGCCAGGGTCTCCCTCTGTCACCCAGGCTGGAGTGCAGTGGCGCAGTCTCGCCTCATTGAAACCTCCGCCTCCTAGGTTCAAGTGATTCTCCTGCCTCAGCCTCCAAGTAGCTGGGATTACAGGCACCCACCACCATGTCCGGCTAATTTTTGAATTTTTTTAGTAGAGACAGGGTTTCACCATGTTGGCCAGGCTGGTCGCGAACTCCTGACCTCAGGTGATCTGCCCACCTTGGCCTCCCAAAGTGCTTGGATTACAGGCATGAGCCACCGCACCCAGCCGGAAAGATCTTGTTTTAGTTCAAAGCATTAACAGCGTTGACTCGTTAGTCATGATAACTTACATATGCAATAATAAAACACCTTTACACTTTAACTGACATAATTTCCGCATGTAGTGCACATAAGATTTTTACCTTGTAATATCTTGAACACTTAAGAAACATGAAAGAAAACTTTCAAATATTAACAAGTCCAGTTGGCGTGCCTTGCTTGAATAACTGTGATAGGAGGATGATTTAATCAGACGGTAACCAGGAGCACCAGTAAAGGTAATGTCAGCTCTCCAAAGACTGTGGCTAAATGCAAGGTCAGAGCTGAACTTTGTTGCCTCCCTACAAAATCTGGAGAGAAAAAGAACAACAGGAATCACCTTTTCTTTAGTTCATGTGCAGTATAGGGGAGGATTCTTTATGAACCCAACCACTAGACAGTGGCCCTAAGGGAAGCAGTAAGCCTACTTTCTCAGTGGAGGAAAATGAAAAGGAGAGCATATTGGGCAATGTACCTGATAACCCTTTCAGTGCCTTTTCAGTCTAAGAGCAGACACCTGTTCCTTTTTTTTTTTTTTTTTTTTTTTTCCTTTGAGATGGAGTCTTGCTCTGTCACCCAGGCTGGAGTACAGTGGCACAATCTCGGCTCACTGCAACCTCCACCTCCCAGGTTCAAGCAATTCTCCTGCCTCAGCCTCCAAAGTAGCTGAGATTACAGGCACCAGCCACCACACTCAGCTAATTTTTTTGTACTTTTAGTAGAGATGGGGTTTCGCCATGTTGACCAGGCTGATTTCAAACTCCTGACCTCAAGTGATCCGCCTGTGTTGGCCTCCCAAAGTGCTGGGATTACAGGCATGAGCCACCGTGGCCAACCACCTGTTCCTTCTTTCTTTTTTTTTTTTTTTTTTTTTTTGAGACGGAGTCTCGCTCTGTCGCCCAGGCTGGAGTGCAGTGGTGCAATCTCTGCTCACTGCAATCTCTGCCTCCCGGGTTCAAGCAATTCTCCTGCCTCAGCCTCCTGAGTAGCTGAGATTACAGGCACACAACACCACGCCCAGCTAATTTTTGTATTTTTAGTAGAGACAGGGTTTCACCATGTTGGTCATGCTGGTCTCAAACTCCTGACCCCGTGATCCACCTGCCTCGGCCTCCCAAAGTGCTGGGATTACAGGCATGAGCCACTGCGCCCAGCCCTGTTCCTTCTTTCTACCCCATCTCACACTCCTCTCAAATTTGGGAGGAAGCCCAGATAGCTAAATAGACAGCATTAGGTGTATAGAAGCTAGAACCAAAAAAACAAAAAGATAGACAACATTCTGAAACAGGGGTGTGGAGAATTTGACCATGGTAGAGTTTAAACACCCAGCAATTCTGAGAAATTATTTCTCTGAGAGGGAGCAAGCACAGGCAATATAATAGAATATATATATAAAAAACATGTTTTACATAATATATTAATATGTTATATAATTATATGACATTGTAACATGTAATTATTATATTTGTATTATATTGACATGATTGTAATAACTAATAGGTAATGATTATATAAATAGTAATATTAAATATTATACTATATAACAATATACTTGTTTATATTATATATTCAAATATGCAATAAAGGCAGCAGAATGCTAACTGAAAATGGAGGTAGGTTTTGGGCTCTTGGGAAAAGAGAAATTTTTTTGTTGTTGTTGGGAGGGGAACGGAGTCTCACTCTGTTGCCCAGGCTGGAGTGCAGTGGCACAATCTTGGCTCACTGCAACCTCCGCCTCCTAGGTTCAAGTGATTCTCCTGCCTCAGCCTCTCAAGTAGCTGGGATTACAGGCACCCACCACCATGCCTGGCTTATTTTTGTATTTTTAGTAGAGATAGGGTTTCACCATGTTGGCCAGGCTGGTCTCGAACTCCTGACCTCAAGTGATCCACCCGCCTCAGCCTCCCAAAGTGCTGGGATTACAGGCATGAGCCACCATGTCTGGCCGGGAAAAAGAATTTCTAAATAAATACGCTTCGTTTTGGATAGCTCAAGTGCTATATTTCTAAAAATACTACGTGTTTTTAAAAAATAAGCCTTTTGCCCTGTTTTCATTTTTGATGAACTGACAGTTTACAGAGCACTTTCCTACATGTTGTCGTTGTCCCCAGGATGCTCGTGGATAGGCCCAGCCCCCCTGAGTCCTGGGTTGATGGCACTCAGAGTGTCCTCTGCCAGAGCTGTGGGACACTGAACTTGCCTGGAGATGCCCTGTGGAGGGATGATGCCCACATCTGCCTCAGAGAGGTAGATGCATCCAGAAGCTCCCAAGAAGTGTCCCATAGTAAATAGTTTGGGCCCAATTAAAAGAGGCAGGAGGCTGGGCACAGTGGCCTGTAATCCCAGCACCTTGGGAGGCTGTGGTGGGCAGGTCACTTGAGGTCAGGAGTTCAAGACCAACCTGGCCAACATGGTGAAACCCCACCTCTACTAAAAATACAAAAAGTTAGCTGAGCATGGTTTCAGGCGCCTATAATCCCAGCTACTTGGGAGGCTGAGGCAGGAGAATTGCTTGAACCCTGGAGGCGGAGGTTGCAATGAGCCGAGATCGCGCCACTGCACTCCAGCCTGGGTGACAGAGTGAGTGAGACTCCATCTCAAAAAAAAAAAAGAGACAGGAGTGGAGAATTTCTAACACTTCTCTCCTGGGATACCGTTTGGGGTCCTTTTCCCCGGACACTGTTGCACCATCGAGTAGCAGAGAAGGAGATGGGGAGCTGAGCAGCTCTGTATGTCTCGGCTCAGAGTGACATCAGTCTTACGTCTTTGGGGGCTGGGAAGATGTAGGTGAAAGGATACGAAGGTGCAATTATGGAGGATGAGTAAGTCTAGAAAAGGCATGTACAACATGAGGACTGTCGTTAATAACACTGCATATGTACTGGGAATTTGCCAAGAGAGTAGATTTTAGGTGCTCTTACCACAAAAAAGAAAGGTCAAAGACAGGCGCGGTGGCTCATGCCTGTAATCCCAGCACTTTGAGAAGCCAAGGAGGGCAGATCACGTGAGGTCAGGAGTTCAAGACCAGCATGGCCAACATGGTGAAACCCCATATCTACTAAAAATACCAAAAATTAGCTGGGTGTGGTGGTGGGTGCCTATAATCCCAGCTACTCGGGAAGCTGAGGCATGAGAATCATTTGAACCCAGGAGGCAGAGGCTGCAGTGAGCCGAGATCGCACCACTGTACTCCAGCCTGAGTGACAGAGTAAGACTCCATCTCAAAAACACACACACACACACACACACACACACACACACAAAACTGACTGAGCATGGCAGCTCACGCCTGTAATCCCAGCACTTTGGGAGTCCAAGGCAGGTGGATCATCTGAGGTCAGGAGTTAAAAGATCAGCCTGGCCAACATGGCTAAACCCTATCTCTACTAAAAATACAAAAAATTAGCCGGGCATGGTGGCAGACACCTGTAATCCCAACTACTCTGGAGGCTGAGGCAGGAGAATTGCTTGAACCCGGGAGGCGGAGGTTGTAGTGAGCGGAGACTGCTCTGCTGCCCTCTAGCCTGGGCAACAGAGTGAGACTCCATCTCAAAAAAAAAAAAAATTTATTACTAATATACTAATGTACTAATGTACTACAGCCGATCTTAGCTAGCATGACTACCATTCAGCTGTTTGCTGTAGCAATTTGTTACATTCCTAGGAAACCTTAAGCTATGGAAGAAAAAAAAAGTCTCATTCTACAAACAAGACATTTCAGGGGAGAAGCAGGGGAGAGTGTTAGGGGCTAGAGAGTGTTATTTGAAACACTTTTCCCTCCATAGGAATGAAAGTTTTTGTCATGGCCATCAAGTTTAAACCTTACTCAGTAAATCTGTTATATTTACTTGCTCCGCTTCCCACCCACCACCCTCAAAATATGGTGTTGTCTGCCAGCCAGTCCATATGATTGTGTAAGTCCATTCCTCACCATGGGCTGCTTGGTTTCTGCGTCTCCTCATTCATATTCTTAAAAGAACATTGAAATGGCTGTTGGTCATCCAGTGGATTTCTGGTGACAGATGTTCATGTCTTTCTACTCAGCTGTGGCAGGGGGACGGCCTGTGGGAATCATTTCCTTAGGTTTGGCAAGAGCCATGAACTGCTGTATTTCACAAAGAAGAGGGCTGGGGTGGACTAGTTGCACAAAAGCATCTCCTAACATTCTTTTTTTTTTTTTTTTTTTTTTTTTGAGATGGAGTCTCACTCTGTCACCCAGGCTGGAGTGCAGTGGTGTGATCTCGGCCCACTGCAACCTCTACCTCCCAGGTTCAAGCGATTCTCCTGCCTCAGCCTCCCAAGTAGCTGGGACTACAGGCGCCCACCACCACGCCCGACTAATTTTTGTATTTTTAGTAGAGATGGGGTTTTACCATATTGGCCAGGCTGGCCTCGAACTCCTTATCTTGTTATCCGCCCGCCTCGGCCTCCCAAAGTGCTGGGATTACAAGTGCGAGCCACCAAGCCTGGCCTGTAACACTCATTCCTTACACTGGGTTGTTACTAGAATGTCAGAACAGTCACAGTTTTATTTTTCTTTGTCTGATAAGAAACCCTAAACTGCATATTTGTGTAACATCTTTACAATCTTCTTTCCTTAGAACGCCTGACAGACAATCTCAGAGTTGGACAGACATCCATAGTTGCTGCTCAGATGTTTCTTTTTTTCAGAGTTTTGCTGCTAAGAATATCTCCTCAACATTTGACTTCATTGTGGCCAATAATGGTCTCTGAATTGGTGAGTACAAGTATTGTAAGTTTGAAAGCAAGGTTGGAGCTTTTTAAAATGCTTTTTCAGTAACATAACGTACTATTTCCTATGTATCCCATTTTATCTAAATGTTATTTTTAATCAGGTTGGTAGCACATGGTTAGCTCTTGGTTAAACAGAGAATATTTTACTCTATGATCATATTTGATCTCTCACCCTGTCAGTTATTCCAACTAACTTGTACCATTTGATAATACTTACTAGTTTTTTATATACATATAAATTTGGGCTGGGCGTGGTAGCTTATGCCTGTAATCCCAGCACTTCGGGAGGCTAAGGTGGATGGATCACTTGAGCCCAGGAGTTCGAGACTAGCCTGGGCAACATGGTGAAACTCCTTGTCTACAAAAAAATACAAAAATTAATTCGGCATGGCGGGAAGTTGCATCTGCAGAAGGTTGAGGCTGCAGTGAGCCATGATTGTACCACTGCACTCCAGACTGGGTGACAGAGTAAGACCCCGTCTTATTCATTCATTCATAAATTAATCGATTTTTAAAAATAAGTAAAAAAAAATATTTGGGTAGATTTAATCTGTCTCAGATAGTAACTTGAATGCATTTTTTTTTCAGATTCAGACATTCACACAGCTTGAAGAAGATCTAAAAGATGAAGATGAGTCATTGAGGTAAGCAGTACAAGATCTGTACACAAGAGGAAAAGATAGTCACGATTAAAGCACGTCACTTTAGATATAGAGTTGTCTAATGTTAAATGCTGTTATCTTGAAGTACTTGTGAAAGGACCAGCTATTCCAAAAATTTCTTAAAAAGAAAATTCTTCTGAGGGACAGGTCATAGGTGAATGGACTATAACAGATCTGAATGAATTTATAACAAGCGTTTCTTTGCAAATTTATAGAAGCACCAACAAAGTAAACAGAACGAAAGTTTCAGTCCCGGATGCAAATGGACCCTCAGTGGGGGAGATACCCCAGAGTGAACTCATCTTGTATTTATCAGCTTGCAAATTCTTGGACACAGCGCTTTCTTTTCCACCTGACAAGATGCCATTATTTCAAATGTAAGTCAGATAGGATCGTGTGTCCTTTTTGAAGTAAGAGATTTTGTTTTTTCCTTTTAAGCACTTTCACTTGTTTTTCATGTACAGTTTATGGGAAACCACCATCTGGGTTTCTAGTGACAGCTAAGCCAGCTCGGAATACCAAGTTTCAGATTACTTGCAACATCTGTGGCTCTGCAAATTTGGCTCACAGGAGTGTTTATGAATGTGTTTCTATGGTGTGTGTGTGTGTGTGTGTGTGTGTGTGTGTGTGTGTGTGTGTGTGTGTGGTTTTTGCTACTGAATGCTTATAAAACAGGGCTTACCCACTGGTGCTCCTCACTGCCTTTGTGTAGACCTTTTTGTCTGTGTTTAGTTAGATACAAATGCCTTTATTTGGAGCCTGCCATCTCCGATTCACTTTGCCCCATAGGCTTATGTTTCCTGCCGGCTTAGCACAGCTGCTCATTTGTTTAATTTCATGACCAGCCCCAGAGGCTATTTCTCTCTCTCCTACCCCCACAAAGAGAGTAATCATATAGAAATGTTTGTGGTTAAAGAGCGGGTTCTCTTAAATGCACATTGCTAAGTGAAAGAAGCCAGTCTGAAAAGGCTACACACTGTATGATTCCAACCATGTGACATTCTGGAAAAGGCAAAACCATGGAGACAGTAAAAAGATCAGTGGTCGCCAGGGGTTGGGGAGAGGGAGGCAGGGATGAATGGGTGAAGCACAGAGGATTTTTAGGGCAGTGAAATTATTGCATACAGAGCTATAATGGTAGATCCATGTCATTGTCCATTTCTCCAAATCCATACAATGTACACCACCAAGAGTGAACCCTGATGTAAACTCTGGACTTGGGAGGATAACAGTGAGTCAGTAGAGGCTCTTCAGTTTTAACAAATGTACCACTCTGGTGCAGGATGTTGATAATACGGCAGGCTTGTATGTATGTAGGATGGGATGTACGGGAACTACTTTCTACTCCATTTTGCTGTGAACCTAAAGCTGTTCTGCAAAAGAAAGTCTTTTAGTTTTTAAAAAGCAGGTTTGGGCCGGACGTGGTGTCTCATACGTGTAATACTAGCACTTTAGGAGGCTGAGGCGGGTGGATCACCTGAGGTTGGGAGTTCGAGACCAGCCTGGCCAACATGGCGAAACCCTGTCTCAACTAAAAACACAAAAATTAGGCCAGGTACCGTGGCTCACACCTGTAATCCCAGCACTTTGGGAGGCCAAGGTGGGTGGATCACTTGAGGCCAGGAGTTCAAGACCAGCCCGGCCAACATGGTGAAAAACCCTGTCTCTACTAAAAATACAAAAATTAGGCCAGGCGCGATGGCTCACACCTGTAATCCCAGCACTTTGGGAGGCCAAGGTGGTTGGATCACCTGAGTTTGGGATCAGCCTGACCAACATGGAGAAAATCCATCTCTACTAAAAATACAAAATTAGCTGGGCATGGTGGCGTATGCCTGTAATCCCAGCTACTTGGGAGGCTGAGGCAGGAGAATCGCTTGAACCTGGGAGGCAGAGGTTGCAGTGAGCCAAGATCATGCCATCTGCCATTGCACTCCAGCCTGGGCAACAAAAGCGAGACTCCATCTCAAAAAAAAAAAAAAATACAAAAATTAGCCAGATGTGGTGGTGGGCGCCTGTAATCCCAGCTACTTCGGAAGCTGAGGAAGGAGAATCACTTGAACCCGAGAGGCAGAGGTTGCAGTGAGCCGACATCGCACCACTGCACTCCAGCCTAGGCAACAGAGCGAGACTCCCCCTCAAAAAAAAAAGAGGCCGGGCACAGTGGCTCATGTCTGTAACCCCAGCACTTTGGGAGGCCGAGGCAGGCGGATCATGAGGTCAGGAGTTCAAGACCAGCCAGGCCAACATGGTGAAACCCTGTCTCTACTAAAAATGCAAAAATTAGCTGCCTGTATTGGTGGGCACCTGTAATCCCAGCTACTCAAGAGGCTGAGGCAGGAGAATCGCTTGAAACCGAAGGCGGAGGTTGCAGTGAACCGAGATCGCACCACTGCACTCCAGCCTGGGCGAAAGAGCGAAACTGCATCTCAAACCAAAAAAAAGTGGAGGCTAGGCGCAGTGGCTCATGCCTGTAATCCCAGCACTTTAGGAGGCTGAGGCAGGTGGATCACGAGGTCAGGAGTTCAAGACCAGCCTGGCCAAGATGGTGAAACCCCGTCTCTACTAAAAATACAAAAAAATTAGTCAGGCATGGTGGCAGGTGCCTGTAATCCCAGCTACTCGGGAGGCTGAGGCAGAGAATTGCTTGAACCTGGGAGGTGGAGGTTGCAGGGAGCCAAGATTGCACCACTGCCCTCCAGACTGGGCGACAGAACGAGACTGTCTCAAAAAAACAAAAAAGTGGGTTCCGATATATGTGAATGTGCATAGCAACATTATTTATAATAGGCAAGAAGTAGAGACAACCCAAATGGCCATCAGCTGATGAACAGGCAGATCATGTGACATATCCATACAGTGGAATACGGTTCAGCAACAAAAAGAATTGAAGAACTGAGACACGCTGGAATCTGGATGAACCGGAAAATATGATGCTAAGTGAAAGCTCGAAACAAGGGAACATATAGTGTATGATTCTGCTTATATGGAATGTCCACGATGAGACAGAGTGTGGATTAGTGGGTGCCTAGGTCTCAAGGGTATAGGGGGTTGGGGTGGTGATGGCTGAGCAGGGCAGGATTTCTTTTTGGGGTAATGAAATACTCTAAAATTGATTGTGATAATAGACGTGCAACTCTATGAATATAATAAAAGGCATTGAGTTGTCCATATTAAATAGATACAGTATGTGAATTATATCTTAATAAAACTAATTTTAACGACGTTGAAGGCCTCTTACCAGCAGACCTGACCTTCTGTTTGTTCCCTGCAGTTATAGGTGGGCATTTATTCCAGAAGTGGACACAGAGGGCCCTGCCTTCCTGTCGGATGTAGAGGAGAATCACCAAGAATGCAAACCCCACACTGTCAGGATTCTAGAACTTCTAAAATTAAAGTTTGGGGTAAGTGCTTTTCTTTTCTTTTCTTTTTTTTTTTTTTTGGTGAGACAGAGTTTCACTCGGCCACCCAGGTTAGAGTGCAGTGGTGCGGTCTTCGCTTACTGCAGCCTCCACCTCCCAGGTTCAAGTGATTCTCCTGCCTCAGCTTCCGGAGTAGCTGGGATTACAGGAATGTGCCACCACACCTGGCTAATTTTGTTTTGTTTTGTTCTGAGACGGAATCTCACTCTGTTGCCCAGGCTAGAGTGCAGTGGCACAACCTCAGGTCACTGCAACCTCAGCCTCCTGGTTTCAAGCAATTCTCCTCTCAGCCTCTGGAATAGCTGGAACTACAGGCGCACGCCACCATGCCTGGCTAATTTTTGTTTTTTTGTTTTTGGGTTTTTTTTTTTTTTTTTTGAGACGAAGTCTCACTCTGTTGCCCAGACTGGAGTGCAATGGCAGGATCTCAGCTCACTGCAACCTCCACCTCCCAGGTTCAAGCAATTCCCGCACCTCAGCTTCCCAAGTAGTTGGAACTACAGGCACATGCCACCACTCTTGGGGCTAATTTTTGTATTTTTAGTAGAGACAGGTTTTCGCCATATTGGTCAGGCTGGTCTCGAACTCCTGACCTCAGGTGATCCGCCTGCTTCAGCCTCCCAAAGTGTTGGGATTACAGGCGAGAGCCACCGTGTCCAGCCTGCTTTTCTTTTTAAAAATTATATTCATGAGGCTGGTAATCCCAGCATTTTGGGAGGCCGAGGTGGGCAGATCGCCTGAGGTCAGGAGTTCAAGACCAACCTGGCAAATATGGTGAAACTCCATCTCTACAAAAATACAAAAATTAGCTGGTCATGGTGACCGGTACCTGTAATCCCAGCTACTCAGGAAGCTGAGGCAAGAGAATCGCTTGAACCCGGGAGACAGAGGTTGCAGTGAGCCAAGATCACGCTGCTGCACTCCAGCCTGGGCGACAGAGCAAGACTCTGTCTCAAAAAAAAAAAAAAAGGACCTTATTTCTTAGGTTTTGCCACATGCATGTGCTTCCCAGCCATCTCGAGCCCTCAGTAAAACCATATCATTGTTATGGGTTTGTTTTTTCTGCAGGAAATCAGTAGCTCTGATGAGATCACCATGAAGAGTGAATTCCCGCTTCTGCGCCAACATTCTGTTTCCAGCATCAGGCAGTTGATGCCATTCTTCATGACTCTAAATGGTGCATTTAAGACCCAGAGACAGCTGCCTGCTGATAGCCCAGGAACTCCATTCTTGGACTTTCCTGTCACAGATAGCCCAAGGATCTTAAAACAACTGGAAGAATGCATCGAATATGATTTTCTGGAACATCCAGAATGTTAACCATGTGAGAGAGAATATGTTTAATCCATGTATTGGTACTTTACTGAAAACCAGGTTATATTCTAAAGAAGAAAGAAGGCAGGATAGTGCTTTTGAACAAGCCTATTTCCATTTTGAAAGTAGATTTCAGGCTAGGTGCGGTGGCTCACACCTGTAATCTCAGCACTTTGGGAGGCCAAGGCAGGCAGATCACTTGAGGTCAGGAGTTCGAGACCAGCCTGACCAACATGGTGAGACCCTGTCTCTACTAAAAATACAAAAATTAGCTGGGTGTGGTGGCGGCGCCTGTAATCCCAGCTACTTGGGAGGCTAAGGCATGAGAATTGCTTGAACCCAGGAGGTGGAGGCTGCAGTGAGCCGAGATCACGACACTGCACTCCAGCTGTGTGACAGAATGAGACCATCTCCAAAAAAAAAAAAAAGTAGATTTCAGATAATTTACTGTTCAGCAACAGGACACACCTCCCTAAATGCCTTGTAATATATTTGAATCTGATTCTGCATTTCTTCCTCAATTTATGTAATGAAAATAAAATTAATATATCATCTAACAGTAGCACAAAATTTGTAATATGAAGTAAAGTATGAAGATAATGAAGAAGTTGTTTTCTTTGTTGAAGCAGTTATATGGGTCTTTCTCAGTATATTTCTCTTTTCTCTAAAAGTTTAAACTTATTAAAAGAATGTTATTTTTAACCTTTCACACAAATGTCCTTTAAAGTGCTTATTTTGGTACTCCATTTTAAAACGAAAATACATTGTTTTCTGAGGACAATAATTGCCCCTTACCCATTCAGCAGAGGTAAGGTAACCTCAATGTATTCAAAGATAACCTCAATGTATTCAAACCTCGCACATTAAAAATTACATGTTTGCCGGGCGCGGTGGCTCACGCCTGTAATCCCAGCACTTTGGGAGGCCGAGGTGGGCAGATCACCTGAGGTCAGGAGTTCAAGACCAGCCTGACCAACATGGAGAAACCCTGTCTCTACTAAAAATACAAAATTAGCTGGGCATAGTGGTGCATGCCTGTAATCCCAGCTACTCGGGAGGCTGAGGCCGGAGAATCTCTTGAACCGGGGAGGCGGAGGTTGCCATGAGCCAAGATCGTGCCATTGCACTCCAGCCTGGGCAACAAGAGTGAAACTCCGTCTCAAAAAAAAAAAAAAATTCATGTTTGCACAGTTTAACAACATAAGTACAGGGTTTTAAATTTCTGACAGCACGTTCTTTTCTTTTCTTTTTTTTCTTTTTTCCCCCTAAACGTTTAAAATATATTTCTAAACAGAATGGGCCAATTCAGTCACAGTAACTGTTGATCTCCATAGCAGAGCAACCCACAAAGACAGAACTGATTTTTTTCCCATAATCAGGGGTGAAAAATATACAACTTGTTTCTGAACCAAAACCACAATTTCTGCAGTTTAAAATGTTTCACTGCTAATATGGCCCTGGTAGAAATTATGTAGTTTCTTTTCTTCTTTAAAAAAAAAAAAAATTAAAAAAATTTCCTAAGACACTAAATGCTCCATCTGGAATGTAGATTCTGATCACAAAGCAGCTCAGTTAACCTAAAAAATAAAAAATTCCCATCACCTGTCTCAGTAGGGCCTGAGAGTAGTGTGGGGAACCCCAGCTTTGGTATGGAGAGTCATGGCCCCTTGAACCAGATAGAGACCTTGAATAGCCATAGCTGGTGCTTCTCTCAGGATAAACTCTGATGTAGGAAGTATCACCCTCATGAGAGTGGAATTTGGTCATCCAGTTGACGCAGGGCATATTCCATGTCTTCTTTTCTGAGACACCCAACCATCCCCACTCCATCCTTCTGCACATCCGTGTAACAGGCATCCCCAGCTTCTCGCGTGTGATCCTTCAGGTCCTGCCAGCTGCCTGATGGAAGAAGTCCATTTCTTCCATAAATAGCATCCTCTGCATCTCGAGGGTCCTCGAAGCGCACGGAGGCGAAGGGCACAAGGCCGTACCGGCTCTTGAGCTCGATCTCGCGGATGCGGCTGTACTTGTAGAACAGGTCCTGCGGCTCCTTCTCGCGCACGTGGGTCGGAAGGTTTCCCCACGTAGATGCACCCGTCGCCCTCCCAGCCGCGCTCGTGTCCGCCCAGCCGGACAACCGCACCGCCCGACGCTGCTGGCCAGCCGCAGCCCGCATCCGCCCGTATCGCCGCCGCTGCCGCCTCAGCACGGCTGCCCCCGCAGCGTCTGTTTTGTTTTATTCTAACAGGGTCTCTCTCTGTCGCCCAGGCTGGAGTGCAGTGGCGTGATCTTGGCTCCCTGCAACCTCTGCCTCCCGGGTTCAAGCGATTCACCTGCCTCAGCCTCCCAAGTAGTGGGCATTATAGGTGCCAGCTAACCATGGCCGGCTAATTTTTTTTTTTTTTTTTTTTTTTTTTTGAGACAGAGTCTTGCTCTGTCACCCAGGCTGGAGTGCAGTGGCGCGATCTCGGCTCCCTGCAACCTCCGCCTCCTGGGTTCAAGCGATTCTCCTGCCTCAGCCTCCTGAGTAGCTGGGATTACAGCTATGTACAGCGATGTCTGCAAAGATAGGGATTTAACAGCACTCATATCTTCATGTTCATAAAAAAGTCCTACACGCGTGATGTACGTCTAGATCTTTCCTTTTGTCACAGGATATAGCACGGTAGTTACGGATATAGTCTCCGCAGTGCCTGGGTTTGACTCAGCTTCCCCACGTACTGTCCTGCGCATATTTTGTGTCTCAGTTTCCTCATCTTTAAGGTAGGAATATCAATGGTAACTACCTCTTACGGTGGTAGCAACTAACCAGCTCTGCCACTTCTGTGATCTCTAAGCAGTTTTGATCATACACCCAGCAGTAAAAATTAAGTATCTCTCCAGCCCCAATATCTATAAGCTGTGTGTTACATTAATTTACTTGGGTTCCAACATGTGTATTTTATAAAACAGAGGATGGGGATTTTAAAAGTATGAGGACTGGGGCCGGGCGTGGTGGCTCATGCCTGTATTCCCAGCACTTTGGGAGGCCAAGGCGGGCAGATCACGAGGTCAAGCTATGGAGACCATCCTGGCCAACATGGTGAAACCTCGTCCCCACTAAAAAAACAAGAATTATCTGGGCGTGGTGGCACGTGCCTGTAGTCCCAGCTACTCAGAAGGCTGAGGCAGGAGAATCACTTGAACCCGGGAGATGGAGGTTGCAGTGAGCAGAGATCACACCACTGCACTCCTGCCTGGCAACAGGGCAAGATTCCATCTCAAAAAAAAATAAATAAATAAAGTATGAGGACAGGCCAGTCGTGGTGGCTCATGCCTGTAATTCTAGCTTTGGGAGGCCAGGGCAGGAGGATTACTGGAGTCCAAGAGTTTGAGACCAGCCTGGGCAACATGGCGAAACCCTGTCTCTATAAAAATACCAAAAAAATTAGCCAGGTGTGGTGGTGCAAGCCTGTAGTCTCAGCCACTTGGGAAGCTAAGGCAGGTGGATTGACTGAGCCCCGAAGGCAGAGATTGCACTGAGCCGTGATCACCCCACTGCACTCCAGCCTGGGTGACAGAGTGAGGCTCTATCTCCAAAAAAAGAAAAAAAAAATGAGGTCAAACAAAATTACCAGTTTGTTCTTTTTAGATTTTAGAGTTAGAGTCTTGCTGTGTTGCCCGGGCTGGAGTGGACTGGCATGATCATAGCTCACTGCAGCCTCGAACTCCTGGGCTCAAAGCAATCCTCCTGCCTCAGCCTCCTGAGTAGCTGGGGCTACGGGTGCACACTACCATGCCCAGCCAACTTTTTGATTGTTTGTAGAGGTGGGGTGTATTAGTCCATTTTCACACTGCGATAAAGAACTACCTGAGCATGGGTAATTTATAAAGAAAAGGTTTAATCGACTCACAGTTCTCCATGGCTGGGGAAGCCACAGGAAACTTACAATTATGGCAGAAGGCAAAGGGGAAGCAAGGCACATCTTACATGGTGGCAGGAGACAGAGTGAAGGGGGGAATTGTCACACACTTTAAACCATGAGATCTCATGAGAACTCACCATCATGAGAACAGCATGGGGAAAACCGCCCCCATGATTCAATCACCTCCCACCAGCAACACGTGGGGATTACAATTCTATATGAGATTTGGATGGGGACACAGAGCCAACCCATATCACAGGAGTCTCACTATGTTGTCCAGGTCAGTCTCCTGGGCTCAGGCGATCCTCCTGCCTTGGCATCCCAAATTGCTGAGGTTACAGGTGTGAGCCACCACAGATGGCCTGATATTTTTTTCTTAGCCCCCAACAATGAGCTTCTGCACCCTCTTTGGAGACAACTGCTATAACTCAGTTTGTCCCAGAAGTAGGCCATATGTGGCCCTAGGACCAAAGGGTCGCTACACCAAGGGCAGGCAGTGTTTTGGAAGGGCTGGTGTTTGCCAAGGGTGGCTGTGGCAAACAATGAGAACAGACTGGGAATTCTCACAGAGCAGAGAGTTGAACACACGGATCTTCAGGGAGTGCCGGTGTGGGTGTAGCCCCTGTGTATGTGGGCAAGAAATGAGCCCTACCGCAGCAGCCAGGGTGGTGCTCAGGACTTCATGTGCGTGATTTTCTTACCACCCCTCAGAAAGTAAGGACCCTTAGCCCATTCTACAAAGCCAGCAGAACTGAGGCTCAGAGAAGCAGGGTGAAGAATCGAAACCTAGGTCTCTCACCAGCGCTCTATGTTGTCAACCACAGTGCTGAGAAAGTTAAACAGGAACCAGATAGCCGGGGCTGTCTAGTCATGTGCAGAAGAGACAGTTTCTGAGACTGCCCCACCCAGTTATGACTTCCTGCTAAACCAGCTCCTGCCAGGGCCACAGCAGAGGAGATGGGAGATCATACACAGAGAGGAGGTTCCCCGCTTACAAGGCGTGATGAAGTGTGTTTTAAAGGAGAGCAAGCCTTACTTTCCAGTATTTGCACACAATGCTCAGTTGAAAATCAGTAGAAGTAGCTGGAATCATGGAGATCATTGATGAAGACTGTAAAGTTTTGAACAACTGTCTTGGGGAGCAGACAGTCTTCTGTGCTATTTGGTCTTAAATGCTCTGAGGTAAAAGAATGCAGCTGTCGGCCGGGCATGGTGGCTCACGCCTGTAATCCTAGCATTTTGGGAGGCTGAGGCAGGAGGATCACAAGGTCAGGAGTTCCAGACCAGCCTGGCCAATATGGCGAAACCCCGTCGCAACTAAAATTAGCCAGGCGTGGTGGTGGGTGCCTAAAATCCCAGCTATTCAGGAGGCTGAGGCGGGAGAATTGCTTGAACCTGGGAGGCGGAGGTTGCAGTGAGCCGAGATTGCACCACTGCACTCCAGCCTGGGCAACAGAGCAAGACTCCATCTCAAAAAAAAAAAAAAGTTACAATAGTAAATAGTAAAATTTTATGTATATTTTACCACAGTGAAAAAATTTAAAAACAAAACACTATGGGCTGAAAGTGGGGGCTGGGGAGACAAGTGTGATTGTTCTGCAGCTGGAGAGAGCCGGGGCTCCCCCTTCTCTGATGAGCAAGCACCTGTCCCATCCTCAGAGGTGTTTAGAAGCAGATGAGAGGTAGCAAATTAAGCAGAAGCTTGCCCTTCAATGTTTTGGCTATAGAAATGGAAGTCACTTGACATTTTACCCTAAACTGATGTTATAATAATGACTTTTAGGAACAGATGGCCCTTTCTTTCTAGCCTCCTTCCTGGCGGCCACTTATCCATCTCTTCTGCCTCCTCCAACCACTCAGCGTTATCATCTCTTGCATTTCATAACATATGCCATTCCATCTGCTTGATATTATTTTATCCTCCTCCTCCACCTGGCAGAGTCCTAGTTAAGTCATTTTTTGGTTTATTTAACAAATATGTGGGAACCAGGCTGAGTTCTGGTTTTGAGGAGCTTCTTGCTCTCTTTCTGTACTTCCTCAGGTACAGGGAGGGACTCTGCCATAGGGTGGCCCTATGATTAACATAGTTGCCCATTGCTGGCTGAGAGGTAGGAGCTGTTTTATGAAACAAACAGGGTCCATATCTTCGGTTCCTAGCGGTGTCTGGCATATATAGGTGCCCGGTACGTGACTAAACGAACATGAAGGTTGATGTATCTGCCCAAGGCGGTGCTAGAAGGAAGAGGGGAAGGTACTAAACCAAATGTTTAATCAATTAATTTGTAGGACTAGACAGGTGGGGGCTCAGAGAACAGTGGGTTTTCTGCCCCAAACTTGGACCTTTCATCATCTTAATAATCATCTCCCCGAGGCAGATGCTATTTCACTGATCACCCACCTTTTGCTCAGGAGGATGTTCTTCCTGGTATGCTTTTTTTTTTTTTTTTTTTTTTGAGACAGGGTCTCGCTGTGTTGCCCAGGCTGGAGTGCAGTGGCACGATCTTGGCTCACTGCGATCTCCATCTCCCGGATTCCAGTGATTCTTGTGCCTCAGCCTCCTGAGTAGCTGGGACTACAGGCATACACCAGCACGCCCGGCTAAATTTTGTATTTTCAGCAGAGATGGGGTTTCACCATGTTGCCCAGGCTGATCTCAAACTCCTGACTCAAGTGATGTACCCACCTCGGCCTCTCAAAGTGCTGGGATTACAGGCGTGAGCCGCCACGACTGGCTCTCTCTTTTTTTTTTTTTCTTTTGAGACAAGGTCTCACTTTGGCTTTGTTGCCCAGGCTGAAGTGCAGTGGCGTGATCATGGCCCACTGCAGCCTCGACCTCCCAGGTTCAGCCTCCTGTGTAACTGGGACCACAGGTGTGTGCCACCATGCCCAGCTAATGTTTTTTATTTTTATTTTATTTTATTTTATTTTTGAGATGGAGTCTGGCTCTGTTGCCCAGGTTGGAGTGCAGTGGCTCAATCTTGGCTCACTGCAACCTCTGCCTCTGGGTTCAACAATTCTCCTGCCTCAGCCCCCAGAGTAGCTGGGGTTACAGGCATCCACCACCACAACCAGCTAATTTTTGTATTTTTAGTAGAGACAAGATTTCACCATATTGTTCAGGCTGGTCTCAAATTCCTGACCTCAGGTGATCTGCCCACCTCGGCCTCCCAAAGTGCTGGGATTACAGGCATGAGCCACTGCACCTGGCCTGTTTTTTATTTTTTGAAGAGACTGGATCTCCCTATGTTGACCAGGCTGGTCTCAAATTCCTGGGCTCAAGCAAACCTCCCACCTCAGACTCCTAAAGTGCTGGGATTACAGGTGTGAGCCACCACACCCAGCCCCCTGACATGCTTTTTACCTCTTCCCTGCTGGTTCCAGGACTACCCAGCTTCAGTCCAACCCCCCTAAAGCATCTCTGTGAAGACCACCCATGCCGTCTTCACTAGGCTTGTCCATAATTCTCGCCGGACCCTTTGACAACCAAACAGGACTCGGTGCACAGCTGTACTTCTTGCAGCTCTTTGTGTTATATGAATGGTACTGTGTTAACTAAGGACTCAATTGAATAGTGTTCCACGTTTCTCCTCCTATTATGTTTTGTTTGTTTCCGTCTTATCCAAGATAACAATCTAAATTTCATGCCCGGATATGGTGGCTCACGCCTGTAATCCCTATACTTTGGGAGAGATCACTTGAGGTCAGGAGTTCGAGACCAGCCTGGCCTACGTGGTGAAACCCTGTCTCTACAAAAAGTACAAAAATTAGCCAGATGTGGTGGTGTGTGCCTGTAATCCTAGCTACTTGGGAGGATGAGGCAGGAAAATCGCTTGAACCCAGCGGGGCAGAGGCTGCAATAAGCCTAGGTCACACTACTGCACTCCAGCCTGGGTGACAAAGCGAGACTCTGTCTCAAAAATAAATAAATAAATAAATAAAATAAATTGTGTCAGGAAACAGACAAGTTGTTTAATGTTTTGGGAGGGGTAGCTCTTGTGGCCAGCTGAAGACGATGATTGGCCTAATACTATTTGAAATGCTTGTTCCCTGGTGCCATAAAGAAATAGCACTTGAACATACATTTAATTTACTCAGCAAGGCCATTTTTACTTCCTGCAGAAAAGGTACACTCGCCAGCAGTTTTGCCATGAGAGTACACCAAACAAAGGAGACAGGGTCATTTATACTGCTGTGTCCGGTTTCCATTGGCTGGAACGGGACCTCACATTCTGTATTTGTCCCGATTGGCTAACAACTTAGAACTTTTTAAAAGAGGCAAAAGGTGGAGGAGAACAAAGGAAGGAGGAAGGCCGGGTGCAGTGGCTCACACCTGTAATCCCTGCACTTTGGGAGGCCGAGGCGGGCATATCACGAGGTCAGGAGATCGAGACCATCCTGGCTAACATGGTGAAACCCCGTCTCTACTCAAAATACAAAAAAAATTAGCCGGGCATGGTGGCAGGCACCTGTAATCCCAGCTACTTGGGAGGCTGAGGCAGGAGAATGATGTGAACCTGGGAGGCAGAGCTTGCAGTGAGCTGAGATCGCGCCACTGCACTCCAGCCTGGGCAACAGTGCAAGAAAAGAAATGAGGAAGTAATTTGTGGAATGCTGAGAAAGGTAAAAACACCTTCAAATAAGGAAGAGGAACAGGCTATGACCTAATGCTTGCTTGGACCAGTATAAGCATGCCAGGGCAAATATTTAGGCTAAATTGTGGGAGCTAAGAACTTAAAGTACATTGATTATCATGGCTAGCAGATATTTAAGAATGTTAGCACAGGTCTTTGAATAAATTTTGCTTCTAAGAGAAGTTACTATTTATTCCTAATTAAATGGGGAGGAAAGTCTTTGAAGAGGAACCTCTACTTTACTTTTTACAATATGTACATATGAAGCTAGGCAGGCACCATGACACACCTGTAGTCCCACTTACTCAGGAGGCTGAAACAGGAAGATGATTGAGACCAGGAGTTTGAGACAAACCTTGGCAACGTAGCAAGACCACATCTGTACAAAAAGTCAGAAAATCAGCTGGGCATGGCTGCACAAACCTATAGTCCCAGCTACTCAGGAGGCTGAGGCAGAAAGATAACTTGAGCCCAGGAGTTCAAGGCTGAGGTGACTTATGATCGAGCCATTGCACTCTAGCCTGGGCAACAGAGTAAGACCCTGTCTCAAAAAGAAAAAAAAAAATCTGCATAATCAATATCACCAGCAAGGTAAAAGATAAATGGCAAACTGAGAAAAATATTTCAGACTCCTGTCACAAAGTGCTTATTTCTCCAATACTTGAAGAATGCCTACCAAAAAAAAAAAAAAAAAAAAAAGAAAAGAAAAATGGGCAATGGATATGAGTAGGGAGTTTACCAAAAAATACAATTGGCCTTTACACATGTAAAATATGCCAAAATTTACAATGTTAGAAAAAAATAAAAATTGTTCTGAGATATTATTCACTGATCATTTGCAGGTATCAATAAGGGAAAACAGGATACTCCATATATTGCAGGTAGGAATATAAATTGGTTCAACCTCTCTGGAGGAAATTTGGCAATTTCTATCAAAATTACAAATGCATGTACCTTTTGACCCAGAAAATCTATTTCCAGGAATTTATCTGATATATGTGCATATGCACAAAATGACTTATGTACAAGTTATTCATTAAAGTAGTACTGGCCAGGTGCGGTGGCTCATGCCTGCCTGTAATCCCAACACTTTGGAAGGCCGAGGCAGGTGGATCACCTGAAGTCAGTCAGGAGTTCAAGACCAGCCTGGCCAACGTGGTGGAACCCCGTATATACCAAAAATACAAAAATTAGCCAGACATGGTGGCATGTCCCTGTAATCCCAGCTATTCAGGAGGCTGAGGCAGGAGAATCTCTGAACCCAGGGGGTTGGAGGTTGCAGTGAGCTGAGATCGTGCCCCTGTACTCCAACCTGGGCGACAGAGTGAGACCCTGTCTCAAAATAAATAAATAAATAAAATATAAAGTAGTACTGATAGTAGCATAGGTTTGGAGACAAACTCCGTGTTCTCCAGTAGGAGACTGGCTAAATAAATTGTGACACATTAATTTAATGGAATATTATGAAGATGCAAAATACTGTGAGGAAGCTCTTTTTTTTTTTTTTTTTTCTGAGATGGAGCCTCGCTCTGGAGACTGGAGAGCAGTGGCGCGATCTTGGCTCACTGCAACCTCTGCCTCCCAGGTTCAAGCAATTCTCCTGCCTCAGCCTCCTGAGTAGCTAGGGTTATAGGCATGCACCACCATGCCCGGGTAGTTTTTGTAGTTTTAGTAGAGACGGGGTTTCACCATGTTGGCCAGGCTGGTCTTGAACTCCTGACCTCTGGTGATCCACCTGCCTCGGCCTCCCAAAGTGCTGGGATTACAGGTGTGAGCACTGGCCAGAGGAACTTCTTAATAGCCTTGTCTTTTGGCACCCATGGGGCACAGTTTGTGCAGTGAATCGGCTGCGTGTGGCCGCAGCCCTTTTTGGCAGGACCATTATTCCTTTCCTTTGTATCTTTAGTAGAGGCGGGGTTTCACCATGTTGGCCAGGCTAGTCTGAAACTCCTGACCTCAAGTGATCCGCCGCCTCAGCCTCCCAAAGTCCTTATCTTTGTCAACTTGGAGGTGAGGACCCAAGAGAGCAAATAGGGATTTTTTGGTTTGTTTTTTGTTTGTTTGTTGTTTTTGTTTTTTATGTTGTTTTGTTTGTTTGTTTGTTTGTTTTTGAGACAGGGTCTCACCCCGTTGCCCAGGCTGGAGTGCAGTGGCAGGATCAAGGCTCACTGGAGCCACAACCTCTCTGCCTTAATCGATCCTCCTACCTCAACCTCCCAAGTAGCTGGGGCCACAGGCGTGCACCACCACACCCGGCTGATTTTTTGTAACTTTCTGTAGAGACGGGGTTTCACTATGTTGCCCAGGCTGCTCTCAAACTCCTGGAATCAAGTGATCCTCCCATCTAAGCCTCCCAAAGTGGCAGGATTACAGGCATGAGCCACCACCCCCAGAGTAGTTTTTATAATTTAAAAAAATCCTTTTATACCAACCTCTTATAAGTTTAACCTCTACTTGATTGCCTTCTGCTTCTCTTATATGAGTAAGACTTGGGAATGTAGAATTAACTTCACAGTATGTTACTATTGTGTAAAAAAAAAGTGGGGAAGTGGGACGGGCAAGAATTTGTATGTATAGGTATGTATTTGCTTAGACATGGATAGACTATTGTCTATTCCTATTGCTGCTGTAACAGATTACTGCAAATTTAGTGGTTTAAGACTACAGAAGTCCGGGCTCGGTGGCTCACACCTGTAATTCCAACACTTTGGGAGGCCAAGGCGGGTGAATCACAAGGTCAGGAGTTTGAGACCAGCCTGGCCATCATGGTGAAACCCTGTCTCTACTAAAAATACAAAAAATTAGCTGGGCATAGTGGCGGGTGCCTGCAATCCCAGCTACTCAGGAGGCAGAGGCAGGAGAATTGCTTGAACCTGGGAGGCGGAGGTTGTAGTGAGCCGAGATCATGCCACTGTACTCCAGCCTGGGTGACAGAGTGAGACTCCGTTTCAAAAAAAAAAAAAAGATTACAGAAATGTATTCTCTTCCAGTTCTGAGAGCAGACGTCCAAAATGAGTTTCACTAGGCTGAAACCAAGGTGTCTACAGGGTCTCGATCCCTCTAGAGGCCCTAGGGGCTCTAGGATGTAGTCTCTTGCCTTTCTAGCTTTCAGAGCTGCATTACCTACATTCCTTGCCCCCTTCTCCATTTCGAAAGCTAGAAGCACAGCATCTTCTCGTCTCTCTCTGCTTCAGCAGTCAAATAATCTTCTGTTGGCTCATGCCTATAATCCCAGCACTTTGGGAGGCCAAGGCAGGCAGATCACCTGAGGTCAGGAGTTTGAGACCAGCCTGGCCAACATGGCGAAACCCCGTTGGTACTAAAAATACAAAAAATTAGCTGGGCATAGTGGTTTGAGCTAGTAGTCCCAGCTATTTGGGAGGCTGAGTCAGGAGAATCACTTGAACCCGGGAGGCAAAGGTTACAGTGAGCTGAGATTGTGCCATTGCCTTCCAGCCTGGGTGACAGAGCGAGATTCTGTCTAAAAAAATGATAATAATAAATAAATTAGCTGGGTGTTGTAGCACACGCCTGTAATCCCAGCTACTGGGGATGCTGAGGCAAGAGAATCGCCTGGGAGACAGAGGTTGCAGAGAGCTGAGATCACACCACTGCACTCCAGCCTGGGCAACAGAATGGGACTCTGTCTCAAAAAAAAAAAAAAGATAAATTGGCTCATTTGGTCTTGTTGCCCCCACCCAGGAGCCAACTCTGCACAAGAGGATGGCTTCAACCCCCTATATTTCATCTTCAACCTGACTAACCAGCACTCCCCACTTCCTGGCCCCCATCCACCAACTTATCCTTAAAAAACCCCAGTCTCCAGGCGGAGGTTGCAGTGAGCTGAGATCGCGCCACTGCACTCCAGCCCAGATGATAGCGCAAGACTCTGTCTCAAAAAACAAAAACACCCAGTCTCCAAATTTTCAACTGTCGACGAAAAGAATCAAACTCTGTAAAATATGTGAAGAGATTTATTCTGAGCCAAATGCAAGTGATCCTGGCCCATGACACAGGCCTCAGGCTCAGGAGGTCCTGAGAACATGCGCCCAAGGTGGTTGGGGCACATTTTAGGAAGGCATGAGAAATCAATCAAATACATTTGAGAAATACATTGGTCAGCTGGTCGCGGTGGCTCACGCCTATAATCTTAGCACTTTGGGAGTCCAAGGTGGGTGGAACACCTGAGGTCAGGAGTTCGAGACCAGCCTGGCCAATAGGGTAAAACCCCATCTCTACTAAAAATACAACAATTAGCCGGGCAAACTCAGGAGGCTGAGGCTGGAGAATCTCTTGAACCCAGGAGGCAGAGGTTGCAGTGAACTGAGATCCCGGCAAGAGCGAAACTCTATCTCAAAAAAAAGAAATACATTGATTTGGTCCAGAAAGGCAGGACAACTCAAAGTTGGCGGGGGGTGGGTGGTGGGCAGGGGTTTGAGGCTGTAGGTAAATTTAAACATTTTCTGGTTGACAATTGGTTGAGTTTGTCTAAAGACCTGGGATCAACAGAAAGGGAATGTTCAGGTTAAGATAAAATATTGTGGAGACTGGGTGTGGGGGCTCACGCCTGTAATCCCAGCACTTTAGGAGGCCAAGGTGGGTGGATCACTTGAGGTCAGGAGTTTGAGACCAGCCTGGTCAACATGGTGAAATCTCATCTCTACTAAAAATACAAAAAAAAAAAAAAAAGCCAGGCGTGGTGGTGGGCGTCTATAGTCCCAGCTACTCGGGAGGCTGAGGCGGGAGAATCGCTTGAACCCAGCAGGTGGAGGTTGCAGTGAGCTGAGATTGCCTCACTGCACTCCAGCCTGGTCAACAGAGCGAGGCTCCATCTCAAAAAAAAAAAAAAGAAAAAGAAAAAAAGATTGTGGAGACCAAGGTTCTTTTGAAGTCTTTATACTGGCTGCCCTTAGAGACAAAGATGACAAATGTTTCCTATTCAGACCTTTAAAAGGTGCTAGAGTCTCAATCTTTTCAAGATTGGGAGGGCGTGGAAGAAAGAGATCCAGCTATGTTAATAGAGATTCTTTACAGATGCAAATTTCTCTCCACAAAGGACGGCTTTTCAGGGCCATTACAAAATATGGCAAAGAAACATGTTTTGGGTTAAAATTTTTCTTCTTTGTCACCTAATGTTATGCCAGAATCAGATTGGAAAGTAAGTCACAATATATAGGGTTAAGTAAAACCTGTCTGATGAGAATTTATGGTTTGTAGGGCATGAATCCCCAGATCCCTTAGATAGGAATTTCATCACGATAAGAAAAACATTAGCATTTTAAGCTGGGCTTGGTGGCTCACGCCTGTAATCCCAACAGTTTGGGAGTCCAAGGCGGGCAGATCACCTGAGGTCAGGAGTTCCAAGACCAGCCTGGCCAACATGGCAAAACCTTATCTCTACTAAAATTACAAAAATCAGCTGGGCCTGGTGGCGTGTGCCTGTAATCCCAGCTACTCAGGAAGCTGAGGCAGGAGAATTGCTTGAACCTGGGAGGCGGAGTTTGCAGTAAGCTGCACTCTGGCCTGGGCAACAGAGCGAGACTCCCTCTCAAAAAAAAAAAAAAAAATCAGTGCTTAGTCCTCACAACTTTTGGGGAGACTGAATTTGGGTAACAATAAAACTCCATTCAGTCAGCTCTGTGTGAATTAAACCCTTTCTCTATTGCAATCCCTCTGTCTTGATAAATCGGCTCTATCTGGGCAGTTGGCAAAATGAACCCGTTGGGCAGTTACAATTCCCTTTTGCCATATATGTTTACATTCACAGGTTCCAGAGATTAGGATGTGGCTATCTTTGGGGGTCATTATTCTGCCTATTAAATAAAGTCTATGGGGTGGGCGAGGTGGCTTATGCCTGTAATGACAACACTTTGGGAGACTGAGGCGGGAAGATCACCTGAGGTCAGGATTTCAAGACCAACCCGGCTAACATGGCAAAACCCCATCCCTACTAAAACTACAAAAATTAGCCAGGTGTGGTGATATGCATCTGTAGTCCCAGCTACTCAGGAGGCTGAGGCAGGAGAATCCTTTGAACCCAGGTGGTGGAGGTTGCAGTGAGCCAAGATGGTGCCACTGCACTCCAGCCTGGGCAACAGAACAAGACTCCATCTCAAAATAAATAAATAAATAAATAAATAAAAATAAGTAAATAAATAAAATATATGGGAAGCCATTTATTTGGACCGAACACTTGCACTAGACCCAACAGACTAAAACAAAAATGGAGTCACTCATGCCAAAGTTGCACGTCACCAAGCAAAACTAAGTTGTTCATTTGATGCAAATGGGCCAGTTTTAGCCGGCATAATAAGGAAGTCCCCTCTGTTTGCCCTTACAAGGAAAGTAACCTGAAGTAACCAGATACTAATCAACCTACTTTTTGTATTTGCTGTTTTCTTGTTCCTGCTCATGTTACCTTCCAAACCCGACTGTTCTGCCGTGCCCAACAGAGCACCTGTGTTTTTAGATGAGATGCTCCCCATTCACGCCTCACAAACAAAGCCAATTATATCATTAAACTAAATTTGTTGAAATGTGGTCTTTTGAGAAACCTAACAAAACTGTCTGTTCAAATTGGCTCTCAATCTGTTTGACACAATGGCGGTGGTCTTTAATAGTGTCTTTGCTATCTGGTGTGACAAGAGTTTCCAGGATTCTCTTGGCAGACTTGGAATCAGTCATCTTAGATGCCTTGTTCTTTTTTGATTCCGGGGTGGGGAGGCGGGGAGAAGTAGAAAAATGGTATTTTGAGATTACAATCCTAATTCCTTTTATTTATTTATTTATTTATTTATTTATTTATTTTTTGAGACAGAATCTCGTTCTGTCGCCCAGGCTGGAGTGCAGTGGCGCAATCTCAGCTCACCGCAGCCTCCACCTCTCAGGTTCAAGCAGTTCTCCTGGCTCAGCCTCCAAAGTAGCTGGGATTACAGGCACCCGCCACCATGCCCGGCTAATTTTTTGTATTTTTAGTAGAGACAGGGTTTCGCCATGTTGGCCAGTGTGGTCTCGAACTCCTGACCTCAGGAGATCCACCTGCTTCAGCCTCCCAAAGTGCTGGGATTACAGGCGTGAGCCACCGCGCCCAGCCTACAAGCCTAATTCTATATGTGCTCATTGCTGCTAGGTTGCTCATTGTTTCTAGGCCTTTTCAGTGAAGAGCTAAGAGCTAGAAAACACACTTTTTTTTTTTTCTTGAGACAGGACCTCCCTTTTTTTTTTTTTTTTTTTGAGACGGAGTCTCGCTCTGGCGCCCAGGCTGGAGTGCAGTGGCGCGATCTCCGCTCACTGCAAGCTCCGCCTCCCGGGTTCACGCCATTGTCCTGCCTCAGCCTCTCGAGTAGCTGCGACTACTGGCGCCCGCCACCACGCCCGGCTAATTTTTTGTATGTTTTAGTAGAGACAGGGTTTCACCGTGTTAGCCAGGATGGTCTCCATCTCCTGACCTCGTGATCCATCCGCTTCCGCCTTCCAAAGTGCTGGGATTATAGGCGTGAGCCACCGCGCCCGGCCGGGTCTCCCTTTTTCACCCAGACCGGAGTGCAGTGGCACAATCAGGGCTCAGTGCAGTGTTGACCTCCCGGGCTCAATCAGTCTTCCCACCTCTCCCTCCCAAGTAGCTGGGACCATAGGTGCACACAACCACACCCAGCTAATTTTTTTTTTATTTTTGTAGAGACAAGGTCTTGCTATGTTGCCCAGGCTGGTCTCAAACTCCTAGGCTCAAGCAATCCACCTGCTTCAGCCTCTTAAAGTGCTAGAGGGGACCCGGTGGCTCACGCCTGTAATCCCAGCACTTAAGGAGGTTGAGGCGGGTGGATCGCTTGAGCCCAGGAGTTTGAAACCAGCCTAGGCAACATGGCAAAATCCCATCTCTACAAAACAAACAAACAAACAAAAAAACATACAAAAATAAGCTGGGTGTGGTAGCACCCTGTAGTCCCAGCTACTTGGGAGGCTGAGAGGTGAGAGGATCACTTAAGCATAGGAGGTTGATGCAGCAGTGAGCTGTGATCGTGCCACTGCACTCCAGCGTCGGCGACAGAGTGAGACTCCGTTTCAAAAAACAACCCCACCCCCAGAAAAACCCTCATGAATTCATAGTGATATTTCTGATTCACAGAAAATTCAGATTTGACTTTTTGTTCTTTAGACTTACACGTAAATTTGAATTTGTCTGATATGAGCAGCACAGGTGCGTGGCTGAGCAACTGCTGTGGTCAGGAAGTCCCCATAAGCCTTGATGCCTCCAGTTCACAGTCAAAACTGCTGGCTGGGTATTTACTTGACCCTCTATACATTATGTTTATACAGTATGTCTTTTTTTTTTTTTGAGACAGAGTCTTGCTCTTTCACCCCGGCTGGAGTGCAGTGGCGTGATCTTGGCTCACTGCAACCTCTGCCTCCCAGGTTCAAGCGATTCTCCTGCCTCAGCCTCCTGAGTAGCTGGGACTACAGGCACCTGCCACCACACCTGGCTGATTTTTGTATTTTTTTTGTAGAGAAAAAATACACCACGTTGAACTCCTGGTCCCAAGTGATATGCCCACCTCGGCCTCCCAAAGTGCTAGGATTGTGGGTGTGAGCCACCGCGCCTGGCCCATTACATCTTTTACATCCCTGATTTTGATTTCTTCCTACAAGTAAATATGTATTTAAAATTCATCATCATCTTATGTTAATATAGACAGACATTTTGTTTGTCTAATGTTTGTTCTTTGGAAGATTCCTAAAAAAGAAATCATGAGAACAATATTTCTTGAGTTATTGCATATTGATGACAGTTTGTGGCCTTTATCTTGAATCTCACTTTGGCTAATTATAAAATTCTTGGCACATATGTTCTTTCCTTCAGTTTATTAAAAAATATATACTATTGAGTTTTCTTTTGGCCTAAAGCACTGCTGGCAAAGTTTGATGATAGTTTGATCTTTTTTCCTTTACAAATAACTTGGTTATTTTGCCTGGATTTATAAGAAATTAAAGTCCAATAATTTTACTAAAGTAAGCCTTGGTATTGGTGGTTCTAGGTCAGTTTCTTCAGACATTTACTGTGTTCTTTTTTTTTTTTTAAATAGAGATGGAGTCTTACTATGTTGTTGCATAGGCTGGTCTCAAACTACTAGGCTCAAGCAATTCACCAGCCTT
The DNA here is from genome assembly GCF_000001405.40 of Homo sapiens. Lineage (NCBI taxonomy): Eukaryota > Metazoa > Chordata > Mammalia > Primates > Hominidae > Homo > Homo sapiens. The sequence goes on from NC_000021.9 coordinate 36,311,252, forward strand.
GGCCTTCCAAAGTCTTGGGATTAAGGGTGTGAGCCATTGCACCCAGCCAACTGTGCCTGTTTTTTTTTGTTGTTGTTGTTGTTTTTGAGACGGAGTCTCCTTCTGTTGCCCAGGCTGGAGTGCAGTGGCGCCATCTCAGCTCACTGAAATCTCCGCCTCCTGGGTTCAAGCGATTCTCCCGCCTCAGCCTCCCGAGTAGCTGGGATTACAGGTGCCTGCCACCATGCCTGGCTAATTTTTTGTATTTTTAGTAGAGACGGGGTTTCACCATGTTGGCCAGGCTGGTCTCGAACTCCTGACCTTTTGATCTGCCCTCCTCAGCCTCCCAAAGTTCTGGGATTACAGGTGTGAGCCACTGTGCCTGGCTTTTTTTTTTTTTTTCTGAGACAGAGTCTTACTCTGTCGTCCAGGCTACAGTGCAGTGGCATGATCTCAGCTCAATGCAACCTCTGCCTCCGGATTCAAGTGATTCTTGTGCCTCAGCCTCCCGAGGAGCTGGGATTACAGACATGTTTCCACCACACCCAGCTAATTTTTGTGTTTTTAGTAGAGATACCATGTTTACCAGGCTGGTCTCGAACTCCTGACCTCAGGTGATACATCGGCCTCGGCCTCCCAAAGTGCTGGGATTACAGGTACTCACCACCACGCCCAACTAATTTTTTTCTTTTTTTGAGACAGAGTTTCACTCTTGTTGCCCAGGCTGGAGTGCAATGAATGTCATGATCTCAGCTCACCGCAACCTCTGCCACCTAGGTTCAAGTGATCCTCCTGCCTCAGCCTCCAGAGTAGCTGGGATTACAGGCATGCGCCACCATGACCGCCTAATTTTGTATGTTTAGTAGAGACAGGGTTTCTCCATGTTGGTCAGGCTGGTCTCAAACTCCTAACCTCAGGTGATCTGCCCGCCTTGGCCTCCCAAAGTGCTGGGATTACAGACGTGAGCCACTGCGTCTGACCCAATTTAAAAAATACATATTTTTAGTAGAGACCGAGTTTCACCATGTTGGCCAGGCTGGTTTCAAACTCCTGACTGCAAGTGATCCGCCTGCCTTGGCCTCCCAGAGTGCTGGGATTACAGGCGTGAGCCACTGTGCCAGGCCATTTTTTTTTTTAAATTTTGGCAAAGAGGAGGGTCTTGCTTTGTTACCCAGGCGGATCTTGAACTCCCAGACTCAAGCAATCCTCCCACCTCAGCCTCCCAAAGTGCTGGGATTACAGACATGTATTATGGCACCTGGCCATATAGTTCATTTTATTTAAAGAGAAGTCACATCGAGCAGTGGAAGTGGAGAAAGAACAAATAAATCATACCTTATTTTTATTTTTTATTATTATTTTTTTTAGTCAGTCTTGCTCTGTTGCCCAGGTTGGAGTGCAATGACACCATCTTCGGCTCACTGCAACTGCTGCCTCCCGGGTTCAAGCGATTCTCTTGCCTCAGCCTCCCGAGTAGCTGGGATTACAGGTGTCCACCACCACGCCTGGCTAATTTTTGTTGTTGTTGTTGTGTTTTTTTTTTTATTTTTTTGAGACGGAGTCTCACTCTGTCACCCAGGCTGGAGTCCAGTGGCGCAATCTCGGCTCACTGCAAGCTCTGCCTCCTGGGTTCATGCCATTCTCCTGCCTCAGCCTCCCGAGTAGCTGGGACTACAGGCGCCTGCCACCATAACCGGCTAATTTTTTGTATTATTAGTAGAGATGGGGTTTCACCGTGTTAGCCAGGATGGTCTCGATCTCCTGACCTCGTGATCCACCCACCTCGGCCTGCCAAACTGCTGGGATTACAAGCGTGAGCCACCTTGCCCAGCCCATATCTCATTTTTGTATTAAATTAGTTTTCCTGACATTTATCGACGTCGTTTTTCCTTTGACCCTATTGATTCCCTGCTGCTTGGTTGGTTTTCTTCCCAGTACTTTCATCCCATGTGGGGCTTTGTCCTGGAAAGGCACGCTGGTTGGTTTACTTTTCAGAATCTGAGTGGGCCAGACTGCTCCTGCTCCCTGAGTCCTAGCTACAGTCTGGTGGTTCTCATTCATTGGTATAGGCGCCATCTTGCTGTTGTTCTTTTTTTTTTTTTTTTTAATATACTTTAGGTTCTGTGATACATGTGCAGAACATGCAGGTTTGTTACATAGGTATACATGTGCCATGGTGGCTTGCTGCACCCATCAACCTGTCATCTACATTAGGTATTTGTCCTAATGCTATTCCTCCTCTAGCCCCCACCCCCCGATAGGCCCTGGTGTGTGATGTTCCCCTCCCTGTGTCCAAGTGTTCTCATTATTCTACTCCCACTTATGAGTGAGAACATGCAGTGTTTGGTTTTCTGTTCCTGTGTTAGTTTGCTGAGAATGATGGTTTCTGGCTTCGTCCATGTCCCTGCAAAGGACATGCACTCATCCTTTTTTATGGCTGCATAGTATTCCATGATGTATATGTGCCACATTTTCTTTATCCAGTCTATCATTGATGGGCATTTGGGTTGGTTTCAAGTCTTTACTATTGTGAACAGCACTGCAATAAACATATGTGTGCATGTGTTTTTATAGTAGAATGATGTATAATCCTTTGGGTATATAATACCCAGTAATGCGATTGCTGGGTCAAATGGTATTTCTGGTTCTAGATCTTTGAGGAATCGCCACAATGTCTTCCACAATGGTTGAACTAATTTATACTCCCATCAACAGTGTAAAAGCATTCCCTATTTTCCACATCCTCTCTAGCATCTCTTGTTTCCAGACTTTTTAATGATTGCCATTCTAACTGGCATGATATGGTATCTCATTGTGGTTTTGATTTGCATTTCTCTAATAACTGGTGATGATGAGCTTTTTTTCATATGTTTGTTGGCCGCATAAATATCTTCTTTTGAGAAGTGTCTGTTCATATCCTTCACCCACTTTTTGATGGGTTTTTTTTTCTTGTAAATTTGTTTAAGTTCTTTGTAGATTCTGGATGTTAGCTTTTTGTCAGATGGATAGATTGCAAAACTTTTCTCCCATTCTGTAGGTTGCCTGTTCACTCTGATGATAGTTTCTTTTGCTGTGCAGAAGCTCTTTAGTTTAATTACATTTGTCAATTTTGACTTTTGTTGCCATTGCTTTTGGTGTTTTAGTCATGAATTCTTTGCCCATGCCTATGTCCTGAATGGTATTGCCTAGGTTTTCTTCTAGGGTTTTTATGGTTTTAGGTGTTGCATTTAAGTCTTTAATCCATCTTGAGTTAATTTTTATATAAGGTGTAAGGAAGGGATCCAGTTTCAGTTTTCTGCATATGGCTAGCCAGTTCTCCCAATACCATTTATTGAATAGGGAATCCTTTCCCCATCGCTTGTTTTTATCAGGTTTGTCAAAGTTCAGATGGTTGTAGATGTGTGGCATTATTTCTGAGGCCTTTGTTCTGTTCCATTGGTCTATCTGTCTGTTTTGGTACCAGTACCATGCTGTTTTGGTTACTGTAACCCTGTAATATAGTTTGAAGTCAGGTAGCATAATGCCTCCAGCTTTGTTCTTTTTGCTTAGGATTGTCTTGGCTATATGGGCTCTTTTTTGATTCCATATGAAATTTAAATTAGCTCCTTCAGGAGCTCTTGTAAGGCAGGCCTAGTGGTGACAAAATCTCAGCATTTGCTTGTCTGTAAAGGATTTTGTTTTTCCTTTGCTTATGAAGCTTAGTTTGGCTGGATATGAAATTCTGGGTTGAAAATTCTTTTCTTTAAGATTGTTGAATATTGGCCCCCACTCTCTTCTGGCTTGTAGAGTTTCTGTAGAGAGATTCACTCTTAGTCTGATGGGCTTCCCTTTGTGGGTAACCCGACCTTTCTCTCTGGCTGCCCTTAACATTTTTTCCTTCATTTCAACCTTGGTGAAACTAACGATTATGTGTCTTGGGGTTGCTCTTCTTAAGGAGTATCTTTGTGGTGTTCTCTGTATTTCCTGAATTTGAATGTTGGCCTGCCTTGCTAGGTTGAGGAAGTCCTCCTGGATAATATCCTGAAGAGTATTTTCCAACTTGGTTCCATTCTCCCCATCATTTTCAGGTACACCAATCAAACGTAGGTTTGATCTTTTCACATAGCCCCATATTTCTTGGAGGCTTTGTTCGTTCCTTTTCATTCTTTTTTCTCTAATCTTGTCTTCACGCTTTATTTCATTATGTTGATCTTCAATCTATGATATCCTTTCTTCCGCTTGATTGATTTGACTAGTGATACTTATGTATGCTTCACGAAGTTCTTGTGCTGTGTTTTTCAGCTCCATCAGGTCATGCATGTTCTTCTCTAAACTGGGTTTTCTAGTTAGCAATTCATCTAACCTTTTTCAAGGTTCTTAGCTTCCTTGCATTGGGTTAGAACATGCTCCTTTAGCTCAGAGGAGTTTGTCATTACCCACCTTTTGAAGCCTACTTCTGTTAATTTGTCAAAGTCATTCTCCATCCAGTTTTATTCCCTTGCTGGCAAGGAACTGTGATCCTTTGGAGGAGAAGAGGCGTTCTGGTTTTTGGAATTTTCAGCCTTTTTTGCGCTGGTTTCTCCTCATCTTCGTGGATTTATCTACCTTTGGTCTTTGATGTTGCTGACCTTCAGATGGGGTGTCTGTGTGGACGTCCTTCTTGTTTATGTTTATGCTATTGCTTTCTGTTTGTTAGTTTTCCTTCTAATAGTCAGGCCTCTCTGCTGCAGGTCTGCTGGAGTTTGCTGGAGGTCCACTCCAGACCCTGTTTGCCTGGGTATCACCAGCAGAGGTTGCAGAACAGCAAAGATTGCTGCCTGTTCCTTCCTCTGGAAGCTTCGTCCCAGAGGGGCACCCACCAGATGCCAGTGGGAGCTCTCCTGTATGAGGTGTCTGTCAATCCCTGGTGGGAGGTGTCTCCTAGTCAGGTGGCAGAAGGGTCAGGGACCCACTTGAGGAGGCAGTCTGTCCCTTAGCAGAGCTCAAGCACTGTGCTGGGAGATCTGCTGCTCTCTTCAGAGCTGGCAGGCAGGGATGTTTAATTCCGCCGAAGCTGCACCCACAGCCACCCCTTCCCCCAGGTGTTCTGTCCCAGGGAGATGGGAGTTTTATCTATAAGCCCCTGACTGGGGTTGCTGCCTTTCTTTCAGAAATGCCCTGCCCAGAGAGGAGGAATCTAGAGAGGCAGTCTGGCTATGGAGGCTTTGCTGAGCTGCAGTGGGCTCCCCACCAGTTCGAACTTCCCTGCAGTTTTGTTTACACTGTGAGGGGAAAACTGCCTACTCAAGCTTCAGTAATGGTGGATGCCCCCACCCTTCACTAAGCTTAAGCGTCCCAGGTCGACTTCAGATTGCTGTGCTGGCAGTGAGAATTTCAGGCCAGTGGATCTTAGCTTGCTGGGCTCTGTGGGGTTGGGATCCGTTGAGCTAGACCACTTGGTTCCCTGGCTTCAGCCCCCTTTCCAGGGGAGTGAACGGTTCTGTCTCACTGGCATTCCAGGCGTCACTGGGGTATGAAAAAAAACTGCAGCTAGCTCAGTGTCTGCTCAAATGGCCACCCAATTTTGTGCTTGAAACCCAGGGTCCTGGTGGTGTAGGCACCCAGGGGAGTCTCCTGGTGTGCAGGTTGTGAAGACTGTGGGAAAAGTGTAGTAGTATCTGGGCTGGAGTGCACCGTTCCTCAAGGCACAGTTCCTCCCAGCTTCCCTTGGGTAGAGGAGGGAGTTCCCCGGCCCCTTGCACTTCCCGGGTGAGGTGACGCCCCACCCTGCTTCTGTTCACCCTCTGTGGGCTGCACCCACTGTCTAAGCAGTCTCAATGAGATGAGCCGGGTACCTCAGTTGGAAATGCATCAATCACCTGCCTTCTGCGTTGGTCTCACTGGGAGACAAGCTGCAGACAAGAGCTGTTCCTATTCGGCCATCTTGCTACTCCCCCCTCTGTTGTTCTTAAACGGACACACTCGTGCATGTTGTTCCACTTGCTCCTGTCTTGGGGTTGATGAGGATGCCTTTTAGCTGTTTTTTTTATTTTTTTATTTTTGAGATAGAGTCTCACTCTGTTGCCCAGGCTGGAGTGCGATCCTCCCACCTCAGCCTCCCGAGCAGTTAGGACTACAGGTGTGCACCACCACGCCCAGAAAATTTTTTAATTTTTTTATTTTTTTTGTGGAGATGGGGTCTCCCCATGTTGCCCAGGCTGGTCTCCTGGGCTCGAGTGATCCGCCCATCTCAGCCTCCCAAAGTGCTGGGGTTACAGGCTTGAGACATGACACCCAGCCCTCTATGTGTTTTTATGGAGGGATTTATGTAGTGGTATTTTTGGGGTGGCTCAAAAACCATGTCCTCACACTATCTTTCCAGAATCCTCTCAACCTTAGGAAAATTTGAAGACATACTCTATTGTACAACAGGTTGTGCAGACCAGTCTGTTGTACAATAGGTTATGTCATCAATTCATCACTATCCTACTGCACTTCATCAATTCATCACTATCCTACTGCACTCTCTGTCTCCAATGCCAGGCTCTAATTACACTTGTCCCATATCAGTTCCTCAAACATGAGCAGCCCTTTCCAAATCTCTAGGCCTCTGCTGTTGTTTTTCTGGAATTGCAGAGTTGTGTCTCCCTCGAATGCTGTCCCTCTGAATTCTTTGGAAATTCCTCTCTATCCTGGTTACTTACTTCTTTGATCGGGCATGGTGGCTCACGACTATAATTCCAGCACTTCGGGAGGCCAAAGAAGGTGGAGCACTTGAGCCCAGGAGTTCAAGGCCAGCATGGGCAACACAGCAAGACCCCTTTCTCTATAAAAAATATTTTAAAAATCAGCTGAGTGTGGTGGCACACACCCGTTGTCCCAACTACTTGGGAGACTAAGGCGGGAGGATTGCTTGAACCCAAGAGTTCAAGGTTGCAGTGAGCTATGATTGTGCCACTGTACTCCAGCCTGGGCAACAGAGTCTCTAGAAAAAGAAAAAAATCCAGGCCAGGCGCGGTGGCTCACGCCTGTAATCCCAGCACTTTGGGAGGCAGAGGCGGGCGGATCACGAGGTCAGGAGATCGAGACCACGGTGAAACCCCGTCTCTACTAAAAATACAAAAAATTAGCTGGGCGCAGTGGCGGGCGCCTGTAGTCCCAGCTACTCGGGAGGCTGAGGCAGGAGAATGGCGTGAACCCGGAAGGCGGAGCTTGCAGTGAGCCGAGATCATTCCACTGCACTCCAGCCTGGGCGACAGAGCGAGACTCGGTCTCCAAAAAAAAAAAAAGAAAAAAAAATCCATTCTCTTTTGTTTCTTTTTCCTTTTTGAGACGAGAGTCTCGCTCTGTTGCCCAGACTGAGTGCAGTGGTGAGAACATGGCTCATTACAGCCTCAGTCTCCCAGGGTCAAGTAGTCCTCCCCACCTCAGCCTCCCAAGTAGCTGGAACCACAGGCGTGCGCCCCCAAGCACAATTAATTTTTTTTTTTTTTTGAGATGGAGTTTCGCTCTTGTTGTCCCGGCTGGAGTGCAGTGGTGTGATCTTGGCTCACCGCAACCTCCACCTCCTGGGTTCAAGTGATTCTCCTGCCTCAGCCTCTCCAGTAGCTGGGATTACGGGCATGTGCCACCACACCCGGCTAATTTTGTATTTTTAGTAGAGATGGGGTTTCGCCATGTTGGTCAGGCTGGTCTCAAACACCCGACCTCAAGTGATCTGCCCGCCTTAGCCTCCCAAGGTGCTGGGATTACAGGTGTGAGCCACCACGCCCTGCCAGCTAATTCAATTTTTTTTTTGTAAAGATGAGGTCTCCTCGTGTTGCCCAGGCTCGTCTCGAACTCCTGGGTTCAAGAGACCCTCGCAATGTAGCCTCTCAAAGTGCTGAGATTACAGACATGAGCCACTGCACCCAGCCAATTTCTCTTTCTAAAAATAATTAATTTTTTTGAGACAGTCTCACTCTGTCGCCCAGGCTGGAGTACAGTGGCGCGATCTGGGCTCACTGCAACCTCCTTGTCCTGGGTTCACCCACTTCTCCTGCCTCAGCCCCCCGAGTAGCTGGGATTACAGGCGCCCACTAATATGCCCAGCTAATTTTTGTATTTTTAGTAGAGATGGGGTTTCACCATGTTGGCCAGGCTGGTCTTGAACCCCTATCAAGTGAACCCCCAACCTCGACCTCCCAATGTGTTGGGATTATAGGCATGAGCCACTGCACCGGCCTTATGCCTTTAGGACTCTTATTTATTTATTTTGAGACGGAGTTTCACTCTTGTTGCCCAGGGTGGAGTGCAATGGCGCAATCTCGGCTCATTGCAACCTCCGCCTCCTGGGTTCAAGCATTCTCCTGCTTCAGCCTTCCGAGTAGCTGGGATTACAGGCATGTACCACCACGCCCGGCTAATTTTGTATTTTTAGTAGAGATGGGATTTCTCCATGTTGGTCAGGCTGGTCTCGAACTCCCGAAGTCAGGTGATCCGCCCGCCCACCTCGGCCTCCCAAAGTGCTGGGATTACAAGCGTGAGCTACCGCGCCCGGCCCCAGAACTCTTTTTTTTTTTTTTAAATCATGAGTTAGATTGATAGTTTTCAGGGCAAATCCAAACAGTCTACATTAATTTCCGTCTTTATTTCGTTAAGGTTTCACATGGACACTGGTGGATATGGAATGGCTTTTTTCTGCGCAATTCACATCCGACCAGGTCAAGTGACTGGAGTTCACCGGTCTCGGGTATACCGCATCTCGCGCCAGGCTTCAAACTCTAGATCCCCGAGTCTCGAGCTCCAGCTGGGTGTCGAGACGGGTACGGGCCGGCCGCGCCTCGCGCATGCGCCCTAGGCCCGCAGGGCCCCGCGCTGGAAGCTCAGCTCCCACTGTACCCTGCTTTAACCAGTCAGGCAATTCATCTTCCCCAAGCTCCCAATTCGGCATTGCCTGGAGGCGGAAGTGGGTGGGAGGGGCCAGACGTGCGCCCCTCCCCGGAAGTGGGCGGTACCCATAGGGCTCCACAGTCGTTCCGCCACCTCCCAGTCGGGTTGCGGCGGAGGCCGTTCCTGGCTTTGTAGCTCGCTCAAGATGGCGGCGCAGCCACCCCGCGGGATACGCCTCAGCGCGGTGAGCAGCCGCGAGGGGTGGAGCGGGCCGTGTCCCAGGAGGGCGGGCGGGCAAGCGAAGGGGGGCCGGCAGTGGGCGGTGGCGGCTTGTGGGGCCGACGCGGCGGCGGGGGCTGCGGCGGGGCCCGGGGAGGGGGCGGCCATCTCGCTCCCGTCGGCGGAACAGCTCGGCTGCGGGCCGGGCTGCGTTCCGTCGCCTCTGCATTGTGTTTCTGTTTTGCTTCGGGGCGGGCCAGGGTCGCGGCTCCTCCTCCCAGCTCCCTCCTAGTCTCCCAGCAGCTGTCGTCCGCGGGCGAGGCCTCGGCGGGAGATCGGTCTGCTCTCGGGGCCGCGGGGCCCCTGACCCTCTTCTGTCCGCTGGGCGTCGTGGTGGGAGGGAGCGGGTTCCGCGTCCAGAAACGCCGGCGGCCTCGACGTCCCGGGGGCGGGGGGACGGGGCTGCGGGCCTGCCTGCGGGCGAGTGGAGTCAGGATGAGTGTGCCTGATGCCTGTCAGTGCCTGCAGCTTCCTTGGCAGTGGAAGCCTTGGGGCCCAGACCCTAGATCGCTGAGCTCGAGCTCTCCTCTTTATCCCGCGTTGCGTCTGTTTTGGGGCGTTTCGAGTTCTTGGAAACCCTGTGAACATTTCTTGTATCTTAAATCGTAGGGAGCGGTCACACAAGATAACTTGAAATCTCACGTCCAGGAAATGTGGGCGTGGCTTCCCCACCTGATTATCCTAAAAAACTTTTCTACCTTGTGAGCGCAGTTGATGTTATGCTGAAATGTTCCTCTTTTCTGGAGGTTGTTGACTTTTGCCAAAGAATGACTGCCCTAGTGCCACTAATTTTAACATTCGAATGGGTAGTGACTCCTTGGGGTACAAACACGTAGTGAATAATTGGTGCATTGCTCTGGGACTTTCATTCGTTTAGGCAGATTCTAACACCTGGTTTTGACGGACTTTAAATTTTTTCTAGTCCGATATTTGTGAAATGATATTTGCTTTTACTTGCGTTTCCTTGACTGTTTGTGTTGTTGAGCTCTTCGCATGTATTAGTCTTTGTGGTTTTTTGTTTTGTTTTTTTGAATTGCCTATTCATATCCTTTGACCATTTTCTGTTTTTCTTTTGGGAGGATCTTTATTGATTTGTAAGAGTTCTTTACGTATTCTGGATAAAGGTCCATCCTTTCGTTATGTAACTAGCTTATTGAGTGAGCTAGGCTTTAGTAGTTTGAAAATAGAGGACAATTTTATTCTTTTTTTCTTTTTTTTTTTTTTAACCACTGAGTGTAAACATTAATTATTCCCCACTTGTGTGAATCTGGGTTGACTAACGCTTTCCCATTAGCTTAAGGTATTGTAAAGTCTGGCCTTACCTAGTTTAAAATCTCTATTCTCTCTCCCTCCCTTTTCCCCCTCTCTTTCCCCTATCTCCTTTCCCCACTTCTCTCTCCTTCCTCTCTCGAGGTTGAGTCTTGTTCAGGCCCAGAAACCTGTAGTGGAGAAACGGAGTGAGTTGATTTCCTGTTTCTGTCCTTTGATTCTCTTCTCCCTTCCCGCCCCCAGGCCCTTGTAGACTCTGGCTCTTCAAGATTGAGGGGAGAAAGGAAGCAGAGATAATGGTCAGTGTTTAGAGACCAGCATTGTTAGCGGGCACTCTGGGTGTAGCTGCTGTCCATGTGCTGGGTCTTTGTTTTGTGGGTAATATGGGCTGTTGGGAACCTGACTGACAGAAATCTCCCATCTGCAGCCTCTTTGCTTTTGCTTTAGGTCAGGAGTTGGCAAACTACATACAGCTCATGGGCCAAATCCAGCCCAGCACCTGTTTTTGTGTGGCCTGAAGGCTAAGAGTGATTTATACATTTGTAAATGGTTGAGAAAAAAAGAAGAATGTTTAGTGACATAAAAATTATGCGAAATACAAATTTCAGTTTCCATAAAATTTTATTGGAATATAGCCAGAAACATTATTTGCTTATAGTTTTCAAATGCATGCGTTAAGAGATAAAAATTAATGAGCTTATGTATTTGTCAAAAGTCCTACATTTTAAGGCACAAAGGGTGAACCCTTAGTGTATACACTTTTTTATTTTATTTTATTTTTTTGAGGTAGAGTTTCACTCAGTCTCCAGGCTGGAGTGCAGTGGCACGATCTCGGCTCACTGCAGCCTCCACCTCCCGGATTCAAGCACTTCTTCTGCCTCAGCCTCCCGAGTAGCTGGGTTTACACGCGTGGGCCACCACACCCGGCTAATTTTGGTATTTTTAGTATATATAGAGTTTCACCATGTTGGCCAGGCTGGTCTCAAATTCCCAACCTCAGGTGATCCTCCTGCCTTGGCCTCCTAAAGCACTGCGATTACAGGCCTGAGCCACTGTGCCCGGCCCAATGTATACACATTTTAAACAGTCATTTAGGAGGTCGGAGATCCCAGGATGAAATGCAGAGTGACAAAAAGTTTTTAAATTTTTTGCTTTTTACCCCTGTAATTCTAGTGAAATGAAATGCATATACTTTGGTTTTTGTTGTTGATTTTTTTTTTCAGAAATGCTGCTGTGGATTTAGCTGATGCACACTCTTCACCACCTCCCATACTTCAATGCTTTTTTCACTTTTTTTGGTTGAATTACTATATGGTTTGTTATTACTCTTACAAATGAGCTAGCCAGGGTAGTATGATTGCATTTTCTTTCCTATACAAACCTTTTGTTTTCCCTGAAGTTAATTGATTTATATTTTGTTTTCTTAGTTTTTCTCTGTACTGATCATCCAGACATCCAGAGAACTGGGAGCTCTTTTCCAGATGGATTCAGACACACCCAGTGTTTTGTCATTTGGAAGTCAGTTGGGAGTCATCGGCTCAGTCGTAATTTGGGGACTTCCCTTTAACATCTGTCTGGAAATTTCCTTCCTCTTTTCATGTGTCTCCATCTCACATATCCTTCTGTCTGATATGTAGCTTAGTGACTGCCATTCTGAAGCCTACTCTCTCGGGTTCAAATCCTGACTCATAACCAGATGTATGTCCTTGGCCAAGTCATTTAACCTCTTTGTGCCAGAGTTTCCAATCTGAATGTTGGCAATAATAATCTTACACACCTCAAAGTGTTGTTTTAAAAATTACATGAGCAGATAGATAAATAAAAGGGCTGTGCGTGCCGTAGGTGCACAATAATGTTTGCTGTTTTTGTTATTGTTAGTGGTGGAGAATATCCACCACTAACAATAACACCACTTCCAGAAACAGGTGTAGCTTCCTGAAAAAAGGGTTCATGGGAAGAAAAAAATTTCATCATTTCTTGAAAATACATTCATGCTACCCTTGCTCTTTCTTTAATTATAATTTGGCTGGATTTGCATTCTGGATTGGAAATTCTTTCCGAATTTTAAAGACGTGCTTGATTGTTTAATAGAGCCTCTGCATTTTATTGGGCACTTAGCCTGGAAGCTCAAGTCCTTAACATCTGGAAAATGTTCTTACTTATTTTGACAATTTTCTTCGCACCATTTTTCTCTTTTTTTATTTACTGTCTTATTGTTTTTCCTCTTGGGGGATTTCCTCTACTTATCTCCTACCTTGCTCTTACCATAGTGTTTTTTTTTTTTAGAGACGGAGTTTCGCTCTTGTTGCCCAGACTGGAGTGCAAGGGCGTGATCTCGGCTCACCGCAACCCCTGCCTCCCGGGTTCAAGCGATTCTCCCGCCTCAGCCTCCCGAGTAGCTGGGATTGCAGGCATGCGCCACCACGTCTGGCTGATTTTGTATTTTTAGTAGAGATGGGGTTTCTCCATGTTGGTCAGGCTGGTCTTGAACTTCCGACCTCAGGTAATCTGCCCGCCCTGGCCTCCCAAAGTGCTGGGATGACAGGCATGAGGCACCGAGCCCGGCCACCATAGTTTTAATTGTTACAAGCAATGTCTTAGCTTTTGAATGTCTTTTTGAATTCTCCCTGGACAAAATGTTCATTCTTATTGCTAGATACATTAACTGTAGTTTTTTTTTTTTTTGAGATGGAGTCTTCTCGCTCTGTCGTCCAGGCTGGAGTGCAGTGGCGCGATCTCGGCTCACTGCAAGCTCCGCCTCCCAGGTTCACGCCATTCTCCTGCCTCAGCCTCCCGAGTAGCTGGGACTACAAGCACCTGCCACGTTGCCTGGTTAATTTTTTGTATTTTTAGTAGAGACGGGGTTTCACCGTGTTAGCCAGGATGGTCTTGATCTCCTGACCTCGTGATCTGCCTGCCTCGGCCTCCCAAAGTGCTGGGATTACAGGCGTGAGCCACCATGCCTGGCCTAACCGTAGTATTTTTGAAGTTTTGTTTTGCTCACTGCATTATCTCTATTTTCTTCATGTTTCTTTTACTGTGTATTGTTTTTGGTTTCTAATTTTAAACACTCTCAAATGTCTGGAAACAGCCTTCTCATTTTTTTTTTTTTTTTTGAGCCGGGAGTTTCACTCTTGTTGCCCAGGCTGGAGTGCAGTGGCATGATCTCAGCTCACTGCAATCTCCACTTCCCAGGTTCAAGCAGTTCTCCTGCCTCAGCCTCCCAAGTAGCTGGGATTACAGGCATGCGCCACCATGCCTGGCTAATTTTTTGTGTTTTTAATAGAGATGGTGTTTTACCATGTTGGCCTGGCTGATCTTGAACTCCTGACCTCAACTGATCCACCCGCCTCGGCCTCCCAAAGTGCTGGGATTACAGGCGTGAGCCACCGCGCCTGGCAGCCTTCTCACATTTTTAAGTGAGACACTTAAAGCTGACTGCAAAATTTTCATACATGAATAGAGCTAGTCCTTTGGTGGGCTTCACTGTTGGGTGATCACATAGGAAGGAGTCATTTTGTTGGGGGTGCTCTATGTTGGTATTTGTAGACCATAAAAAATGGGAACTGTTGGACCATAAGTATATTTTTAAAAACTGAAAATTTTAAAAAGTAATTTTAAAAAACGAGAACAACAAAAACAAGATGCTATCCAGAAAAGCCAGGCGGAATTGCTAAGAACCAAATAGAACTTTGAGAAATCAGCTTCCCAAGGAGGAATTCTACGTCTGGTCTCCTGCCATGGCATAATTCTGGCTGCTAGCTCTTGGAAATTGGCATGAAAGGAAGAAAGGCGTATCACATTGTTCAGTTTGCTGACTTGCTGTTTGTTTGATTATTTGTTTATTATTGTAATAAAACACATGTAGCAAACAATTTATGCTAACCATTTTAAAGTTTCAATTCAGTAGTGCTAAGTACATTCACATGGTTGTGTAATAACCAGTCTCCAGAACTCTTCTTGTTGGGAAACTAAAACCCTGTTCCCGTTAAATAGTAACTTCTCCAGCACCTGACAAACACTATTCTACTTTCTGTCTAGGAATTTGACTACGGTAGTCCCCCCTTATCTGCAGTTTTGCTTTCTTCGGTTTTAATTACCCAAAGTCAACCATGGTCTGAAAGTATTAAATGGAAAATTGTAGAAATAGTTCATAAATTCTAAACTGTGCCCCCATCTGAGTAGCACCTGGAATGTGAATCATCCCTTTGTCCAGTGTATCCACACTGTGGATATATGATGCCAACCTATTAGTCACTTAGTAGCTGTGGTTATCAGATTTGCTGTTGTTGTATCATTCTATTTTATTATTAAATTATTGTTAATTTGGGCGCAGTGGCTCACGCCTCAGCACTTTGGGAGGCCGAGGCAGGGGGATCACTTGAGGTCAGGAGTTCGAGACCAGCCTGGCCAACATGGTGAAACCCAGTCTCTACTAAAAATACAAAAATTATTTGGGCATGGTGGTGGGTGCCTGTAATCCCAGCTACTTGGGAGGCTGAGGCGGGAGAATCGCTTGAACCCGGGAGGTGGAGGTTGCAGTGAGCTGAGATCGCGCCATTGCACTCTAGCCTGGGCAACAAGAGTGAAACTTATTCTCAAACAAAAAAAATAGAATAAATTATTGTTAATTTGGCCAGGCTCGGTGGCTCATGCCTGTAATCCCAGCACTTTGGGAGGCTAAGGCGGGCAGATCACTTGAGATCAGGAGTTTGAGACCAGCCTGGCCAACATGGTGAAACCCCATCTTTACCAAAAATAAAAAAAAATTAGCCGGGCATGGTGACACACAACCGTGGTCCCAGCTACTCCAGAGGCTGAGGCAGGAGAATCGCTTGAACCTGAAGGTGAAAGTTGCAGTGAGCCACACCACCGCACTCCAGCCTGGACAACAGAGCAAGACTCCATCTCTATATAAATAAATAATAAAATGTTTATTTCTTACTGTGCCTTATTTATAAGTTGAACTTTATCATACATATGTATACTGCAGTTTTAGGAATCCACTGAGGGTCTTGAGATGCATTCTCTGAGAATAAGGGGAGACTGCTGTACTCCTATCAGTGGAATTATACAATATTTGACTTGTGACTGCCTTATTCATTAATGTCTTCACGGTTCATCCATGTTGTAGTGTGCGTTAGGATTTCCTTGTTTGCTTAAGGTGAATATTTTATTGTATGTCAGAAGACAACATTATAAATTTAAAGATTTTTTTTTTTTTTTGAGACCGAGTCTCGCTCTGTCGCCTAGGCTGGAGTGCATTGGTGCGATCTCGGCTCACTGCAACCTCTGCTTCCCGGGTTTAAGCGATTCTTGTGCCTCAGCCTCCCTAGTAGCTGGGTTTACAGGCACCTGCCACCACGCCCGGCTAATTTTCGTATTTTTAGTAGAGACGGGTTTTGCCATGTTGCCCAGGCTGGTCTTGAACTCTTGACCTCAGGTGATCCGCCCACCTCAGCCTCCCAAAGTGCGGGGGTTACAGCAGGCGTGAGCCAGCGCGCCTGGCCTCAAATTTAAATTTAAAGATATTAATTGGCTTTATTTCTTTTTTTTTTTTTTTTTTTTTTTTTTTGAGACAGACACTCCCAGGCTGGAGTGTAGTGGTGAGATCTCTCAGCTCACTGCAACCTCTTCCTCCCATGTTCAAGCAATTCTCCTGCCACAGCCTCCTGAGTAGCTGGGATTACAGGCGCTCACCACCACACCTGGCTAATTTTTTTGGCTTTTGGTAGAGACGGGGTTTTGCCATGTTGGCCAGGCTCGTCTCCTAACCTCAAGTGTTCTGCCCGCCTCAGCCTCCCAAAGTGCTGGGATTACAGGAGTGAACCACCGTGCTTGGCCTTTATTTCCTATTCTGGAATTGGGCAACACTTCTTCCATAAAATACAGTAAGTGTTCTAGTGAACTGAACAGAGGAGGCTGGCTTTGTAGACAGAAAAAGGCCGAAAGAAAGCAGAAACAAAGAACAAAAAGCAGATACGTCATTTCAAAGTTAAAAACAATAGATAAATAACTGACTGACATTAGGTTACTTTTTGTTGTAAAACAACAAAATGGAGGGAACTTATTATCTGTCATACCAGTTGATGACTGAAACTGACCTGTTCGGTAAATTGGCTGTTATCTCCCTTGATTTCGCTGAAGGTCAGATAACAACTTAGTTTCAGTTTGGTGACTGAAATTTTAGCATGGGTGACTCCATTTTGATTTTTAGTCTGTTTTTGGAGGCCTAGAGCAGGAGCTTAGTCCAAAACAGTGGCCTCCTTTTTTGTTTTTTTTTTTCTGAGACAGAGTCTTGTTCTGTTGCCCAGTCTGGAGTGCAGTGGCATGATCTTGGCTCACTGCAACCTCTGCCTCCTGGGTTCAAGTGATTGCCATGCCTCAGCCACCCAAGTAGCTGGGATTACAGGTGTGTGCCACCAGGTCTAGCTAATTTTTGTATTTTTAGTAGAGACGGGGTTTCACCATGTTGGCCAGGCTGGTCTCAAACACCTGACGTCAAATGATCCACCTGCCGCGGCCTCCCAAAGTCCTGGGATTATAGGTGTGAGCCACCACGCCCAGCTGTCCTATATTTTTTATTTCACATTTACATACATTTGATATGATCAAAAATGTATATTTGTTCTTTGTCCTGGTTCTTGGCACTGGAGTTCCTGAAATCTTTGGTATTTCCTGATAACTATGAGTGGAACATCTTTTGTTATTTATAATAATAAGCCCCCCCCCGCCTTTTTTTTTTTTTTTTTTAACCACACCTTAGTTCATGCTCCCTCTGTCGCCCAGGCTGGAGTGCAGTGGCGCCATCGCAGTCTCCACCTACTGGGTTCAAGTGATTCTCCCGCTTCAGCCTCCCCAGTAGCTGGGACACAGGCGCGCACCACCACGCCTGGATATTTTTTGTATTTTTAGTAGAGACAAGGTTTCGCCATGTTGGCCAGGCTGGTCTTGAACTCCTAACCTCAGTTGACCTACTCACCTCGGCTTCCCAAAGTGGTGGGATTACAGGCATGAGCCACCGCGCCTGGCCAATTTTTTGTATTTTTAATAGAGACAGGGTTTCACCATGTCAACGAGGCTGGTCTTGTACTCCTGACCTCTGGTGATCCACTTGCCTCAGCCTCCCAAAGTGCTGGGATTACAGGTGTGAGCCACTGGGCCCAGTCTGTAATATCCTTTACATTGTATCTTTTAGCTTCCCTGGGCCACATTGGAAGAATTGTCTTGGGCCACATTGGAAGAAGAATTGTCTTGGGCCACACACACATAAAATATACTAACGATAGCTGATGAGGTAAAAAAAAAAAAAAGAAAAAGAAATTGTAACGATAGCTGATGAACTACAACAACAACAAAAAAAATCACGAAAGAAACTTCATAACGTTTTAAGAAAGTTTACAGGCCGGGCAGGGTGGCTCATGCCTGTAATCCCAGCACTTTGGGAGGCCGAGGTGGGCGGATCGCCTGAGGTCGGCAGTTCGAGACCAGCGTGGCCAGCATGGTGAAATCATGTCTCTACCAAAAATACAAAAAAATTAGCTGGGCGTGGTGGCAGTTGCCTGTAATCTCAGCTACTTGGGAAGCTGTGGCAGGAGAATCGCTTGAACCCGGGAGGCAGAGGTTGCAGTGAGCCGAGATTATGTCATTGCACTCCAGCCTGGGCAACAGAGCGAGACTCCATCTCAAAAACAAAAAAAAAAAAAGAAAGTTTACAAATTTGTGTTGGGCTGCATTCAAAGCTGTCCTGGGCCACATGCATCCCATGGGGGCTGAGGGTTGGACAGGCTTGCTTTACAATGAATCAGTGTTTTTTTTGGGTTTTGTGAGCATTATAGCACATTATCAAACATGAGGGGAATCATGTGAATGCCCAATTTATGGTTGGTCTGTCAGAAGTACAGGAGACTAAGGGTTTATAGTAGTTGACTAATTTCTCCTTGTTTGGTAGTATAAACCAAAAATAAAATTCTAAGGCTCTTCCAACCATTTTAATGGACTTCCTTCTCAGCCAGGGCACTCTTAACATTTAATCTGAAAGACTAGTTCAGGCCATGACAGGAAGTTGGGGTCAGACCTGCTTCATTATACTGCTCTGGCGTAACATCACATAACAAGGAAAGAAATAAAAATAATTCTAAATAGATTTCCTTGTCATATCTTGAAATTGCCTTGCAAAGTTTGTCTCTTGTGGAAAAAAATGTACATTGTGTAGAGAATCCTCTTTTCCCTTTTTTCTTTTCTTTTTTTGTTTTTTTTTGTTTTTGTTTTTGAGACGGAGTTTCGCTCTTGTTGCCCAGATTGGAGTGCAATGACCTGATCTCAGCTCACTGTAACCTCCGCCTCCTGAGTTCAAGCAACTCTCCTGCCTCAACCTCCCAAGTAGGTGAGATTACAGGCATGAGCCACCAGGCCCAGCTAATTTTGCATTTTTAGTAAAGATGGGGTTTTATCATGTTGGTCAGGCTGGTCTCAAACTGCTGACCTTGGGTGATCCACCAGCCTTGGCCTCCCAAAGCGCTGGGATTACAGGTGTGAGCCACCAGACCCGTCCTGAGCCACCGCACCTGGCCATTCCCTTTTTTTTTTCTTTCCAGATCCAGGAGATAATCAATTAAGAGTCAGGCACCCTTTTCAGTCTCATAAGAAAACATTTTACAGCCTCTTCTGTCTTATGCCTGCTAGCTAAGAGCTTCCTCTGCGTAGTAAAACTTTGGTCTCCACAATCCTTGTCTTAACCCAAACATTTCCTCTCTGTTGATCCCAGGTCCTTAGACAAACTCAACCAATCTTAACCAGAAAATGTATAAATTTACCTATAGCCTGGAAGTCCCCGCTTTGACTTGTCTCGCCTTTCTGAAACAAACCAATGTACATCTTAAATGTATTTCATTGATACCTCATACCACCCTAAAATATATAAAACCAGGCTGCTCCCCGACCACCTCAGGCACATGTTCTCAGGACCACCTGAGGGCTGTGTCATGGGCCATGGTCACTCATATTTGGCTCAGAATAAACATCTTCAAATATTTTACAAACTTTGACTCTTTTTAGTCGACAGTAGCCAGAGGTTTTACACCCCAAGGCCATGTCCCATGGTTAAGATGTAGAGTGGGGGAGGAGTGTATCATTCTTTTATCAGTGGTAGAATGATATTTGTACAGGGGAGAAGGTGGGACAGGAAAGTTTTCCTGATGGCTCACTTTTGAAAAAAGACTTCTTGTGCAAGATGAAGAGCTAGAAATTTAGTTTCATTAAGAACTGTTTGTGATGTGTGCTTTAGAAAGTCTTGAGTTACCTATACTCCATATTTCACGGATGTATGCTGTATTATGTGATGTCTGCCAGAGCAAGTCTAAATTGCATATATACCAGTTTGAACAGTCTTCTTCAGGATACTGTTTCTCACTTGTGTGCTTCAACTTAATGGTAAATGAAGGTTTTGGAATTGTCCAGAAGCAAGTGTGGACAGAGGAGAAGTAGACCTTTCTGACACCTTGTGGCAGCACGTGAGCACTACAGATGTGGTTGGCTTGATCTACAGTCTAATCATATTTTTAGGGCTCTTCACACTGCAAAGTGCTTTCCACCTTTTTTCCCCTTATTAGGAGAGAATCTGTTCAGAATGAACAAAAAAATTGCATGAAAATTCTCTGCATACTGAAATTTTTAAGGCTCTGCCTTTTAAAACTACTTGTGTGTTTTTGGCCAGGCACGGTGGCTCATGCCTGTAATCCCAGCACTTTGGGAGGCTGAGGTAGGCAGATCACGAGGTCAGGAGATTGAGACCATCCTGCCTAACACGGTGAAACCCCGTCTCTACTAAAAATACAAAAAATTAGCTGGGCATGGTGGTGGGCACCTGTAGTCCCAGCTACTCGGGAGGCTGAGGCAGGAGAATGGTGTAAGTAAACCCGGCGGGCGGAGCTTGCAGTGAGCTGAGATGGCGCCACTGCACTCCAGCCTGGGCAGCAGAGCGAGACTCCATCTCAAAAAAACAAAAAACAAACAAAAAAACTACTTGTGTGTTTTTATACATTTGGTACGTACCACTACTCAGGAACTTAAGAGAGTTCCCAATAGCATGAGGTTGACTGGCATATTCTTCCATAATGAATTGTGAGTAAAATCAGGCATAAAAGCCTTGGGAATTAAGATGCAATGCAAATTTGTTGCATTGCGTTCAAACGAAAAACCTTAGACAAGTTAAAGTTTTATTGAGCAAAGAATGATTCAAGAATTGGGCACATTGGGCATAGTGGCCCACTCCTGCAATCCCAGCACTTTGGGAGGCCAATGTGGGAGGATCACTTGAGGCTGGGAGTTGGAGACCAGCCTGGGCAACACAGTGAGACTCCTGTCTCTACAAAAAAGTATAAAATTAGCCAGGCATAGTGGTCCATGCCTGTGGTCCCAGCTACTCGGGAGGCTGAGGGAGGAGAATCACTTGAACTCAGGAGTTCAAGGCTGCAGTGAGCTATGATTGCACTACTGCACTGCAGCCTGGGCAGCAGAGAGAGACTATCTCTGAAAAAAATAAGAGGCTGGGTGTGGTGGCTTACACCTGTAATCCCAGCACTTTGGGAGGCTGAAGAGGGTGAATCACTTGAGGCCAGGAGTTTGAGACCAGCCTGGTCAACATGGCGAAACCCCTTATCTACTAAAAATACAAAAAATTAGCCATGTGTGGTGGTGCGCACCTGTAATCCCAGCAACTCGGGAGTCTGAGGCAGGAGAACCGCTTGAACCCAGGAGGCGGAGGTTGCAGTCAGCCGAAATTGTGCCACTGCGTTACAGCCTAGGTGACAGAGTGTGATTCTGTCTCAGAAAAAAAATAGGACAGGCTTCAGAACCGGAACAGGTTCTAAGCACTCTGGCCTGCAACGTGATCAGGCAATATTTATGGACAAAACAAAAGTGAGATACAGAAATAGTTTAATTGGTTGCAGCTTGGCATTTTGCCTTATTTAAATCAGCTGGTGACCTGTGATTGACCGAAGATGGGATTCTGTAGTTGACTGAGACTCAGCTGTTTGTTACTGGAGTACAAATTGCCCTAAGTTAGAAGAATTTGTACAGTTAGTTTTCATACTATTAGGTTGTAGTTCCTTATGTACTGACTCGAGTATGGAGGCATCCTCAGGCCAAGTTTAGTTTAGTTTAACAATTGGAACTCTTTCTTTTTTTTTTTTTTTGAGATGGAGTCTCGCTCTGTTGCCCAGGCTGGAGTGCAGTGGCACGATCTTGGCTCACTGCAAGCTCCATCTCCTAGGTTCATGCCATTCTCCTGCCTCAGCCTCCCGAGTAGCTGGGACTACAGGCGCCCATCACCACGCCCAGGTACTTTTTTTGTATTTTTAGTAGAGACGGGTTTCACCATGTTAGCCAGGATGGTCTCGATCTCCTGACCTCGTGATCTGCCCGCCTCGGCCTCCCAAAGTGGTGGGATTACAGGCATGAGCCACTGCGCCCGGCCAACAATTGTAACTCTTATTTGAATTCTTTGAAGAGTTTGTAGATGTATACTACTACACTGCTACAAGTTCAGCTATAATGAACTTGGAGTAAATAATGAAGTCACAGTGCCAGAAAAACTTAGTGATCAAGCACAGTTAAGTTTATTAGGCCTGATACACGTAGGAGAAAGTGCCTCCTTGACAAAGTCTTAGTTGTGTCTCAGAATAGAGAAATTAGGAAATGGTGTTTATAGGATTTTAGGGCCTTGGCTGGATCATTTTAAGGTAGGTCTTGGCAAGGTATGTCCCTATTTGGGATTGGACAGTTATGACATTGTAGACATAAAGAGGGCAAGGGTTTTGAACCAAGTCTTGGTGAGTAAGCTGTTTAGTTGGTTCCCAGTGTTATCTTCCAAGAATCGTATATTCTAGATTGTATCTTCCAGATGTATCCTGGAGCAAGCAGCTAAGTCACTTTTGTTTGGTCTCAATGTTGTTTAACACAGGGATAAAAATACTGGTTTTTATTTTCAAAAGTAAGACCTGAATTAATTTACATGGACCTTTTGTTTGTTTCAGCTTTGCCCGAAGTTTTTACATACAAATTCTACTAGTCACACCTGGCCATTCAGTGCAGTTGCTGAATTAATAGGTATGTAGTTTGACATTTCATATACCATTTGTTGCTTACAATTGTAGTGTTTTTTTTTTTGTTTTGTTTTGTTTTTTTTTTTTAAACAGAGTCTCTCTCTGTCGCCCAGGCTGGAGTGCAGTGGCGCAGTCTCGGCTCACTGCAAGCTCTGCCTCCTGGGTACACGCTATTCTCCTGCCTCAGCCTCCTGAGTAGCTGGGACTACAGGCACCTGCCACCACGACCAGCTAATTTTTTTGTATTTTTTTTTAGTAGAGACGGGGTTTCACTGTGTTAGCCAGGATGGTCTCGATCTCCTGACCTCGTGATCCGCCTGCCTCAGCCTCCCAAAGTGCTGGGATTACAGGTGTGAGCCACCGCACCCGGCCTACAAAAATATTTTAAAAATCAGCTGGGTATGGTGGTGCAGGCCTGTGGTCCCGGCTACTCAGGAGGCTGAGGTGGGAGGATCACGTGAGACCGGGAAGTTGAGGCTGCAATGAGCCGTGATTGTGCCATTGCATTCCAGCCTGGGCAGGCGACAAAGCAAGAAAAAAAACAGATACCTTGAATGATAACATTAATGATAAAAATTGCATAGCATAACAGCTATTCACATGGATGTCAGATTAGTCACTGTTCAGCTTTCTCTTTAATACTACCCAAGTATTTCATAGTGTTTAGGATTTACTTTGCTAAGTTCCTGAAGTGTTTATATTGAAAATATTTTTATTTTTATTATAAAAGTAAACAGTGAGAATTATGGGGAATTTGTTTGCTTATTTTGAGATGAGGTCTCACCATGTTGTCCAGGCTGGTCTCAAACTCCTGGGCTCAGGCGATCCTCCCACCTCAGCCTCAGGAGTATCTGGGATGACAAGTGTGCACCACAGTGACTGGCAGAATTATGTTTATTAGTAGTACAAAAGTATGTGTAACATACAGCATGGATTCATTTTTCTGGTATCAATAGGAGGATTGGTATTGTGTTAGATATGTAATAAGTTCTTGCTTCTTTCAATAAATGGGAAGTTTAAGGTTTAGGATTGTATTTTAACAGCATTTCAATGAACGTGAGAAAGCGGCAAGGTTGCGGTCTGATTTGCATTTATGGGTCATGATTTTTTTCTTGGGAAAAATTCATGCATAGGCTGGGCACACAGTTGTTCACACCTGTAATCCCAACACTTTGGGAGGCTGAGGCAGGAGGATCACATGAGCCCAGGAGTTGGGGCCCACCCTGAGAAACATAGTGGGACCCCATCTCTACAAAAAATACAAAAATTCGCCAGGGTGGTGGTGCACACCTGTAGTCCTAGTGACTCGGGAGTCTGAGGTGGGAGGATCACTCGAGCCAGGGAAGTCAAGGCTGCAGCAGAGTGAGTCTTCCTCCAGCCTGGGCTACAGTGAGACCCTGTCTCCAGAAAAAAGGAAAAGAAAAAGAAAAGAAAAATTCATGCACACAAACATAAGCCTAATTGAAAAATTTAGGCATATGTTTAAGAAACAGATAATAAAGGGAAATTGTATTCTTAGGAATTCTTAGATATATTTTAGAATCTTTATCAAGGAAGGGTTCTATCATAGATGGAAGATAAAAGAAAAAGAAGGAATTTTTTTTTTTTTTTTTTTTTTTGAGGCAGAGTCTCGCTCTGTCACCCAGGCTGGAGTGCAGTGGCACAGTCTCGGCTCACTGCAACCTCCTCTACCTCCTGGGTTCAAGCACTTGTCCCTCAGCCTCCCGAGTAGCTGGGACTACAGGCACATGCCACCGCTCCTGGCTAATTTTTGTATTTTTAGTAGAGACAGGGTTTCACCATATTGGTCAGGCTTGTCTCGAACTCCTGACCTCAGGTGATCCACCCACCTCTGCCTCCCAAACTGCTGGGATTACAGGCATGAGCCGCTGCGCCCAGCCCTATTTTTCATTTTTAAACGTATTTCTTCCTACACCTATTCTGAGAGAAATGAGTATGCTAAACAAGGATGTTAAATGGAGAAGTATACAGAAATAAAAATGTAAAAGCCACCAGAAACTTGGTTTAACTTGGTTAAACTGAAAAGGATCACAATTTAAAGAAATAGTAGAAAGTAAATCTTCCATCCTTGTATGTAACTTAGCAGAAAATGTTGCTGCCTTTTCATTTATTTATTGATTATTGTGTACCTTCCATTGACACTCAGATCTCTTTCCCCTACAATAGCCAGGTTAGTCTCTCTCTTTTTTTCTTTTTTTTCCATTTTTGAGACGGAGTCTCGCTCTTGTTGCCCAGGCTCGAGTGCAATGGCGCTATCTCAGCTCATTGCAACCTCCGCCTCCTGGGTTCAAGCAATTCTCCTGCCTCAGCCTCCTGAGTAGCTGGGATTATAGGTGCCCGCCACCATGCCTGGCTAATTTTTTTTTTTTTTTTTTAATACAGATGGGATTTCACCCTGTCGGCCAGGCTGGTCTCAAACTCCTGACCTCAGGTGATCTGCCCACCTCAGCCTCCCAGAGTGCTGGGATTACAGGCGTAAGTCACCATGGTCAGCTTTTTTGTTTTTGTTTTTGTTTTTGTTTTTGGAGACAGAGTCTTGCTGTGTTGCCCAGGCTAGAGTGCAGTGGCACGATCTCCGCTCACTGCAACCTCTGCCTCCCAGGCTCGAGCGATTCTCCTGTCTTAGCCTCTGGATTAGCTGGGACTATAGGCATGTGCCACCATGCCTGGCGGATTTTTGTATTTTTTAGTAGAGATGGGGTTTCACCATGTTGGCCAGGCTGATCTCAAACTCCTGACCTCAGGTGATCTGCCCGCCTCAGCCTCCCAAAGTGCTGGGATTACAGGCGTGAGCCACCACATGCAGACTTAGTCCATCTTTTAATCATCTCTGCAGTGTAGTGATTTTTCTTCCTTTGTACTTCTTTGGTGTGCTGGGTACCAGTCTTTGCTGTCTCTTTAACATGGAGGGTGTTAATTCTATAATAGTCGATTAATATATACCAGGATGCAGTTTATTTTCATGTTTTTAAATCTTATTTTCATGTTTAAAATCTTTAAATTTTAAAGCTGCTAAAAATTGCAGCTTTTAAAGTTGTCTTAAAACATAGTCTTCTATTGCTTCTTACAGGATTGTTCTGAACTAATTGCTCTTTTTAAAGTGTAAAATCAGAATTTCTTCAAACTTGTGTTTCCCAGATAATGCTTATGATCCTGATGTGAACGCTAAACAAATATGGATTGACAAAACAGTGATAAATGACCATATATGCTTGACATTCACCGACAATGGGAATGGTATGACTTCTGATAAATTACATAAAATGCTAAGGTAGGTAAAAATGTGCCACACTTCTTAAAATTGTTGCTTTTACCTAAAGGGTTTTCCATGCCATACTTACTATTCTTGGTTTTTGTTTTTTGAAATGAAATGCTGTATGTACAGTGTGAGCTGTTCTCTAAGCATGATTTTCTACTACTGGTAGATGATGAGTCAGTCTTCACCACTGTCATCACCTACCCCACCCTACTTCCAACTCCCTAAAAGTCCACCATTCCTTTAGAGTTGTAGTATATTTATATCAATTACTGATAACTTTAGTGTAAATTAGGTTTAACCATTGTTTGTAATAAAACCTACCACTTTGTTGGGAGTAACTTTTAGAGGAAGAGATTCATGGGGTGAAATCTCACAGTCCCGGAAGCATGGGTTATACTCAGCTATTTAGTCAGGGTGTGCCAGCGATGAGTTTGCATGTTAGTACTTGTGATCCTTTTTCTCCCCTGTGATGTAGATTTGGTTTCCTTATTTCAGAGCTGGGAAAACACGTCAAGATAGATTAAAAGTAATCTGCCCGATACATAAAAAATCAACAACAACAAAAAAGTAATCTGCCCAAGATTATACAGCTAGGAAGGGTGAGGCCAGTATTTGAACCCAGGCTTTTTACTTGGTATTACAATTAATGAATTAAAAAAAAAGATTATAGGTATTTATTTATTTATTTATTTTTGATTATAGGTATTTATTTTTAAAAATCTTTATTTTCTTCTTAGCTTTGGCTTCAGTGACAAAGTCACCATGAATGGTCATGTCCCAGTTGGATTATATGGGAATGGCTTCAAGTCGGGTTCTATGCGTCTGGGTAAAGACGCAATCGTTTTTACCAAAAATGGAGAAAGCATGAGCGTGGGCCTTTTGTCTCAGACCTACTTGGAAGTCATAAAAGCGGAGCATGTTGTTGTTCCAATAGTGGCATTCAACAAGCACCATATCCTTTTGGTTGTGAAATAAAAGCTGTGGAGAAACTGAAGAAATAATTTGGAAACATTCTATGTTTTTGCCTTCTTCCAGATTATTCCCTTTGAATAACACCTATTCCATTTCTTACCTCTGTCCTCTGCATTTACCCTACACCTGAGGCTAAGGGTTTGTCCCTTTCTCTTCTCTGTTGGAATCCTGCTATGGAAATACTCAACATTTTATGTTAAACTTCCCATAGCTCTTCTGTTTACTTCAGGGTTATTGTAGACTAGTAAGACTTTATGGTTTGGCTTGAAAATTTGACTAGTGACCACAAAAGGCAGGATAACTTTAGGAAAATGCCTTTTGTATGAACACATTGGAATATTAGAAAGTATTAAGTTAGTTAGGAATAATAATCTGCTTATTTTTTATTCTTCTTCTTGTTCATTTGAAATCAAACTGCCATGTTAAAACTTAGAAAATAGGCTGAGCTCGGTGGCTGATCCCTGAAATTCCACCACTTTGGGAGGCCAAGACAGAAGGATTGCTTGAGCCCGGAATTTTGAGACCAGCCCAAGCAACGTAGGGAGACCCTATCTCTACAAAAAAAATTTAAAAATTAGCCGGTCGTGGTGGTGGGTGCCTGTGGTCGGTCCCAGCTAGGCTGCAGTTAGCCCTGATCATGTTACTGCACTCTAGCCTAAGCAATAGTGAGACCCTATCTCACAAAAAAAAAAACCTTAGAAAATTATTTATAAATAGTTTTTCTGTTATTTAAGTTTATAGAGTTAGTTTTCATATTGTAATTATGAAAACTATGTTGTCAATCTGAGTCTTTAACTTATGATATACGACAGATGATTAATTTAGCAGAATCAAAAGCCAGCCTTGCTGCAATTCTGGAACATTCTCTGTTTTCCACGGAACAGAAGTTACTGGCAGAACTTGATGCTATTATAGGCAAGAAGGGGACGAGGATCATCATTTGGAATCTTAGAAGGTAAACGTGGACATAGATGTTGACCGTTTGGGAAGTAAAGTGCACGTGCAGGGTGGTGGTGTTATATTCATCTCTCGTTACACACAGTAGAAATACATGGAAAGGTACTCATTTTTTGGTGTAGTTACTGATTTGTCTTTGCCCAGGATATGTTATAGAGGCCATTTCAGCTTCAATTTGAGATATTTTCATCTTGTTAAAAAAAATTTTTTTTTGAGACGAAGTCTCACTCTTGTTCCCCAGGCTGGAATGCGATGGCGCAATCTCAGCTGACTGCAGCCTCCGCCTCCTAGGTTTAAGCGATTCTCCTGCTTCAGTCCCCCGAGTAGCTGGGATTACAGTCGCCTGCCACCATGCCCGGCTAACTTTTGTATTTTAGTTGAGACAGGGTTTCACCATGTTGGCCAGGCTGGTCTAGAACTCCTGACCTCAGGTGATCCACCCGCCTTGGCCTCCCAAAGTGCTGGGATTACAGGCGTGAGCCACCACACCCGGCCAAAAAAAAAAATTTTTTTCTATCCCTGCCATTCAGTCTCCATTAGCACTCTATTCTCTCTCATTTATTCCACCCCGTCTTCTCAAAAAAAAAAAAAAAAAAAGAAAAAAGAAAAAAAGCAATGAGAAGACAAATTCAGGAGGATAAATCTTTCTTCATTGTGTACATTACTTAAAACTAAAAGTGATGTAGCACCTGATGAGAAAAGTAATATAGGTGAGATTTTTGTGTTGCTAAAATTTATAATCCTTTATCTTTGTGAGGATAAAATCCTTCGCAAATAAATTTTAAAATTTAAGACTAATGTCTAATACTGAAAGATCTAAGACATACTGAATCACAGGAATAAAGCACAGGTAGTGATAAGCCTAAAGAACTGAAAAAACTTGTGCTATTCTGATACCTGAATTCGTTTTTCTTGCTTTCACTTCCCTACCCCTCCTTCTCCTGGAGGATTTTTTCAATTATACTTTCTGAGGTAATTGTAGATTCATGTGTAGTTGTAAGAAGTAATAGAGAGATGTTAGGTACACTTCATTCAGTTTCCCCTGCTGGTAACATCTAACAAAACTATAGTACAGCCAGGCACACTGGCTCACACCTGTAATCCCAGCACTTTGGGAGGCTGAGGCGGGTGGATCATGAGGTCAGGAGATCGAGACCATCCTGGCTAACACGGCGAAACCCTGTCTCTACTAAAATTACAAAAAATTAGCTGGGCGCGGTGGCGGGCGCCTGTAGTCCCAGCTACTAAGGAGGCTGAGGCAGGAGAATGGCGTGAACCAGGGAGGCGGAGCTTGCAGTGAGCCGAGATAGCACCACTGCACTCCAGCCTGGGCGAAAGAGCGAGACTCTGTCTCAAAAAAAAAAAAAAAAACTATAGTACAGTAGTACTATTGATATTGACAGGATTTTGATGTTGATACAGTCAAGATGCAGGACACTTTAGTCATCACAGGAATCCCTCATGTTGCTCTTTTGTAGCCATACCCACTTCCCTCATAACCCCACTCCCTCCTTAATCCGTGGCAACCTCTAATCTGTTCTCTATTTCTATAATTTTGCCATTTTAAGAATATTACATAAACAACATGGAAACCTTTTGGATTTGACTTTTTTCACTTAGCATAACTCCTGGCGTTTTCCAGGTTCTTGTATGTATAGTTTGCACCTTTTCCTTTTTCTTTTTTTTTTCTTTCTTTTCTTTTCTTTCTTTCTTTCTTTTTTTTTTTTTTGAGATAGCGTTTTGCTCTTTCCCCCAGGGTGGAGTGAAGTATAGCGCCATCTCGGCTCACTGCAACCTCCGCCCACCGGGTTCAAGCGATTCTGCTGCCTCATCCTCCCGTGTGGCTGGGATTATAGGCACCTGCCACCATGCCTGGCTGATTTTTGTGTTTTTAGTAGAGACAGGGTTTTGCCATATTGACCAGGCTGGTCTTGAACTTCTGACCTCAGGTGATCCACATGCCTCAGCCTCCCAAAGTGGTAGGATTACAGGCGTGAGCCACTGCACCCAGCCAGTTTGCACTTTTTTCTTGCTGAGTAGTGTTTCATTGTATGTATGGAACCCAGTGTGTTTACCTATTCAAGACATCTAGGTTTGTAGTTTTGGGATATTACAAATAAAGCTGTAAACATTTGTGTACACAGTTTTGTGGGAATATAGTCTTCATTTTTCTGAAATAAATATCTAGAAGTGTAATTGCTGTATCATATAGTACTTGCATTTTATTTTCTAAGAAATGCCAGACTGTTTTCCTGAGTGTTTTCCTACCAGCAGTGTATGAGTGTTACAGTTTCTCCACATCATCCAGGATCCGTTTTCTTTCTTTTTCTCTTGCCTTTGCACCCCCAACCCCCCACTGACGTGCACCATGTGTAGGTTTATTTATTTGCTTACCTTTTTAATGACTTACAGTGTTTGCTGGCTTATCTTGCTGTGAAGTTAAATTTTGGTTCTTTCTAAAAATTATTTTTACAGCTACAAAAATGCAACAGAGTTCGATTTTGAAAAGGATAAATATGATATCAGAATTCCCGAGGATTTAGATGAGATAACAGGGAAGAAGGGGTACAAGAAGCAGGAAAGGATGGACCAGATTGCCCCTGAGAGTGACTATTCCCTGAGGGTATGTATTCAGCTCTCTTTGTGGAAGTGAGAAAATCATTGAATGCTGGTAGTATTAGGAGAGGTCATGTTACCTGCTTGTGATAGAAAGGCTGCCAGTGCTCTCTAAATGAAAGTATCTCAGACATGATTTTCCCTGGCCCACTCAGCCTGGGCAACAGAGTGAGGCTGTATCACACACACACACAAATTTAGTTAAACTTTTCATTAGCACACTGGTTGATTTATTTGTTTGGAAACCCTTTTTAAATTATGAAGTCGTCAGGCCTAACAATGCTTGTAGTTTTTACTATATGCTGACATTATTATCTTATTAGAATCAATATATTAGTCAGTATATGGTGGCCAGACTAATTCAAAAAACAACAAATTCAAAGTCTTATTAAATTTTAACGTATTTGCCCGTGCACGGTGGTTCACACCTGTAATCCCAGCACTTTGGGAGGCCAAGGTGGGTGGATCACAAGGTCAGGAGTTCAAGACCAGCCTGGCCAAGATGGTCTTGAACTCCGTCTCTACTAAAAATGCAAAAATTAGTTGGGCACGGTGGCAGGCACCTGTAATCCCAGCTACTCGGGAGGCTGAGGCAGGAGAGTCGCTTGAACCTGCAGGTGGGGCAGTGCGGTTCACGGAGGTTGCAGTGAGCGGAGATTGTACCACTGCACTCCAGCCTAGGTGACAGAGTGAGACGCCATCACACACACACAAAAAATTTAACGTATTCTAGAATACATACCTTAATTGTCCTCCTAAAGCAATAAATTATAGACTATAGTTAGATAAGGTACATTAATATAATTTTGTGATAAATGCCTCTAGGATTTTCCCTTTAGAAATGAGGTTTTTGTTTTTTTGTTTTTCTTTTTGGAGATTAGGTCTTTGGGTGTCACTCTCTCACCCAGGCTGGAGTGCAGCGGTGAGATCTCAGCTCACTGCAGCCTCTGCCTCCTGGCCCCAAGCAATCCTTCCACCTCAGCCTCCTGAGTAGCTGGGACTGCAGGCGTGTGCCACCACACCCGGCTATTTTTTTGTATTTTTGGTAGAGACGATGTTTCACCAAGTTGTCCAGGCTGATCTCAAACTCTTGGTCTCAAGTGATCCACCTGCCTCAGCCTCCCAAAGTGCTGGGATTACAGGTGTGAGCCTCTGCACCTGGTCAAAATGAGTATCTGTTTAAGATTAAAAGAAATGGGCTAGGCACAGTGGCTCACACATGTAATCCCAGCACTTTGTGAGGCAGAGACGGGTGGATCACCTGAGGTCAGGAGTTGGAGACCAGCCTGGCCAACATGGTGAAATCCTGTCTCTACTAAAAATAGAAAAATTAGCTGGGCACGGTTGCGGGAGCCTGTGATCCCAGCGGCTTGGGAGGCTGAGGCAGGAGAATCCCTTGAACCCGGCAGGCAGAGGTTGTGGTGAGCCAAGACCGCACCATTACACTCCAGCCTGGGCAACAAGAGTGAAACTCTGTCTCAAAAAATAAAAATAAAAAAAAGATTGGAGAAATTAATATCTTGATATAATAATGTCGATAAATTAATATCAAGGTTTTTTTGTTTGTTTGTTTGAGACGGAGTTTTGTTCTTGTTGCCCAGGCTGGAGTGCAATGGCATGATCTTGGCTCACCACAGCCTCCACCTCCTGGGTTCAAGGGATTCTTCTGCCACAGCCTCCCAACTAGCTGGGATTACAGGCATGCGCCACCATGCCCGGCTAATTTTGCATTTTTAGTAGAGACAAGGTTTCACCATGTTGGCCAGACTGGTCTCGAACTCCCGACCTCAGTGATCTGCCTGCCTCGGCCTCACAAAGTGTTGGGATTACAGGTGTGAACCACCGTGCCCGGCCAATATCAAGTTTTTTAGTTGTTTTGATAAGACATGTGATACTAACTTTTTGCTTTCTTTTTTTTTTTTTTTTTGAGACAGAGTCTCACTCTGTTGCCTAGGCTGGAGTGCAGTGGCGTGATCTCGGCTCACCACAACCTCCGGCTCCTGGGTTCAAGCGATTCTTCTGGCACAGCCTCCTGAGTAGCCAGGACTACAAGCATGCACTACCCTGCCTGGCTAATTTTTGTATTTTTAGTAGAGACAGGGTTTCACTATGTTAGCCAGGCTTCTCTTGAACTCCTGACCTCGTGATCCGCCCGCCTCGGCCTCCCAAAGTGCTGGGATTACAGGAATGAGCCACCTTGCCTAGCCACTTTTTGCTTTATTTCTTGTGTTGATATTATTCTTTAATCCCAAGCTGTGGATGTATTTGTCATTTACAGATTTTTCATGTAATTTTTGCTAAGGTCTTAGCAATTACATTATTAGTAATAGTAATAGTAAATAGTAGTATTACTATTTACTAAAATAGTAAATAGCAGATATTTACTGTTCCTTGATGTATCCTAATGTGTTCCTAGTGTTGAAAAAGTCTTATTCAAGTATGAAACAGGTTCAGAGGCAGCCAGAGAAGATGGTATGGTTTTAGTACACTACAAAATACAGTGTTTTTTAAATGACGCAAAGCACCACTTCTTTTGAAATCAAGAGTCAGGAAAAGTAGGAGAAGCTTTTAAGTTTTAGTTTTGTGTTGAATCTTTTTTTTTTGAGGTGGGGGGGTC
The DNA here is from genome assembly GCF_000001405.40 of Homo sapiens. Classification (NCBI taxonomy): domain Eukaryota; kingdom Metazoa; phylum Chordata; class Mammalia; order Primates; family Hominidae; genus Homo; species Homo sapiens. The sequence goes on from NC_000021.9 coordinate 36,344,157, forward strand.
TCCCTCTGTCCCCCACACTGGAGTGCAGTGGTGTGATCTCGGCTCACTGCAGCCTCCGCCTCCATACTTGACAGAAAAATCAGAAAATGTACCTTTTTGTACATATATACATTTTTTAAAATTAAAATGTGATCATACCATACGTGCTGTTTTGTAATCTTTTTCACTTAGTAATAAATATATCAGCATCTATATAGATCAGTTGATTGTATTCTGCAAGTCATTTTTACTGGCTGCGGTATATTGAGCTTATTTTTAATGAAAAATAACCAAATCAGAATAACATACAGCTTTATAGCCTATTTTATTGAAGAGTTAATTGATCTTTTATCAAGTTAATAGGAGAGCTTCTGTGTAAATCCATGTCTAAGTAATGGTGAGCAAACCTGTAGATACTAACTTCTTGTTATGTTATTTTCCAGGCTTATTGCAGTATATTATATCTAAAGCCAAGAATGCAGATCATCCTACGTGGACAGAAAGTGAAGACACAGCTGGTTTCGAAGAGTCTTGCCTACATCGAACGTGATGTTTATCGACCAAAATTTTTAGTATCCTTTTTCTGATTCCTTATAGAGATATGTTAGTCAGGTGTATTCTCTTTTGCCCCTTTCCCCTTATATGCTGATAGGGATTCTAGTCTGCTCTAGCTTTGCCCTCCTTTGTGTGCTTTTGGACTTACCAAATAATGAAATAGAAAGGATGATTTGAACTGAGTGAGGTGTTGTGTTCAAAATTTACCTTAATATTTTAAGTCTAAAACAGTGAGAATTACCTTTGGATTCAACTGCAGAAATAAAGATCATTATGGGATAATGATGTATCACAGAAATAGACTCATCAAAGCTTATGAAAAAGTTGGATGTCAGTTAAGGGTAAGCTTTATTTTTTATTTGAAAAGAAAATGTCTATTTTCCACAAAAGTTAGGATAATATATGCTCTTGAGTCAAATGTTAAATAATTTTATTGTACCTTTTGCCTATAGCTTTTTAATGTAAATTTGTAAAAAATAACACTGTGGTATTTGAACTTTTATTAACTCCCCTCCCCTCCCCTCCCTTCCCCTCCCCTGCCCTGCCCTCTCCTTTCCTTTCCCTTCCTTTTTTTTGAGACGGAGTCTGAGTCTTGCCCAGGCTTCAGTGCAGTGGCACAATCTTGGCTAAACTCACTGCCATATTCACCTTCTGGGTTCAAGTGATTCTGCTGCCTCAGCCTCCCAAGTAGCTGGGACTACAGGTGCATGCCACCACGCCTGGTTTTTTTTGTTTTTTGTTTTTTTTTTGAGACAGAGCCTTGCTCTGTCGCCCAGGCTGGAGTGCAGTGGCGATATCTCGGCTCACTGCAGCCTCTGCCTTCTGGGTTCAAGCAATTCTCCTGCCTCAGCCTTCCAAGTAGCTGGGACTACAGGCACGTGCCGCCACGCCTGGCTAATTTTTGTATTTTTAGTAGAGGTGAGGTTTCAGTGTGTCAGCCAGCATGGTCTTGATCTCCTGACCTGGTGATCTGCCTGCCTCAGCCTCCCAAAGTTCTGGGATTACAAGCGTGTGCCACCGCACTCGGCCAGTTGTTTTGTATTTTTAGTAGAGACGAGGTTTCACCGTGTTGTCCAGGCTTGTCCCAAACTCCTGACCTCAGGTGATCCACCCGCCTCGGTCTCCCAAAGTGCTGGGATTACAGGTGTGAGCCACCGCGCCCGGCTTTATTTTTATTTTTTGAGAGACTCTACCTGGCTGGAGTGCAGTGGCGCAATTTTGGCTCACTGCAGCCTCTGACTCCCAGGTTCAAGTGATCCTCGCACCTTAGCCTCCTGAGTAGCTGTGACTACAGGTGCATGCCAGCACCTTAATTTCTTTTATTTATTTATTTGTTTGTTTATTTTTTGAGATGGAGTCTCACTCTGTCACCCAGGCTGGAGTGCAGTGGTGTGATCTCAGCTCACTGCAACCTCCACCTCCCTGGTTCAAGCGATTCTCGGGCCTTAGCCTCCCAAGTAGCTGGGACTACTGGCGTGTGCCGCTATGCCAGGCCAAATTTTGTATTTTTAGTAGAGACGGCTTTACCATGTTGACCAGGCTGGCCTCAAACTCCTGAACTCAAGTGATCCACCCACGTCGGCTTCTCAGCGTGCTCAGATTACAGGCCTGAGGCAATGCGCTCGGCCTAGTATATTAATTTTGTATTTGATCCTGAACAGCCCTGAGGTGGGGACAGAATATTTCTTTTATCCCTATTTTATGCATAAGGAAGTTGGGGACCAGACACAGTGGCTCATTCCTGTAATCCTAGTGCTTCGTGTGGCTGAGGTAGGAGGATTGCTTGAGGCCAGTGCTTCAAGACCAGCTTGGGCAACATACCAAGTCTCTACCTCAGCTGAGTACGGTGCCTTACACCTGTAATCCCAGCATATTTGAGAGGTCTGGGCCGGGGGATTGCTTGAGCCCAGGAGTTCAAGACCAGCCTGGGCAATGGGGCAAAACCCTGTCTGTACAAAAAAATACAAAAATTAGCTGGGCCTGGTGGTGCATGCCTGTGGTCCCAGCTACCAGGAGGCTGAGGTGGGAGGATTGCTTGAGCCCAAGAAGTTGAGGCTGTAGTGAGCCAAAATTGTGCCTCTGCTTTTCAGTCTAGGCAACAGGGTGAGGTCCTATCTCAAACAAACAAACAAACAAAAATCGTCTCTACAAAACAATAAAAACAAATTAGCCAGGTGTGGTTGTACGTCCTTGTAGTCTTAGTTATTTGGGAGGCTGAGGTGGGAGAGTGCTTGAGCCCTGGAGTTTGAGGCTACACTGAGCTATGATTTTTGCCCCTGTACTCCAGCCTGGGCAACAGAGTGAGACCCTGTCTCTTAAAAAAAAAAAAAAAAAAACAAAGAAATTGGGGCAAATAACAAATAGATGAAGCAAGTTGCTTAAGACATAACAGCGTGGATCTCAGACACAAACACATCATTTGACTGCATTTGGATATGGATCCATTGCATATTTTTAAGATTTTGGTGATAATTCTTTGTCTTAACTTTATTCTGAGTTTTTTGTAGAATGATGTGAGATCTACACAGTATACCAATGCAGATTCACCTTGAATACCACTTAACAGGGGTTCTGACTCTGCTTCACCTACTTTACATGGCATGAGCCCAAATATAGCATATTTGCAGAAGTAAATGAACTTTATGTCTACCACAGAATGTAAATTTTTTTCTTTTTATCACCTATGAATCTGACTTAACCAAGATATATAGCCCATTTTCCCAACCGAGTTAAATTTGTACTGTACATATTTCCTAGTTAAGCTCGACCTTGTAAAGATAGGCTGTTACAGCTAAATTACAATGTTTATCTTTACCAGATGATGGACTGGGCCTAGTATTTGCATTCTGTGGATTCGGTAAACATTAAATAAGTATCAGATACCCATTGTGATTTGCTGTGCTGGGTGCTCAGCATAAAAAGTTGGTAAAATACAGAGCATGCCCTCAAAGCTCAGTTTTGTGAGGGGACTGTGGAACATCCTTGGAAGCATCAGAAAAGGCTTCTTAGAGAAAGTGTTGATTGAAATGAGTCTCAGTTGATTTCACTGTGCTGCAAAGTCTGGAAGGGCTTTCCAGGCAGAGACAACATGTGCAAAGGCAGAGAAAGAGGCTTCTGAGAGTATGACATCATAAAGGGAGTAATTTGATGTGGCTGGACCATATTTTAAGTGGAGAACAGAGGAATGAGAGAGACAGGATAAGGCTGGAAGGAAGATGGATAAGAACCACAAATTGAAGGATATTGTTATTACTGTAGTTTAAAAATAGTCTGAAATGGTGAACCTGATGGTTTTTAATAGAGCAGAATTAGGATTAGTTGTATGGTTTGGTCTATAGTTGGGTTTATAAAAATTTTCATTTTATGAGTTACACATTTTACTTTTTTCTTCATAGACTAAGAAGTATAGCTACAATCATGAACAAAATATACTTGTTAGTCACACGTAGATAATCAGAAGATGACTCATATACTTTGAGTTCAACATTTTAGCTAGCAGATTTAAAAAATAACTAATTTAACCAACCTAGATTTTTACTTCATTGTTAGCAACTGGATACCTAACTTTGGGTAAATGACTTTAACTTTTATCTCACAAACGTATGGAATATTGCCTTTCAGAGCCTTTGCTAGTCACTACAAGATCAGGATGAATTATTTGTGGTTTCTGTTCTCTAAGAAATTGTATCCTAGTAGAGGTAGTCCTCTTTTCTTTTCTTTTTTTGTCTTTTTGAAAGATGGAGTTTTACTCTTGTTGCCCAGGCTGGAGTGCAATGGCACGATCTCAGCTCACTGCAACCTCCGCCTGCCAGGTTGAAGCAATTCTCCTGCCTCAGCCTCCTGAGTAGCTGGGATTACAGGTGCATGCCACCACACCCGGCTAATTTTTTGTATTTTTAGTAGAGATGGGATTTCACCATGTTGGCCAGGCTGTTCTTGAACTCCTGACCTCAGGTGATCTGCCCACCTCGGCTTCCCAAAGTGTTGGGATTACAGGCGTGAGCCATCGCCCCTGGCAGGTAGTCCTTTTTCTCTTGTATAACATTGGGGATGTTAATACTTGTCTAAATGGATACTTGTCAACAATCAAAGGGTTTTTGAGGAAGGCTCTAGTGTATTTAGAAATTAACTCCCAGGAATATAAATCACCTACCAGTGTTTTTTTCAGTCTAAATTTGATGAGAATTGGCCGGACGCGGTGGCTCATGCCTGTAATGCCAGCACTTTGGGAGGCCGAGGCTGGTGGATTGCTTGAGGTCAGGAGTTGGAGACTAGCCATGGTGAAACCCCGTCTCTGCTAAAAATAGAAAAATTAGCTGGGTTTGGTGGTGCGCGCCTGTACTTCCAGCTACTCGGGAGGCTGAGGCAACGAGAGTCACTTGAGCTTGGGCGGTCTCTTGGTTCTTGCAGTGAGCCAAGATCATGCCACTGCACTCCAGCCTGGGTGACCAAATGAGACTCTGTCTCAAAAAAATAAAAACAAATAAAAATAAAAATAAATGTGATGAGAATCATACAAGATAAAATATAGAAAAATATACAAACTATAATTCTTTAAGGGTAATTATTTTGAGCATCATGTCTTATGCTTAAAATGCTGATTTCATTTTATTTTTTCAGGCAAACAACATGGGTGTTGGAGTGGTTGGAATTATAGAGTGTAATTTCCTTAAGCCAACTCATAATAAACAAGATTTCGACTATACTAATGAGTACAGGTATGTTACCTATTTAAATTATTGACTGAGGTTCCTAGGAAATGTATTACCAAGAAAGCAGGAACTACTCTATTTTCTGTGAATCTCAGAAATACCTTATTAGTAAAGAAAGGTTTGAATATACTACTTGTGATGGTGTAGGTTACAATTCCTAGAATGGAAGATGGTTATATTAGTTTTCTATGTAAGTCCCTTACCTACCCATTTTCTTAAAGTTCGATAATGTAATTATAATTTTGTAATTAAAATAAAAATCCACAAGGTGGCAAAACATTTAGCTTAAGAGAAGTTATGCAAGTATTTTGAAAATAAACTTTAAAAAGAAGTCAATAATTTAAATAGGTAAATAGAGGGCCTGGCCAATGCTGGCCTATAGACGTGGTCTCTGGTTGACATAGGGTGTGTGGATAGGTTGGAGCTGGTCTGTAGAGGGAGCCTTATGTTGTTGGAGCTAGCAGAAGACTGCTGGTGGGCAAAGCATGGCCTGATGGGCACAGCTGAAGCTCCTCTGGGAGGTCACTGGGCCCTAGCAAAATAGTAACAGAGTACCAGAACTTGGGCTGGATTTGGAGCCTAGAGACAATAAATTGGTAACTGAATGAATCAAAAAAGTCAGCCAGGTGCAGTGGCTCTTTCCTGTAATCTTAGCACTAAGGGGGCCCAAAGGTGGACAAATTGCTTGAGCTCAGAAGGTTGAGACCAGCGTGGGCAACATGGCAAAATCCTGTCTCTACCAAAAATACAAAAAATTAGCAAGGTGTGGTGGCATGTGTCTGTGGTCCCAGCTACTCAGGAGGCTGAGGCAGGAGGATCATTTGAGCCTGGGAAGGTGGAGTGTGCAGTGAGCCAAGATGGCGCCACTGTACTCCAACCCGATGACAGAGTGAGATCCCGTCTCAGGAAAAAAAAGACCACGTACAGTGGCTTACACCTGTAATCCCAGCACTTTAGTAGGCGGAGGATCGCTTGAGCCGAGGAGTTTGAGACCAGCCTGGGCAACACAGTGGGAGCTTATCTCTACAGAAAATAAAAAAATGAGGTGGGAGGATCACTTGAGCTCAGGAGATTGAGGCTGCAATGAGCCGTGATTGTGTCACTGCATTCCCGCGCTGGTGACAGAAGACACCCTGCCTCAAAAAAAAAAAAAAAAAAAATTTCGGTTCTTTGGTAGGACTAATAAAGTCTATAAGCATTTGTCAAGACTGATTAAGGAAAAGGAGTAGAAAATACAAATCATCAATATTAGAAATGAAAAAGAAGAAATTACTACAGAGCCTCCAGACATGAAACATTAAGCAGATAGCACAAATAAATTTTCTCCATTTTAGATGACGTGGACACATTCCTTTGAAATTGAATCACTTTTTAGAAAACTTCCCACATACTAAATTCAGACATTTAAGGAAGAAGTGGCATCAGTCTTTTTATTTACAAAAACTATTTAAAACAATACATAATAGTTCATTTGTATGGAATACATGTGATATTTTGATACAAGCATACAACATGTAATGATCAAGTCAGGGTTATTGGGATATTCATCACCTCAAGCAGTTGCCTTATTTTGTGTTAGGAACATTCCAATTTTACTCTTCTAGTTACTTTGAAATATATATATAAGATGTTATTGTTAACTACGGTTGTCCTCCTTTTTTTTTTTTTTTTTTTTTTTTTTGAGACTGAGTCTCACTCTGTCACTAGGCTGGAGTGCAGTGGCCCCCAGGTCTTAGCTTATTGCAACCTCTGCCTCTGGGATTCAAGTGATTCTCCTGCCTCAGCCTCCCGAGTAGCTGGGACTACAGGCATGCACCACCATGCCCAGCTAATTTTCTGTATTTTTGGTAGAGATGGGGTTTACTATTTTGATCAGGATGGTCTTGATCTGTTGACCTTGTGATCCACCCGCCTTGGCCTCCCAAAATGGTGGGATTATGGGTGTGAGCCACCACGCCCGGCCCTGTTGTCCTATTGTGGTACCAAATACTGTATCTTATTCCTTCTAATTAACTGTATTTTTATACTCATTAGCCAGCCCCTCTTTATTTCCCTCTCCCCACTACCTGTCCCATGTCCTGAGGGCAGTATTTTTTAGCTCTCAGATATGGATGAGAACATGAGATATTTGTCTTTCTATACCTGACTTACTTCACTTAATGTAATGTCCTCCAGGTATATCCATTTATATCCATGTCATTACAAATGACAGCATTTTTGTGGTTGGATAATATCCCATTGTGTGTATGTACCATAGTTTTTTTATTCATTTATTCGTTAATGGATGCTGACAAGGATGTGGAGAAAGGGGAACCCTCGTACACTATTAGTGGGAAAGTAAATTAGTATAGTTGCTATGGAGAATAGGATGGAGTTTCCTCAAGTAAACTAATAATAGAATTACCATATGATTGAACAATCACATGGCTGGATATATATCTAAAAGAAAGAAAATCAGTATATTTGAAGAGATACCTGCACTCTCATGTTTATTGCAGCACTGTTCACAGTAGTCAAAGGTTTTATGAAGCCACATAGCCTTGTTAGTAAGCTCAAGAGTACAGGAAAGGAAATTTATGTCAGTCTCTTATCATAGAATTAAAAGTCTTAATTAAAATATTGGTAAATACCATCCAGTACATGCTAAAAGAATAATAACATTAAAACCAAGTGGGTTGTGTTCTAAGACAATATGGGTGGTTTTAATGTAAGAAATGAGTATAGTTCATCATATTGATGTTTAATAAGAGAAAGCCCTTATGGTCATATACATAGATAGAGAAAAAGCACTTGCAATTATTTTTAAAAGGAACACCTACAAAAACTGTGAATCAAAGGGCATAATAACAGAGTATTTACACACACACGGCAAGCTACATTACTAATGGGGAACAATTGATAGCTTTCCTTAGAAGGGTGGGAGAGTTAAGGATACCAGCCATTCACTAAATATTCTTGAGGAAATAACTAATGTAATAAGGCCAAAAAAAAGGGGTGGGGGGGGGCAGGTTGAAAAGGAAGACATAAAGCTCTATTACAGGTTGAGTATCCTTATCTGAAATCTTTGAGACCGGAAGTGTTTTGGTTTGGATTTTTTTGTATTTTGGAATGTTTGCATTATGCCTACTGGTTGAGCATTGCAAATCTGAAAATCTGAAATCCAAGGTACTTTCATGAGCATTTCCTTTGGGTATCATGTTGGCACTCAAAAAGTTTCAGATTTGGAGCAATTTGGATTTTTGGATTTGGGATGTTCAGCTTGTACCAGTAGTTGACAATGTTAAGTACCATTAACCCTTGAACAGCGCAGTTATTAGGGGGACTGACTACCCCTCAGTCAAAGATCCACGTATAACTCCTCAGAACCTTAAGAGCCTGCTGTTGAATGGAAGCCTTACTGATAACATAAATAGTTGATTAAGCTGGGAATGGTGGCACACATCTGTAGTCCCAGCTACTCAGGATGCTCGAGGCAGAATGATCATGTGAGCCTAGGAGTTTGAAGCTGCAGTGAGCTGTGATAGTGCCACTGCTTTCCAGCCAGGGTGACAGAGCAAGACCTTTTCTCTAAAAAAAAAAAAAAAGAAAACCATCTATTAACATGTATTTCATATGTTAAATATATACTGTATTCTTAAAATAAGCTAATGAAAAAATGTTATTAGAAAATCATAGGCCGGGCATGGTGGCTCACGCCTGTAATCCCAGCACTTTAGGAGGCCGAGGTGGGCGGATCACGAGGTCAGGAGATCGAGACCATCCTGGCTAACATGGTGAAACCCAGTCTCTACTAAAAATACAAAAATTAGCTGGGCTTGGTGGCGTGTGGCTGTAATCCCAGCTACTCAGGAGGCAGAGGCAGGAGAATTGCTTGAACCAGGGAGTCGGAGGTTGCAGTGAGCTGAGATTGAGCCACTACATTCCAGTTTGGTGACAGAGAGAGACTCTGTCTCAAAAAAAAAAAAAAAAAAAAAAAAATCATGGCCGGGTGCCGTGGCTCAGGCCGGTGCGGTGGCTCACACCTGTAATCCCAGCCCTTTGGAAAGCACTGAATCCTAGCCACTAGACCACCAGGGAACCACAATCCCAGCACTTTGGGAGGCTGATGTGGGTAGATCACTTGAGATTAGGAGTTCGAGACCAGCCTGGCTAACATGGTGAAACCCCATCTCTACTATTTTATTTATTTTTTTCTGAGATGGAGTCTTGCTCTGTCATCCAGTCTGGAGTGCAGTGGTGCAATCTCAGCTCATTGCAACCTCCGCCTCCTGGGTTCAAGCAATTCTCCCTATCTCAGCCTCCCAAGTAGCTGGGATTACAGGCACCTGCCACCAAGCCCGGCTAATTTTTGTATTTTTTTTTTTTTTTTTTTTTTAGTAAAGACAGAGTTTTGCCACGTTGGCCAGGGTGGTCTCTAACTCCTGACCTCAGGTGATCCGGCCACCTCGGCCTCCCAAAGTGCTGGGATTACAGGTGTGAGCCACCACTCCTGGTCCCATCTCTACTAAAAATAAAAAAATTAGCCGGGCATGGTGGTGGGCACTTGTAATCCCAGCTACTTTGGAGACTGAGGCAGGAGAAACACTTGAACCCAGGAGGTGGAGGTTGCAGTGAGCCTAAGTCACGCCATTGCACCCTAGACTGGGTGACAGAGTGAGACCCTGTCTCAAAAAAAAAGAAGAAAACCAAAAACAAAATCATAAGGAAGAGAAAATATATGTACTGTTCATTAAGTGGAAGTGGTTCATATGTCTTCATCCTCGTAGTCTTCGTGTTGAGTAGGCTGAGGAAGAAGGGGGATTGGTTTTGCCATGGCACGAGAAGAGGTGGAAGGAGAGGCAGGCACACTCAGTTTAATTTTTATACACTGTAATTTCTGTCTGACTTATTTCCATTTTTGTTTTCTTTCTTTCTTTCTTTCTTTTTTTTTTTTTTTTTTGAGATGGAGTCTCGCTCTGTTGCCCACATCTTGGCTCACTGCAACCTCCGCCTCCCAGGTTCAAGCGATTCTTCTGCCTCAGCCTCCTGAGTAGTTAGGACTACAGGCACACGCCATCACGCCCGGCTAATTTTTGTGTGTTTAGTAGAGATGGGGTTTCCCCATATTGGCCAGGCTGGTCTTGAACTCCTGACCTTGTGATCCGCCCGCCTCTGTCTTCCAAAGTGCTGGGATTACAGGCGTGAGCCACCGTGCCCAGTGCATTTTTATTTTCATAAAAATATCTCTGTACAGTACCAATCCTTCTTACACTGTCTGCTTCAGTTTCAGTGCCTGTATCATAGAAGTGTCCATGTTGTAAAAGAAATCAAAAGCAGTCTTGAATAATTGGAACCCACCTTCTGGATTGTCTAATGTCAGTTTGTTGTCTGGGCACTGCTTCTTCTGTCTTCTTCCTCACTGTCTAACACTGGTTCAGAAACACTCATCTCCATCAAGTAGGCTTCAGTTGATTTCCTCAGGTGTGGTGTCTGTTCGCTCTTGAATTCCTGCAACATCCATATCTTGAAACTTTTTGCCCTCTACCTTTTTTTTCCTGTATATCCACAATCTCTCTGATGATTTCCTCAACTGGCTATCTTGTAAATACTGTGAAGTCATGCACAACATGTGGACATAGCAGGAATTTATTGTTTTGAGCTTGATTTCTTTCACAGCTTTTTCTGTACTTAATAATGGCATCGTTATTCTAGACTTTCATGATGTTTTCTCTGTCAGAATTGTCTTCCACAGCGTTAACAATCTTTTCCGTAGATTTGCTGTGTGTAATGAGCCTTAAAGGTCTTATGACCCTCCTTGTTATCTAGAGGCTGAATTAGAGACATTGTGTTTCGGGACAAGTAGACCACTTGGATGCCTTTGGTATTGAAGTCATGGGGTTATGGGTGGCCAGGGTACCTTGTCCAATATCAAAAGAACTGTAAAAGGCAGTCCTTTACTGGCAAGTTAATTCCTGACTTCAGGAACAAAGCATCAATAGACCCAGTCAGAAAAAGAATTTCTCATCCAGGCCTTCTATTTGTGCAACCAAAAGACTGGCAGCTGGTGTTTGTCTTTTCTCTTCAAGGCTTAAGGGTTAGCATCTTTATAGATAATGGCAGTCCTGATCATAAACCTGACTACATTTGCACAAAGCAGTAGGGTTAGCCTGTCCGTTCTTGGACTTAAATCCTGGTTTATGCTCCTCTTTTTTGCTAATAAGTGTTCTTTGTGGCATTTTTTCCCAGAATAGAGTACTTTTGTTTGCATTAAAAACCTGTTCAAACAGGCTGGGCATGGTGGCTCATCCCTGTAATCCCAGCACTTTGGGAGGCTGAGACAAGAATAGCTTGAGGCCAGGAGTTCGAGAGCAGCCTGGGCAAAAAAGCAATACCCTGTCTCTACAAAAAATGAAAAAAAAAAAAAATTAGCCAGGTGTGGTGGCAAGTGCCTGTGGCCCCAGCTACTCAGGCGCCTCAACCTACATATCAAGCAATTTATACTTTTTCTTATATTATGACTTTGCTTCTTGGGAAAACAACTGGCATCACTAGTGGCAGTTCGTGTGGGTCCTGTGGTGTTTTTCAAGGTTTACAGTATTGCACTAAACGATTTTTACTGCAATATAAAATTTCTTGGAGATGCTTACATGGAGATAAGCATGTCATAAGGCACTTGAAGCAAATAAAAAACTTGAGCCCATCAAAATAGCAACAGGAGGTGGCTATGAAATTACTATAATAATATTGTATGTATATAATTAATCTTATGCAGTTATAATTTAAGACTGCATCTTTGTTTACATTTCTCTTGACTGCAAATGAAACCACCTACAGTCTGTATATGCTTCAGTCTTGATAAATTTTAACTTTTTAAATAGCTTTGTGTATATTTTATGGTAGTAAATTATAAAATAGACTAGTATTTGCATGTTTTATGCATTCATGACATATCTAACTTATTCTTAATTTTTTGGATATTTCTGGGCAATGCAGTTCTTGGAAGTTTTTTTCAAATTGTTATAACTCTCTAAAAAATTTTCTAATTTATTGAAAGAAAATTGTGTATAAGTGCAGTTCAAACCTGTGTTGTTCAAGGGTCACCTATACCTTGAATGTTCTTTATTAACTATATGTTTTGGAGTTTTTTCTCTTCACAGTGTCTATGTACTCATTACTAGATTATTTATGATTTATGTTTGAAAAGAATTTTTTCTTGATTTTATGATTTACTTTTTAAGACTTACAATAACAGCACTAGGAGAAAAGCTGAATGATTACTGGAATGAAATGAAAGTGAAGAAAAATACAGAATATCCTCTAAATTTGCCAGTTGAAGATATACAGTAAGTACATTTTTAAAACATATCATTTCACTTAGATATCAAGATGTGGTATTAGAGAGTAAAGGGATTGTACAATGTTTCACAAACTTAGGACTGTAACTCATAGGAATAAATTCTGCAACATGAATTAGCGCACTGCAAAATCAGTGAATAGAATGTAAACCTGTATACATGCACACAAAACATCCATAAAACAATGTTTACCCATATGTGATGCATGTTAATGTTATTTCATTTTAAGATGCTATGGATGGATTATATAATAGTTTGAAAAACACTGGTATAGTGTATCATTAGGATGATGGGGCTGAAACCCAACTTGAGTTCATATTCTCATTCTGCTTAAGTAGCCATGTGGCATTGAACATATTACTTGGCCTCTTGTAAGCCTCCATTTTCTTGTGTATAAAATGGGAACATTAAGAGCATTTGCCTCCTCGAATTATATGAATTAAATAATATGCCTGACAGTCACTTAGTAACACATCACAGGATAACAGTCCTATAAATGAATGAATGAACAATATCTGTGTGTTCTTTATCTGTGTGTTCTTTATACATTATTATACATAATTTATACATTATACATATTATTCATAATTTATACATTATTACAAAGATAACCAAGATATATAATGAAAAACAAGAAAGATGCAGCTCAGTGTATAGACTTCCCATCGTACTTTTCAATTTTTTTATATTTAAAAAAAGTTTTATACAGGTGGGGTCTCCCTGTGTTGCCCAGGCTGGTCTCAATGTCCTGGGTCCAGGTGATCCTCCCACCCAAAGTGCTGGGATTATAGGCATGAGCCACCGTGCCCAGCTTGTATTTTTTTAATGTGTCAGTATACACATGCATACTTTATAAGCATAGAAAATTTCTGCTAGTATTTTAAAAATTAGCAGTGGTAATTTCCTGAGACAAGGAGTTTATAAAGTATAAAGTTATGCTTTATAAACCTCTAGATTGTTTTGAAGTTTCGGATTTGTTTGGTTGGTTGGTTGGGTTTTTTTTTTTTTGGTTTTTTTTTTTTGAAATGGAGTCTCACTCTGTCACCCAGGCTGAAGTGCAGTGGCGCAATCTCAGCTCACTGCAACCTCCACCTCCCGGGTTCAAGCAATTCTCCTGCCTCAGCCTTCCGAGGAGCTGGGACTACAGGCGTGTGCCACCACGCCTGGCTAATGTTTGTATTTTTAGTAGAGACAGAGTTTCACCATGTTGGCCAGGCTGGTCTTGAACTCCTGACCTCAGGTGATCTGCCTGCCTTGGCCTCCCAAAGTGCTGGGATTACAGGCGTGAGCCACCGCGCTCATCCTGTTTTGAAGTTGTTTATAAATATCTAAATGCTTTTTCAAAGCTAGATTTAAAAAGCAGGCCAGGTACGTTGGATCACATCTGTAATCCCAGCACTTTGGGAGGCCAACCGAGGCGGGCGGATCACTTGAGGTCTGGAGTTTGAGACCCACCTGATCAACATGGTAAAACCCTGTCTCTACTGAAAATACAAAAAGTAGCCAGGCATAGTGGTGCACACCTGTAGTCCCAGCTACTTGGGAGGCTGAGGCAGGAGAATAGCTTGAACCCGGGAGGCAGAGGTTGCAATGAACCGAGATTGCACCATTGCACTCCAGCCTGGGCGAAAAGAGTGAAACTCTGTCTCAAAAAAAATAAATAAAATGAAATAAAACTAGATTTAAAAAGCTATTGACATTAAGGTGAAGTTTTCATATGTAAAATAAGTCTACATAGGCTGTATCCAGTGGGTCACGCCTGTAATCCCTGCACTTTGGGAGGCCAAGGCAGAAGGATTGCTTGAACTCAGGAGTTGGAGACCAGGCTGGGCAACGTGGTGAGACCTATCTCTTAAAAAAATAAATAAATAAAGTAGAAGCAAAAAATAATTAAAAAAATAAAAGAATATATACAAGTTCTTTACAGGAATTATTGTGATTTTTCTTTTTTTTTTGTTTTTGAGGTAGAGGCTTGCTCTGTCGCCCAGGCTGGAGTGCAGTGGCGCAATCTCGGCTCACTGCAAGCTCTGCCTCCTGGGTTCATACAATTCTCCTGCCTCAGCCTCCTGAATAGCTGGGACTACAGGAACCCGCCATCACGCATGGCTTATTTTTTGTATTTTTAGTAGAGATGGGGTTTCACCGTGTTAGCCAGGGTAGTCTCGATCTCCTGACCTCATGATCCACCCGCGTCAGCCTCCCAAAGTGCTGGGATTACAGGCATGAGCCACCGCGCCCAGCCTTGATTTTTAAATGAGAAAAATATGAAAGCATTTTGTAAACTAAAAGTATACTAATTTTAGTTATTCAGAAATAAGAGGGCAAAAGTGTCTTATTTAAAGTTACTTAAATTATAACAACAGAATTCTGTTTTCTGGACTTGAGTGATTTATTATGCTAATAAATACAATATATTGTAGATTTAACATTGTAGACACTAAACATAAAGTTCAGGGCAAGGCATTTGAAATATTAAGTTATAGAAAAAATTTAATGCTATTAAGACATAAGTCACATTGTTCAAATTGGCTTGTGACTTTTAATCTTTTGAAGGTAACCAAAATGGTTGTGTTTAATTTTTGAGAGATGGGGTCTCACTATGTTGCCCAGGCTGGCCTCATACTCCTGTGCTCAAGCGATTCTCCAACCTCAGCCTCCTGAGTATCTGAGACTAAGGTGTATGCCACCACACCCAGCTCAAAATAGTTGTTTTTAAAATGTATTTCTAAAAAATACCTGCTTTAGCCTCCCAAATTATAGGCATGAGCTACCGTGCCTTGCCTTGCCTTTTCTCTTTTCTTTTCCTTTCCTTTCCTCTCCTTTTTTTTTTTTTTTTTTTTTTTTTGACAGGATCTTACTCTGTAGCCTAGGCTGGAGGTCAGTAGCATGATTTTGCAACCTCTGCCTCCTGGGCTCAAGCAATCCTCCCACCTCAGCCTCCCAAGTAGCAGGGACCACAGGTGTGCATTACCACTCCCAGTTAATCTTTGTGTTTTTTTGTAGAGACAGGGTTTCACCATGTTGTCCAGGCTGGTCTCTAACTCCTGGGATTATAGGCATGAGCCGTCGCACCCAGCCTAATTTTGAAAGAGTTACGTCATAATTTTTAGGAAAGGAATTAAATAATGGCATCTTGTGGTAGAAATGATGTGGAACATCTGATGAAGTATTTAGAGTCCATATTTCTGTGTTAATATTTTGTTCTTGTTTTGGGACAGGAAGCGTCCTGATCAGACATGGGTTCAGTGTGATGCCTGTCTAAAGTGGCGGAAATTACCTGATGGGATGGATCAACTTCCTGAAAAATGGTATTGCTCCAATAACCCTGACCCACAGTTCAGGTACCATAGAGTTGGTAGTACCCTTTTTGGAAAGACGGAAAGTACTGTTCACAGTGTATGAATAGGCGCTGGTGACATGTTATTCCTATGTGATTTTTCTGAATAGAAATTGTGAGGTTCCAGAAGAACCTGAAGATGAGGATTTGGTACATCCCACTTATGAAAAAACCTACAAAAAGACGTGAGTGTTGTATTGATGTATAGTGGGTAATAATGCCCAGATCATGAACAGTGATGCCTTGGCAACATTATTTGATGCTTCTCCAAGGTAAAGCACCTGTAACTGAAAAAGTTTATAATGTGGAGTGCGTAATATCAAGGGCTTTAAAAACAAAAACTTATGCTGTGGATACCTGCTGTTTATTTCATGCTTATTGCTGCCATATGTGCGGATGTTTTGTGTAAGAGCAGTCTGCTGTTGTGAGCTGTATGCAGAGGAATCATTAGTGAATACCCCCCCCATTGAAGCTTATAGAGAAGGTGTAACAGAAGAGGTGATACATGAATTTTACCAGTTACGTGTTGGTGAGTGCCATAGAAGCTCTGGTCCAGTGCTGTAAGGAAGCTCATAGGGAGAGTAGTTCTGTCTGGTGGGCAGGAGAGCAGAAATAGATCAGGAAACTTCATGAAGGAGGTCATTTTTGTAATAGGCCTTGAAGGATGGGTACGATGAGAATGTACAGGGAATAAACATTTACTCAGTGTAGCTAGAGTATGTGAATGGGAATAATGGAAAATGGATGTGGCACTTTGGGAGGTTGAGGCGGGTGGATCACCTGAGGTCAGGAGTTCGAGACCAGCTTGGCAAACGTGGTGAAACCCCGTCTCCACTAAAAATACAAAAAGTAGCCGGGTGTGGTGGCAGGTGCCTGTAATCCCAGCTACTCGGGAGGCTGAGGCAGGAGAATCGTTTGAACCTGGAGGGCAGAGGTTGCAGTGAGCCAAGATCGCATCACTGCACTCCAGCTTGGGCAACAAGAGTGAGACTCTATCTTAAAAAAAAAAAAAAAGATAGTGGAAGTGGGACAGATGCTGAATAAGGATAGTCAGCCAGTGGAGACTTCAGGCTAATCTACCACACACAGAAGGCCAGGTTACTAAGAGCCTTTCAGGTGGCTTTGATTTGTAGTGTACTATTCTTTAGTGAAATCCAGCAATAGTATTGGAAGTATAGAAACCTATGTGGGCTGGTGTGGTGGCTCACACCTGTAACCCCAGCACTTTGGGAGACTGAGGTGGGTGGATCACTTGAGGTCAGGAGTTTGATACCAGCCTGGCCAACATAGTGACACCCCGTCTCTACTAAAAATACAAAAATTAGCTGGGTGTGGTGGTGCATGCTGTAATCCCAGCTACTCAGGAGGCTGAGGCAGGAGAATCACTTGCACCCAGGAGGCAGAGATTGTAGTGAGCCGAGCACACCACTGCATTCCAGCCTGGGCGACAGAGTGAGACTCTGTCTCAAAAAAAAAAAAAAAAAAAAAAAAAAAAGGCAGGTGTGGTGGCTCACATCTGTAATCCCAGACAGGCCAGGAGTGGTGGCTCACACCTATAATTCTAGCACTTTGGGAGGCTGAGTTGGGCGGATCACCTGAGGTCAGGAGTTCGAGACCAGCCTGGCCAATGTGGTGAAACCCTGTCTCTACAAAAAACACAAAAATTAGCCGGGCATGGTGGTGGACGCCTGTAATCCCAGCTACTCGGGAGGCTGAGGCAGGAGAATTGCTTGAACCCGGGAGGCAGAGGTTGCAGTGAGCCGAGATTACATCACTGCACTCCATCCTGGGCAAGACTCCCTCTCAAAAGAAAAAACCTATGTGATGTTCTAGTTCAAAAGCCTGTGATTCTGGACTGAGTTATCTGGTCTTAGTGGAGAAAAAAACACCAAAGATCTGCAGTTTATACCGGTGAGGATGGAAAAATTCAGGCTAAAATTAGGGTGCTACTGAGATAAAAGGTAGAAAGTATTTCCTGAAGGGCTTACTGTTGATTATATTGAAATAGAAGCAGAGTTCAGAGTACCTTAGTAACTGCATAAATGGCAGGTATGTCATTGGGAAATGGGATTGAGAAATAACAACATGTTTTTCATCTTTATTTTAAAGCAACAAGGAAAAATTCAGGATCAGACAACCGGAAATGATCCCTCGGGTAATTAAGCCTTCTTTTTTTTTTTTTTTTTTAAATAGAGATGGGGGCTGACACCCGTAATCCCAGCATTTTGGGAGGCCGAGGCAGGTGGATCACCTGAGGTCAGGAGTTCAAGACCAGCCTGGCCAACATGGTGAAACCCTGTCTCTACTAAAAACACAAAAATTAGCTGGATGTGGTGGCACATACCTGTAATCCCAGCTACTCGGGAGGCTGAAACAGGAGAATTGCTTGAACCTGGGAGGTAGCTGTTGCAGTGAGAAAGATTGGTACCATTGCACTGCGGTCTGGGCCACAGAGCGAGACTTCCATCTCAAAAAATAAATAAAATAGGGATGGGGTCTCACTGTGTTGACCAGGCTGGTCTTGAACTCCTGGCCTCAAGTAATCCTCCCATCTCAGCCTCCCAAAGTGCTAGGATTACAGGTATGAGCCACCACACCTGTCCAAGCTTTCCATTTTATAGCTGTGTCTTATATTGTGTAGTGCTTAGTTTAATCAGTAGTGAATGTTAAAGTTTAATACATATCAAAGGGATTTGGTTTATTTAGTTCATTTTCTTCTCTTGTACTTCTGCTTGCCCACCTTTCCAACTCTTCCTAATCCAACATCATTCAAACTGTTAGTTTGATTGTTTAGTTGGGTATCTTCTGAGGAAAGGCAAACAAACTTTAAAAATTGTACTGTTAGATAAGCAGTTAAGGAAGACATCCCAGGAACACCCAGGAAGCCATATTTTAGTGCTAACCGGGACAAAAGCCATAGTGTTTTTCCCAGTGTTGACTACTCTGCCTGGCCTCTCTCTTCTGTCTTAATACTTACTGTGTTAAAGAGCTTTGGTTGAGTATAGATTCTCCTAGGCTTACCGTAGAGTTACATCCTGATAAGCCCATTATAAGTTGAAAATGTTTTTAGCCGTGGTGGCTCATGCCTGTGTTCCCAGAACTTTGGGAAGGTGAGGTGGGCGATCACTTGAGGCCAGGAGTTCGAGACCAGCCTGGGCAATATGGCAAAACCCTGTCTCTACTAAAAATATAAAAAATAATGTGGTGGCAGGCACTTGTAATTCCAGCTACTCAGGAGGCTGAGGCACAAGAATTGCTTAAACCTGGGAGATGGAGGTTGCAGTGAGCCAAGATCACACCACTGCACTCCATCCTGGGGAACAGACTGAGACTCTGTCTCAAAAAAACAAAAAACAAACAAAATATTGTTATCAAAAATGCATTTAATACACTTAACCTATTGAATATCATAGCTTCGCCTAGCCTACCTTAATTGTGCTCAGAACTCTTATATTAGCCTACATTGGGCAGTCATCTGACAGTCTGTTTTATCATAAAGTGTTGAGTATCTCATGAACTTTATTGAATACTGAAAGTGAAAAACAAAACAAAAATGATTGCTTGAGTACTCGAAGTACAGTTTCTGCTGAATGGGTATTGCTTTTGCACCATCATAAAGTTGATGCCATTGTAAATCAGGGGCCATCTGAATGCAAGTAGGCAGTTGTGCTTCTTGCTTGAGAAGTTTGGGTCTTGATAAGTCTAGTAGCAAAGAGGTCACCACATGGTAAATCTTTTTGGCTTTGTGGGCCACATAAAGTCTCTGTTGCATATTCTTTGTTTTGTTGCTTTGTTTCTTCACACCTTTTAAAAATACAAAGCCATTCTTAGCCTACTTGCAGGCTGGATTTAGTTCATTGGTTTACTTGTTGATTCCTGGTATAGCACAAGGAATTTACATGTTTGGAATTGTTTTTGTGTCTTCTGGGATAAGGGGGAAGAGGAAGATTATATCTTGTGTTTTGGGCATGTCACACTAGAAATAGTTCCTTTAAGGTGATGATTTTTCCCTCCAACAGATTAATGCTGAACTGTTGTTTCGGCCAACTGCTCTTTCAACTCCAAGCTTTTCTTCTCCTAAGGAAAGTGTTCCAAGAAGACATCTTTCAGAAGGAACAAATTCTTATGCGACAAGACTTCTAAATAATCATCAAGTTCCACCTCAGTCTGAACCTGAGAGCAACAGGTCAGTGGCTAAGATTGGTTTTCCATTTGGGGAATATTAAACAGAGCTTTTACTTGACACTTCTGTGACAGTGATGCAATTCGGGATCATTGTAGGTTCCATTGTGAATTGTAGGTTCCATGAATGTGAAAATCTTCAGGACAAATTGTCTTGCTTTTATTGTCTAAACTTAGGCTAAACCCTACTTCTGCCACCTGTTAAATTCGTTAAAAAGTATTAATTGACCAGCCTGGCCAACATGGCAAAACCCCATCTCTACTACAAATACAAAAAAATTAACCAGGCGTGGTGGCGGGCACCTGTAATCCCAGCTACTCCAGAGGCGGAGGCTGAGGCTGAGGCTGAGGCTGCACCCCAGCCTGGGCAACAAGAGCAAAACTCCGTCTCAAAAAAAAAAAGCATTAATTGTATTCATTGTAGAGTTTGATCGCATTCTCACCTGTTTGAATTTCTATATAGTATGACAATTCCTGCTTTTAAGATGATCAGGACTTAAAAAAATGTGAAGCAGCCCGGGCGCGGTGGTTCACGCCTGTAATCCCAGCACTTTGGGAGGCCGAGGTGGGTGGATCATTTGAGGTCAGGAGTTCGAGACCAGCCTGGCCAACATGGTGAAACCCCGTCTCTACTAAAAATATAAAAATTAGGTGGGTGTGGCGTTACATGCCTGTAATCCCAGCTACTTGGGAGGCTGAGGCAAGAGAATCGCTTGAACCTGGGAGGCGGAGGTTGCAGTGAGCCGAGATCACGCCACTGCACTCCAGCCTGGGTGACAGAGCGAGACTCCATCTCAAAAAAAAAAAAAAAAAAACATGAAGCAATTAACAGTACGACACTATAGTGACCCAGAAGTTCTTTGCAAAGCCTATGGCACACTGTAGGCACTTAATTTATTGGAGGAGTGGATGGAGAAGGAAGGGACAAAGAGAAAGTGATGCATGAATTGAATAGTTAGCCATCTTGACTGGATTGATCAGCGAAGGCTTTGTGATGAGGTGGTACTTACGTTGGTTCCTGAAGTTCTGAAAACAGTAGTCTTGTAGATGGCCTCTTCCAATTTAATAGAATGAAGACAAGTGAAGAAGAATGAATGTGATGTCTACAAACGAGTGGATCACACTGACTATACTGATGTTTGTTATTCGAAGAGGAACATTGAAACAAGCTTCTCTAAGATAGTGGGGCCAGATTTTTTTTGAGATGTTTTGTAACTTTTATCAAATTCTCAAAGGAATTTTTGACCCCAAGGAAGATTATAAATAACTAACTGCCTTTATGCATATATAAATCAAAGAGGGCATATTCTAGAATAGTTTGCTCTTCCTTTCTTTATTTTTTTGAGTCGGAGTTTGGCTTTTGTTGCCCAAGCTGGAGTGCAATGGTGCAATCTCAACTCAATGCAACCTCCGACTCCTGGTTCATGCGATTCCCCCACCTCAGCGTCCCGAGTAGCTGGGGTTACAGGCACGCACCACCATGCCTGGCTAATTTTTTGTATTTTTAGTAGAGACAGGTTTTCACTGTGTTAGCCAGGATAGTCTCGAACTCCTGACCTCAGGTGATCCGCCCGCCTCGGCCTCCCAAAGTAATGGGATTACAGGTGTGAGCCACAGCACCCGGCCAGTTTGCTCTTTATAACCTGTGTATTGGACACTCATTTTGGAGCTGGATTGCTACTTTATTAAGAACTCATATTTTACAGTTCTCCTTAACATTTTTGGCTTTTCTTTGTAAGGATGGTTTTGTAGTTTATAGATAAGAGATTAAAGGTATTTTTAATGATTTTAACTTTTAGATTCAGGGTACATGCAGGTTTGTTACATGGGTATATGGCGTGATCCTGAGGTTTGGGGTATGAATGATACCATCGCCCAGCTATTGAGCATAGTACCCAATATGTAGTTTTTCAGCCCTGCCCACCTCCCTTCCTCTCTCCCCACTGTAGTGGTCCCCAGTGTCTATAGTTCCCATCTTTATGTCCATGTGTACCTAGCACTTACTCCCACTTATAAGTGAGAACATGAAGTATTTGGTTTTCTGTTCCTGCCTTAATTCCCTTAGGATAAAGGCCTCCAGCTGCATTCATGTTGTTGCAAAGGACATTATTTCTTTCTTTTTTATGGCTGCAAAGAAAATTTTTTAAAAGTTGGCCGTCATCAAAATGGAAGACAAGAATAAAGAGGGAAATTTTTGATTAAACAACTTTTTTTTTTTTTGAAACAGAGTCTTTCTCTGTCACCCAGCCTGGAGTGCAGTGGCATAATCTGTTTACTGCAACCTCTGCCTCCTGGTTCAAACAACTCCCCTGCCTCAGCCTCCTGAGTAGCTGAGATTACAAATGTACACCGCCATGCCCTGCTAATTTATTGTGTTGTAGTATAGATGGGGGTTCACCATATTGCCCAGGCTGGTCTCAAACTCCTAAGCTCAGGCAATCTGCCTGCCTCGGCCTCCCAAAGTGCTGGGATTACAGGCGTGAGCCACTTTGCCCGGCCTATTAAACAGTTTTTAAAGCCGTATTCTCAAATTTATAAACCAAAGTTTGTGGAAAGGGTGTATCTAAGTCTTAGGAAATATAAATAGGAATGAGCTTGGTAAGAAAAAGAATAGAGTAACTCCAAATTAAACAGGGCAGAGTAAGCAAGAAGTACTTGATACAGCAAACCAAGGGAAGCTGAAACCTAAGCTGCTGGAGGATGGTAGAAACCAGTTTACGCCACAGGTCCCTAGAAAGTCTCCTAACTTGGAAGCATTGGGGACTGCTGAAGGTGGAAGATAGATAGGGGTGAGAACCAGAGGCTTGGTTGGAAACTTAAAGTCGAGACCTCTTTCCAACCTGCAAAGTCTGGTGAGTGCCCTTTCTCTGCCTCTGTCAGAAGATAGGGAATTTACTTTATGGAGCAGTTTTTACTGCTGAAGATGTACATGAGCCATTGTTTTGAAACAGAATGAGTAAGGGAAAGTTTGGATACTGAATGGTCAGAAATCCACCCTTCCCTCCTCACTGGGCTCCAAGAGAGAAGCCCTAAATGATGATGGCAGTTTGAGCACCCTTTGAATCACAAGCTCAGCCCTAACTACTGCTAGTCAGTTTCACTCTTAGGTATACGCAGATCGCCCTGGATAGCCACATGTGTCATCTCCCACATGGGACAGCAGACTGAAACAAAGGGAATAGAAGAAAACATTGTGAAATTTATTGGGGGAAAGTGATGTAAACTTGAATAAATAAATCATTTAGAATGAAAAGCTTAACAGTCGGAAGATAGAGAAAGAAGAAAAGATACAGTATCTGTGCTGGAAAGCCACCATCTGAATAAGGGAGTTTCAGAATGGGACGTAGGCACTGGTATGGTGTAGCAAACATAGCTGCCTTCCAGAATGGGAAATCATACCAGAAAAACTGCATTTCCACTAACTACAGAGCATAATGTCTGGAAGGAGAGCCACTCAAAGACATAGGATCATGACATTTTTTTAACGCAGGGAATAAAAGATTTTTTCAGAAAGAAACAGATTATGTACGGGCAAGAGATGAGGAATTAGAATGGCAGAAACACTTGAATGGCAGATGAAAATGGAATGATGCTTTTAAATTTCTGAGAAAATAATTTTTCAACCCGGAAGCCTATATAACAGTTAAGCTAGCAATAGACTTGAGAGAGAAATAAAGATGTTTTCATCATGCAAAACTTTGCGTTTGTTATGTTCTGTGTACCCTTCATTAAGATGCTGTTGCAGGCTGTGCTCGCCCAATATGAGACAGTCCAAAAAAGAGGAAAATCCTTCCTGAGATCTAGGAGGTCTAACACAAGGCCCAAATAGCAAACCAGTACAAATATTCCTCCAAGTGTGGAAAAAGGCAATCAAATGGTGATAAATAAATGTGAACTATGCACATATTAACATGAATGAACAGGGAATGATGCAAATGAAGAAATTGGGGCAATTTTAATTCAGATAAAATTATTTCATATGAAAGGATAAATACTGGTTTGCTTTATGGCTTATCTTTGATCACTGATTACTGATAAAAATTATTATGGGCAAATGAAAATGGTGGTGCCATTCCCTGAGCTGAAGAATACAAAGAAGGGGCCGGGGTGGGTAGCATTCTGTTCTGGAAATGTGTACATTGAAATGCCTGGAGGTGATCAAATGCAGAGATGTTTGGCAGTAAATAGATCTGGTACTTCAAAGAGATCTCAATAGTCCATCGTCTTCATCTGTAAAAAGAGAAAATAATCTCTACTTCATTAAATCAGTGATTGGTACTATACAATGCGTCACTTTAAAAAATGAGCCTGGGTATTTCTTAGTATTGCAAAACTTATAGCTGGGCACAGTGGCTCATGTGTCTAATCCCAGCACTTTGGGAGGCTGTGGCAGGCAGATTGCTTGAGCTCAAGGAGTTTGAGACCAGCCTGGGCAACATGGGGAAACCCCATCTGTACTAAAAATATAAAAATTAGCTGGACGTGGTGGCGGGTGCCTGTAATCCCAGCTCCTCAGGAGGCTGAGGCAGGAGAATCACTTGAACCTGGGAGGCAGAGGTTGCAGTGAGCCAAGACTGTGCCATTGCACTCTAGCCTGGGCGACAGAGTGACACTCCATCTCAAAAAACAAAAAAACTGTTACAATACTGCATTTGTTAGAATGATTACTTCAAGGTCATCTATTTTGTCCATATTTTATAATCTTATGTTTTATGTATAAAATTTTTTTCAGCTTGAAACGGAGACTTTCTACTCGTTCCTCAATTTTGAATGCAAAGAATCGGAGATTGAGTAGTCAGTTTGAAAATTCAGTTTATAAAGGTGATGATGATGATGAAGATGTCATCATCTTAGAAGAAAACAGTACCCCCAAACCTGCAGTAGATCATGATATTGACATGAAATCAGAACAGAGTCACGTTGAGCAAGGTGGTGTTCAGGTTGAGTTTGTGGGTGACAGTGAACCTTGTGGCCAGACTGGTTCAACAAGCACCTCATCATCCCGATGCGACCAGGGAAATACTGCAGCTACCCAGACTGAAGTACCAAGTTTAGTTGTTAAAAAAGAAGAAACTGTTGAAGACGAGATAGACGTAAGAAATGATGCAGTGATTCTGCCCTCCTGTGTAGAAGCTGAAGCAAAGATACATGAAACCCAGGAAACCACCGATAAATCTGCAGATGATGCAGGCTGCCAATTACAAGAACTGAGAAACCAGCTACTCCTTGTCACTGAGGAAAAAGAGAATTATAAAAGACAGTGTCATATGTTTACTGATCAAATCAAAGTGTTACAACAGAGGATACTAGAAATGAATGACAAGTATGTTAAGAAAGAAACTTGCCATCAGTCCACTGAAACCGATGCTGTATTTTTACTTGAAAGTATTAATGGCAAATCTGAAAGTCCAGACCATATGGTATCTCAGTATCAGCAAGCTTTGGAAGAAATAGAAAGGCTGAAAAAACAATGTAGTGCTTTGCAACATGTAAAGGCTGAATGCAGCCAGTGTTCCAATAATGAGAGTAAAAGTGAAATGGATGAGATGGCTGTGCAGCTTGACGATGTGTTTAGACAACTGGACAAATGCAGTATTGAGAGGGACCAGTATAAAAGTGAGGTGAGTTATATCATCCAACATGTAGTCATGGAGTCCAGGGCCATTTAAACCTTAAGAAGCTGCCAGTTGGCTGGGCGCGGTGGCTCATACCTGTAATCCCACCACTTGGGGAGGCCAAGGCGGGTGGGTCAGTCACTTGAGGTCAAGGAGTTCGAGACCAGCCTGGACAAAATGGTGAAACCCCGTTTCTACTAAAAATACAAAAATTAGCCTAGCGTGGTGGTGGGAGGCTGAGGCAGGAGAATCACTTGAACCCAGGAGGCGGAGGCTGCCGTGAGCCAAGATTGCACCACCACATTCCAGCCTGGGCAACAGAGCGAGACTCTGTCTCAAAAAAAAGCTGCCAATTGCTTGATTGGAATGCTTTCACTTAAAAATAATTCTGTTCTTATTGAGTGTCTGTTATTCTACTGGTTCTCAACTGAGGAGAGGGCCTCCTGGAGGCATATGGAATTGTGTAGGGGCATTTTTGGTTCTTCCAATGTCTTGAGATGTGCATTCCTGAAAAATATTAGGGGTAGCCAGGTATGGTAAATGTCCTGTTCAGAATACCAATATTAACTTAATACCTCATTAATACAGTTAATTATGTTCTTTTTTGGGCATCAATTCTGCTTTTAAGTATAGTTAATCCTTTAGTTATGGAGTCATTCATTTTTCTAGATTATGTCTTTCAAGATTCCTGAGAGAAACTGACTTATCCCTTTTAAAATCTTTGATTAATATACATACATACATATATATATATATATATATATATATATTTTTTTTTTTTTTTTTTTTTTTTTTTTTTTTCTTCTTCTTCTTGAGACAGAATTTCGCTCTGTTGCCCAGGCTGGAGTGAGTGCAGTGGCCCAATCTCGGCTCACTGCAACCTCCACCTCCCGAGTTCAAGCGATTCTCCTGCCTCAGCGTCCCGAGTAGCTGAGATTACAGCACATGCCACCATGCCCGGCTAATTTTTGTCTTTTTATTAGAGACAGGGTTTCACCACATTGGCCAGGCTGATCTCAAACTCCTGACATCAAGTGATCCACCCATCTTGGCCTCCCAAAGTGTTGGAATTACAGGCGTGAGCCCCCATGCCTGGCCTGAGTTGCTTGTGTTCTGACTATCAGAACTGAGTCATCTGGCTAAAGGGTGCCTGGGAAATGCAGTCTTTATGCATGGGTTCTTCTACTGAGAAAGAAGGAGAAAAACGATAAATACCAAGAGACAAATGATAAATATCAGTAGCTTCTTCATATGCCCCTACTTCAAATTCAGGTAGCTCCTTTTAATCTATTTTATACATTTTTGTGTGTGAGGCCTTTGAAAGGATTTTCCTGCTAAAAAGAGTTTGGGAACCATGGTGTGGTGCTGTGCTGTCTCTTCCTTGGGAATATTTGCTACTCATGCAAACACTAATCTTGATGTCTTGGCTCAGGAGTTGAATGACAAAATACAGATGCTCCTCAACTTATGATGGTGTCAGTCCTGAAAAACCCATCATAGGTTGGAAACAGCATTAACTCCAACATTCATTTAATTACAGCCAACCTCCCAAAATCTTAGCCTAGCCTAACCTGCCTTAAAGTGCTCAGAACACTTGTGTTAGCCTACATTTGGGCAAAATCATCTAACACAAAGTCTGGTTTATTACAACATACTGAGTATTTCATGTAATGTATTGAATCTGTGCTGAAAATGAAAAACAGAATGATTGTATTGGTATGCAAAGTGTGGTTTCTATAGAATGCATATAACTTTCACACCATCATAAAGCTGGAAAATCATAAAGTCAAACCGTTGTAAGTCAGGGACCATCTGTTTATAAAAAGCATAAACTCATTATTGTAACTTAATTATAAGCTGATGAGTATGCAAGAAATAAAAACCACTGTGACATTAACATAATTTAGGCATTAGTATCTTGGTTTTTCTGTTTTGTTTTGTTTTGTTTTTTTTTTTTTTTGAGATGGAACTTCGCTCTTGTTGCCCAGGCTGGAGTGCAATGGCGTGATCTCAGCTCACCGCAACCTCCACCTCCTGGGTTCAAGCAGTTCTCCTGCCTCAGCCTCCCGAGTAGCTGAGATTACAGGCGGCTGCCATCACACCCAGCTAATTTTGTATTTTTTGTAGAGATGGGGTTTCTCCATTTTGGTCAGGCTGGTCTTAAACTCCTGATCTCAGGTGATCTGCCCACCTCAGCCTCCCAAAGTGCTGGGATTATAGGCGTGAGCCACCATGCCCGGCTGGTTTTTCATTTTCTAGGTACCACTTTTTTTTTTAAATCAAGTGGTAATATGTTGTATTCTCTCAGTGTAAAAAGATGTAGAAGTGAAGCTGTAAACGAATGAAGCCTTGTTTATAGAAAACTACTGGTTTTTCTTTGTGTATTTGTTTTTTGATAGTTGATAATGTTATCAAGCAGGTTCTCTATATTAGCTTGAAATTTCACTTTGCCATTAGTATTTTTAAGTTTTACAGTTATAAAGCTCATTTATATTTTTGTTAGGTTGAATTGCTGGAAATGGAAAAGTCACAAATCCGTTCACAGTGTGAAGAACTCAAAACTGAAGTAGAACAGTTAAAATCTACAAATCAACAGACGGCAACAGATGTTTCAACATCAAGTAACATTGAGGAGTCTGTAAATCATATGGATGGAGAAAGGTAATATTAAATGAGGCGTTTTTGTGGGGCTGCAATTATGGTTAGGATACTATTTATTTTTATCTGCTAGCACCCATCAAATAGATACTGTTCTGTCAAAAGAAGTTATTGATGGTCTGCTGTGACCCTGGTGTTATGATAGATAAAAAAGAAGTGACACTTCATTATCCTTCCTTTCCAGTTTCTGACCCTTTAGGTTCTATTTAAGTGGAATAGGAATTTAGAAGGGATAAAGCATTTGATTGGTCAGAGTGGTTTTAGAATGCTTTTTGAAGGAAAATAAAAATGGACAAGATATTGAAGAATAGGGGGAATTTGGCCATGAGTAGAAGACAGGAGACTTTTACTGAAACTCACTCCTTCAACCTGTTTTTCTTTTATTGTCGTACTTGGTACCATGTCTTTATGGCTTGCTGTCCTTATTTCACTGTATGCTCACTCTAATCTTTTAGGAAATTGCAAAATTATTAAAAATTGCCATAGTACAGATGATATTAGGAAGAAGTCCTATTAAAACAAGTAGATAGGCCAGGCGTGGTGGCTCACACCTATAATTCTAGCACTTTGGGAGGCTGAGTTGGGCGGATCACCTGAGGT
The DNA here is from genome assembly GCF_000001405.40 of Homo sapiens. Taxonomy (NCBI): domain Eukaryota; kingdom Metazoa; phylum Chordata; class Mammalia; order Primates; family Hominidae; genus Homo; species Homo sapiens. The sequence continues at coordinate 36,373,129 of NC_000021.9, forward strand.
CAGGAGTTCAAGACCAGCCTGGCCAACATGGTGAAACCCTGTCTCTACTAAAAGTACAAAAATTAGCCGGGCGTGGTGGCAGGCGCCTGTAGTCCCAGCTACTCGGGAGGCTCAGGCAGGAGAATCGCTTGAACCTAGGAGGTGGAGGTTGCAGTGAGCCGAGATTGCGCCACTGCACTCCAGCCTGGGTGACAGAGCAAGACTCTGTCTTAAAACCAAGCGTGGTGCCTCATGCTTGTAATCCCAGCACTTTGGGAGGCCAAGATGGGTGGATCACTTGAGGTCAGGAGTTCGAGACCAGCCTGACCAACATGGTGAAACCCCGTCTCTACTAAAAATACAAAATTAGCTTGGCATGGTGGTGCACACCTGTAACCCCAGCTACTTGGGAGGCTGAGGCAGGAGAATCGCTTGAACCTGGGAGAAGGAGGTTGCAGTGAGCCAAGATCGCGCCATCACGCTGTGGCCTTGGCAACAAGAGCAAAACTCCGTCTCAAAAAAAAAAAAAGCTGGTATGGGAACGATTAAAGTATTATCAAAGGTCTAGTGGACTCTTACCATAAAAGCTCACAAAAAAACATGCTCAAAATCACATTCTCCGCATTATCAGACTAAGGAAGAACATCTTGATCCCTTCATAGATTTCCACTCGAGAAAAATCAGTATCTAAATTAAATATGGACTTATTATATTGTAGTGGGGTAGGGAACAAGAACAACTGTAACACTCATTTTATGTGTTTGCCATAATATTTGAAGCAAAAGCTGCCTTACAGTTTAGGTGTTTATTGCTTAAATACTTTTGGGCATTTTTTAAAAAGTCTAGAATGTTGATATTCATAAACTTGGAAGGCATAATTATCTTAATCTATGGTTTCCCAGTGTTTTCAGCAAACCATTGTTCTCTGTAAATGCACGGTAACTTAAGCATGTAATAGGATCAGAGCAGTCCTACAATTATTATTATTATTATTTTTTTGGAGACAGAGTCTTGATCTGATGCCCAGGCTGGAGTACAGTTGCATAATCTCGGCTCACTGCAACCTCTGCCTCCCAGGTTCAAGCAATTCTCCTGCCTCAGCCTCACCAGTAGCTGGGACTATAGGTGTGCGCCACCACGCCCAGCTACATTTTGTATTTTTAGGGAGAGACGGGGTTTCACCATGTTGATCAGGCTGGTCTTGAACTCCTGACCTCAGGCGATCTGCCCGCCTCAGCCTCCCAAAGTGCTGGGATTACAGGCGTGAACCTCTGTGCCCGGCGTAAAAAAAAAGCTGCTTTAACATTGTTTAACACAATGTTTTGCAAGCTTATTTGACCACAGAACCTTTTATTACCTCTTACACAACTATGGATATCTTATAGAACATGTTTTAGATAATTCTGGCTAAGCATGGTGGTTCATGCCTGTAATCCCAGCACTCTGAGGTGGGCAGAATGCTTGATTGAGCCCAGGAGTTTGAGACCAGCCTGGGCAATATAGTGAAACCCCATTGCTACAAATAATAATAATAAAAATTAACCGGGCATGGTGGTGTGGGCCTGTGCTTCCAGCTACTCAGGAGGCTGAGGTGGGAGAATTGCGTGAACCCTGGAGAGCAGTGGTGCCATCGCAGCTCACTGCAGCCTTGACCTCCTGGGCTCAGGTGATCCCCCACCTCACCCTCTTGAGAAGCTGAGACTACAGGTGTCGTCACCAAGCCCGGCTAATATTTTGTGTTTTTAGTAGAGTCAGGGTTTCACCATGTTGGCCAGGCTGGTCTCGAACTCCTGGGCTCCAGCGATCTCCCTCCTCGGCTTCACAAATGCTGGGAATACAGGCATGGGCAAGTGCACCTGACTCATAAAAGTGAATTATTAAAGTAAATTGAGTTCTCTAGGGGAGGTTTTGCTTTTCCTTTTGTTTAATTGTATATTATTCTACGGAGATTTGATTTTGATATTTTACTTTTTAAGGTCTACATGAATCTTAACTTGTAATGCTCATCTAATAAGTTACATATTTGTATTTGCAGCCTCAAACTCCGATCTCTTCGAGTTAACGTAGGACAACTGCTGGCTATGATTGTGCCTGATCTTGATCTTCAGCAAGTGAATTACGATGTTGATGTAGTTGATGAGATTTTAGGACAAGTTGTTGAACAAATGAGTGAAATCAGTAGTACTTAAAGTATATGTTATGTAAGATAAAATATTTGCTCAATTCTTTTGGTTGTACAGCTTTCAAAATATAATTAATTTTGTTTTATAGATATGATAGGCAACAGACTGAAAACCATAATCTTTACTGTATTCTATGCATTCAAATGTGGTCACAAATATTGTGGACACATTATCTTATGTTTTGAAATACCTGTGAATTGTTGGCATTGAGCAGCTGAAGCTAACTCATGACTCTGTTTTGAATGTAAATATTTGTAATTAAGCCTGCACATATTTTTTTATTGCCCTAGAGTACTCAAGTGTTTTTCACCAAGAGCTTTTCAGGTTGCCCCTAAGCTTTGTGCAATTTTTTCTGGTTCCCCAAAGTGTATTTTTCTCTAAGTCGAGGGCTATGCCATAATACAAATGGAAATGTTACCTTTGATTTTCTTATAAAGGAGTTTAAATAGGATTTTTAAATAATGTAGTAACACTCCTGATACAACTCTGGTTATAAGTGAATTGAGCATTAATGTTTCTTTTGTATAAATTCCTGTCCTGAAATATTTTATTCATGAAAATAAGGTAAGCAAAAACCAACTCCATTTTGCCAGGATTTTGTTGTGCTGAGATTGCCAATCACGGTTAAACACAAAGTGTTTTTATAGAATGAAGAAACAGTCTTTAACAGAAAAAAGGTATTGAAATATTAAATGGCCACCAAGTTTACTTTGAAGCCCATTTTTGGCTGTTTAGTCAGCATGAAGTGGGCATGATAATTTTTTAATATTTCTTTTTGTGAAATTTCCTGTACAGCCTTTTGTAGGATTACTACAGGTTAATGTGAGTTGAGGAAGACAGTCTTTCTCAAACAATACTACATACCTTTTATTATATTACAAACCTAAGTGTTTTATATCCTAGAGTCAAGGAACAAATTTCCTTAGGATTATAGTATTACATGCCATAAAATACTATGCTTTATTGGTCCCATGTTTTGTGCAATTTTAAAGAGATGGCTTTCTATTAAGTATAAACTATGTATATATAAGAACCATATTTTCCACAACTAAAATGTGCATTATTTTTTCCAAAGTTTTATCATTGCTATTTATTTTTACCTTTGTTTTTGAACATTCAATCCGTTCATTTTGTATGTATGCTTAATACGTGTCGGTCATATACAGTATTGAATTTTTACTGTATAGTAATTCTGGAAAGAGCAAATAAATGAAGATTGTTTTTATTTGCCTGATAAAGTAATTGAAAGTGTATTTTTGGTATGAAGCTGGTTTTCTGTCACAATTGTAATTTCCCAAATTTTAAAATATCTTATAATAAAATAAAAATATATGATGGCTAACTGTTCAAATGCTACTTTTAAAGACTTAATATTAACCTCAAATTATTTTAAAACTAAAAATGTATTCATTAGACCCTCAACTTGAGCTCATTTTAACTACTTTAATTGCAGTTTATTTTTTGAAGACTGTTTCCATTAAGACTGAGGCTGAGCTCCTCTTTCCTCAGAGCATGTATATTCTGTTTTCAAAAGCTTTTTCTCAGCCTGGCGCAGTGGCTCACGCCTGTAATCCCAGCACTTTGGGAGGCCGAGGCGGGCGGATCACCTGAGGTCGGGAGTTCAAGACCAGCCTGACTAACATGGAGAAATGCCGTCTCTGCTAAAAATACAAAATTAGCCGGGTGTGGTGATGCATGCCTGTAATCCCAGCTACTCAGGAGGCTGAGGCAGGAGAATCACTTGAACCTGGGAGGTGGAGGTTGCAGCGAGCCGAGATCACACCATTGCACTCCAGCCTGGGCAACAAGAGCGAAACTCCGTCTCAAAAAAAAAGGACTTTTCTTTGTATAAATCATTTACTCTAGAGAAACCTTGCCTAAATAATAGCAGCTATGTAAATCATATGTAAGTTTTGTGAATATCTAACTCATGCAGTGGTTCTTTTTGGAATTTGCTATTTTTCCCTTCCTTTTGGCCAGCTTCTCTATGTATTCTTGCAAAAATATTTCCTGTAGCTGTCTGGCTTGATGGGAAAATTAATCATGGGATTAGTAAGAGAAACTTGCTTGCTAAATTGATTCTTTGGAAGCACTTAGATACTTTTTGCTCTTTATGAAGATATTGAAGTATTGCCAAGATATGAGACTTCGAAAATGTGGCTCACAGTTGCAGACAGAACAACTGTTGTTTAACAGAACAACGTGGGCTTTCATGATGTATGTACCTTTCTCTTTCTTTTGTTGCATGTGGGGGACAGTATTGCTTCAACTAATGTTTATTACTTTAAAACACGAAAGGTATGAGGAAGTAAACCAAAACAGTCCACAGTCTTCAAACAGGACCTAGGGTGGCAAAATCAGTGAAAGCTGAGTGAGCACACAGAGCAGGAGGGCATGGCACGTCCCTGTGTGCTTCCTTTGGGCCTCAAATTCTTCATGTGGCAGGTCCAGTTGGTGACGCTGCCTGTGATCTCAGACGCTTGATTCTTGCTGTCACATGAGACGTCTTAAACTTGGGTCATACATCATTGAGGAATCATTTAAGTTCTCACCTCTGGCTGCGTAGTAGAATTACTTGGGGAGTTTTTTAAACTCCCAAAGTCAGGCTGCACCTCACGTTAATTAAGTCAGCGTCCTTGGGGTTAGACCCAGATAACAGTATTTTTCAAGGCCTCCCGGGTTAATTCCAGTGCACCATCAGAGCCAAGCACTGTTGAGTTGTGTCTTCTGTTGAGTATTTATAAATGTTGAACTTGAGTGGTTCACGAAACAAACGGGATCAGCATATCCACTTTCTCACTGGGGCAAGCAGGGGGAGGGAGGGGAAGCAGAGCGGTGCCCCGGTAGAGATGTAAATGAACAGTGAAAAGACTTTCTCCACGGCCTCTAAAGGTAACCACTATTGGCTTTTGTGTGCATACATGCACACATTCATGTGTATGTATTTTATTTACATTAAATTGCGTATATTTGTGTCGATATTTACACAGTGGGATTATACCATATAATTGATAACTAAACATTTCCATATCATTCTTTCAAAAAGCTTAAGTAACATTTCATCATAGGAATATGCTCCTAATGGTTACTTACTTACTTACTTTTCGTTAGAAAGAATATACTGGCTGGGCGCAGTGGCTCGTGCCTGTAATCCCAGCACTTTGGGAGGCCAAGGTGGGTGGATCATGAGGTCAGGAGATCGAGACCATCCTGGCCAACATGGTAAAACCCCATCTCTACTAAAAATACAAAAATTAGCTGGGCGTGGTGGTGGGCTCCTGTAATCCCAGCTACTTGGGAGGCTGAGGCAGGAGAATCACTTAACCCCAGGAGGCAGAGGTTGCAGTGAGCCGAGATCACACCACTGCACTCCAGACTGGTGACAGAGCGAGACTCCGTCTCAAAGTATACTGTGAAGATTAATACATACCACACATGATTTTCCGATTAAATCCAGAGTGTAAATTGTTAACAGTGAATATTGATAGGTCAAAGAATGTATGCCATGTACATTTAAATAAATATTGCCATCCAAAAAAAGGTTGCAGGAATTTATACTTAGGATGAGTAATAAATATGAGTGTTTTCCTCAAAGTCTCTCAAACTTACTTTTGCTAATTTGATATGTGAAAATATGACAGCTGACATTTGTCTCAGTCCTTACATTGGCCATTTTAATTTTCTGTGTTTTATACATGTTCTTTGCCTATTCTTTTCCACTGTGTTCTTGTCTTCTTGCTGTAAAGAAGCTGAAAGCTTGTGTTAATTTGGCCACACACCACCCAAAAACTACCCAGACACACTACCCATTTCTTCCTATTTCAGAAAATCCACAGTAGGTTGTCTTTTTTTTTTTTTTTTTTTTTTTTTTTTTGAGACAGGGTTTCATTCTGTTGCCCAGGCTAGAGTGCAGTGGTGTGATCATGGCTTACTGCAGCCTCAACCTCCGAGGCCCAAATGCTCCAGCTGCCTCAGCCTCCCGAGTAGCTGGCACTAGAGGCGTGCACCACCATGCCCAGCTAATTTTTCTATTTTTTGTAGAGATGGGGTTTCGCCATGTCCAGGCTGGTCTTAAGCTCCTGGACTCAAGCAGTCCACCCTTCTGGGCCTCCCAAATTGTTGGGATTACAGGCATTTGAGCCACCGCGCCTGACTGGTTAAGTCCTATTTTGTGCAGTGTCTCATAAACAGGGACTCACTGAAGTGGCTTGAAAATCTAAATAGAATCCTATCTGCATATTTGTCTGTTGAATGTTGGTCACAGCTCACAAGATGAATGCTATTAATATCTGATTGGCGTAGAGGAAAAAATAAATCTGTTGCTTTTTAGAATTGTCTATTGATCACAGAGTTAACTTTCACATACTAGCCTGTAGGAAGAAAGTCTGGTTAAGAGTTAACAAGAAACCTTTTAAAGCCACAATTTCTTAGAGAGTCATCAGGACTCAATGTCTTGGTAACAAGACAGAATAAATTTAAATTTGAATATAAAGGACTTTTATCCCAACCTGGCTAACAATATTTAGGTTATGTATGTGCTTGATATGTGAATATCTAGAATTTGGCTGTAGTTCGTTTTTTTTTTTTTTTTTTTTTTTTTTTTTTTTTTTTTTTGAGACAAAGTATCATTCTGTTGCCCAGGCTGGAGTGCAGTGGCATGATCACAGTTCACTGCAGCCTCAACCTCTCAGGCTCAAGTGACCTCCCACCTCAGCCCCCACGAGTAGTAGGAACTACAGGCACATGCCACTGCGCCCAGCTAATTTTTGAATATTTTGTAGAGACTGGGTTTGCCATGTTGCCCAGGCTGCTCCAACTTCTGGCCTAAAGCCATCTGCCCGCCTCGGCCTCCCAAAATGCTGGGATTACAGGCGTGAGCCATCACGCCCAGCTGGCTGTATCTTCATAACAAAATGTAATGGTGTTTTATATTCACAAAGGAGTCAAGTCTTCCTAATCTCCCATGGGGTTCCTGTTGGAAGTGAGGCTCTTGGTTTGTACTGTGATCTGAACCATGACTGAATTAAGGTAATTTGAGTATAGAATTTTTTCTGTTCTAGGCAATTGTCTCTTGTTTTGTGACTCCCTTGGTGGGAATCTCTCTCAAAATGTGATATTCATGGAGGCAACTGAAGTACCAGCAAGCTTGTCCAACCTGCCTTGCTTGGTTGTGTTTTTTTAGTTTTTTTTCCCCAGGCTGGTCTCAAGAACTTCTGGGCTCAAGGGATCTGCTCACATTGGCCTCCCAAAGTGTTGGGATTACAGGCATGAACCACTGCTTCTGGCTTTAAATATATATATATTTTTTGAGACAGGCTCTTGCTTTGTCACCCAGGCTCGAGTAGCAGTGGCGCGATCACAGCTCACTACAGCCGCAATCTCCCGGGCTCAGGTAATCCTCCCACCTCAGCCTCCTGGGTAGCCAGGACCACAGGCACACACCACTATGCCCAGCTAATTTTCGTATTTTTTGTGGAGACAGATTTTTGACTTGTTGCCCAGGCTGGTCTCAAAATTCCTGGGCTCAAGCGATGCACTCCCCCACCTCTTAACCTCCTAAAGTGTGGGGATTACAGGAATGAGCCCTAACTTAGGGTTTTGTTTTTTTTGTTTGTTTGTTTTTCTGTACTCTGTATACTCCAGGGTATTTCAGATGTAAGGTATTTCAATACATCTAATAAATTTCCTGGTCTAGACTTGGTGACAGCCATTTCTCCAAAAGTTCTGCTTCATTTTGTGGGAAATGCTATTTGAAGATAATAATCTAGGCACAGATATAGTCATTGTTTCTAGTTAGGCCATTTCTTTTTCTTCTTCTTCTTTTTTTTTTTTTTTTTTTTTTTTCTTTTGCGACAGGTCTTGCTCTGTTGCCCAGGCTGGAGTACAATGGCATAATCATAGCTCACTACATCCTCAAACTCCTGGGCTCAAGTGCTTCGCCTTCCTCAGCCTCCCAAGTACCTGGGACTATAGGTGCATGCCACCATGCCTGGCTGATTTTTTTTTTTTTTTTCTAGATACGGAGTCTTGCTACGTTGCCCACGCTGGTCTTGAACTCCTGGGCTCAAGTGATCCTCCTGCTTCAGCCTCCCAAAATGTTGATATTACCGGCATAAGCCACTGTGCCTGGCCTAGTTTGGGCATTTCTAGGCCTTTTTAGTAGACTGAACTAAAAGAGACTATAATATAGTCTCTTTTGCTGAAAATCTGGGTTCCTAACCACACAAGTATTTGCTCTTCCTAATGTATACATAAATACATAGGTATGCATATATGTAACAATACCAATATTTTCTAGCCATAGTATGACTGAAGGTAAGCTTTCTTTGGGGTAGTATAAAATTTCTGTGTTTGCCAATCACTTGAAATAATAACTCCTTGTGTGCATCACACACATCCATGTTGCTGCCTGTGTCAGTCAGTGTAGAGTTCTCCAGAAAATCGGAGCCCAATATGATAGATGCAAGAGATTGATCAGGAGGAGTGGCTTAAGTGGTTATGGAGTCTGAGAAGTCCCATGATCTGCTGTCTGCAAGATGGAGACCCAAGAAAGCCTGTGGTATAACTTAGTCCCACTCCAAAGCCCTGAGAACCAGGGACACCAGTGGCATAAGTCCTGGAGTCAAAAGACCTGAGAACCAGGAGCTCTGATGTCTGAGGGTGGAAGAGGATGTCCCAACTCAAGAAGAGACAGAATTTGCCCTTCCTCTACTTTTTGTTCTTTTCAGACTCAACAGGTTGGATGATGCCCCAGATACTGCCCAGGTTGGTGAGGGCGGATCTTCTGTACTCAGTCTACTGATTCAAATGCTAAAGTCTTCCAGAAACACCCTCATAGTCAGAAGTAATGTTGACCACCTATCGGGTATGTCTTAGCCCGGGCAAACTGAGGCATAAAATTAACTATCACAGTATTTCTTTTGGATTACCGAGTAGAATACCGTGGTATGAATATGGCACAGTCTGATTACCTTTTCTCCTGTGGGTGGACATTTGGTGTCTTTCTAGTTTGGGGCTATTATGGATAATGATTCTTGTATGAGTTTGCTTTTGTTTTCCTGATATATATGCCAAGGAGTGGAATTGCTGAGTCATAGGGTAGGCGTATCATTAACTTTATTAGACAGTGCTGAACAGTTTTCTAAAGTATTTACATCAGTTTACACTTCCACCAGTAGTGTGCCAGAGGTCCCGTTGTTCTCAATCTCCTGTATTGATTTCCGTCATTTCTATTTTTCTTTTTCTTTCTTTTTTTTTTTTTTTTTTTCAGACTGAGTCTGTTTCTGTCGCCCAGACTGGAGTGCAGTGGCATGATCTTGGCTCACTGCCCTCTGGGTTCAAGTGATTCTAGTGCCTCAGCCTCCGAGTAGCTGGGATTACAGGCGCCACCACCATGCCTGGCTGTTATTATTATTATTATTATTATTATTTTTGAGATGGAGTTCTGCTCTTGTTGCCCAGGCTGGAGTGCAATGGCGCAATCTCGGCTCACTGCAATCTCCGCCTCCCAGGTTGAAACGATTCTCTGGCCTCAGCCTCCTGAGTAGCTGGGATTACAGGTGCCTGCCACCGCGCCTGACCTATTTTTTCTATTTTTAGTAGAGATGGGGTTTCACCATGTTGGCCAGGCTGGTCTCAAATTCCTGACCTCAAGTGATCCGCCCGCTTCAGCCTCCCAGATGCTGCAATTACAGGCGTGAGCCACTACGCCTGGCTTCTCCTAGTTTTCTTATTCTGATATTTGCTCAACATTTTTTTCCAACCCTGTACTGAATTTTGTATGTCTGTTATCAAAGCTTTTTTTTTTTTTTTTTTTGAGACAGAATCTCACTCTGCCACCCAGGCTGGAGTGCAGTGGTGCCATCTCAGCTCACTGCAACCTCCAAGTCCCGGGTTCAATGGATTCTCTTGCCTCAGCCTCCCTAGTATCCCGAGTAGCTGGGATTACAGGCACACACTACCACTCTGTATAGTTTTTGTATTTTTATAGAGAAGGGGTTTTGCCATGTTGGCCAGGCTGGTCTGGAACTCCTAGCCTCAAGCAATCTGCCTGCTTTGGCCTCCCAAAGCGTTGGGATTATAGATGTGAGCCACCATGCCCGGCTCAGATTTTGATTTTAGAATGTTCACACTTACAAATGGAAATTAAAATGCCTTGAGAAGTTTTTTTTCGAAGCTGAGTTAAGAGTTAGTCCCTTTATATCAATTTTCATTATTAAAAAGTTCTCAGGAACCAAATAACATTGGTCCCCTTAAATTGAGGCAGTTCTGCTCAAAATGGATGCTTGGGGCCCAAGCTGAACAACAGTGGTTGTTGAGGAATCTAGTTAGAATTGCGTTATAGGAATTCCCTTTTTTTTTTTTTTTTTTTTTTTTGAGACAGAGTCTCGCTCTCTCGCCCAGGCTGGAGTGCAGTGGCACGATCTCGGCTCACTGCAAGCCCCGCTTCCCGGGTTCACGCCATTGTCTTGCCTCAGCCTCCCGAGTAGCTGGGACTACAGGCGCCCGCCGCCACGCCCGACTAATTTTTTGTAATTTTTGTAGAGATGGGGTTTCACCATGTTAGCCAGGATGGCCTCGATCTCCTGACCTCATGATCCGCCCACCTCGGCCTCCTAAAGTGCTGGGATTACAGGCGTGAGCTACCGCGACCGGCAGGAATTCTTTAGTCCAACATTTGTGGTGCAAACTTTGAGGTTTTGAACAAATACTTTTTTTTTTTTTTTTGAGAAAATATTTGACAGCCCAGGGCCTCTCTCTAGAGCCGCATCCCCTGCCCGTGTTGGCTCATCAAGTTGGCACTGAAGTCGGATCTCTAAAATGTTCGCCAAGAAAGCCAACTCCTTCATGTACTTTTAATACTTAAAGCATGTGTTTTTATCTTTTAAATCCACAGTTCAGAGTCGTGACACTTCAAGAGGTGGGCAGATTATTCATTTGTGAATGAACAGCATTTATGAGAAATTTGGAGAAATTTTATGTTTGAGAGACACGAAGAATCCAGAGCTTTCCAAAACAGACTGATGATCACACCCACCGGGGAGTTTATGAAAATGCAAGCCCCTGGAGCACGGGCCTCTGCTGGATATTCGGAATCATGGGGCTGAGTAGGGCCAGGAATCTGTACTTTTAGAACAGCCATATTATCTAAAGTATATAGTCATTCCCAGTCCAAGCTCTGTAAATCCTGAAGAGAAAAATCTAAAAACTGCATATCCGGATTATGTTATTCTAGCTTCCTGTAGAAATCAGGCTTCAAGGAGCATACAGCCATTCTCATCAACATGAGACACGGATTTGTAGGCAATTTCTGTACCTTTCATAAAGCTGGCTAAAAGCATCAGCCGGTATTTATATAAGAATCCATGTCTGTTCTTTTTTTCCAAAAATCCTAGAGCAGTTGGCTCCTCAGATAACCCTGTGTGTTTCTTTTATCCAGTAAAAGCAGCGCATCCAGAGGTACTTGTTTCCTGGCCTTCTGCGAAGCCCACAGATAAATTAGGTCTCATTTGGAAACGTCCCATTTCGAAAAGCCTGAGGTATCTATCTCTGCCTACCGACTGATTTACAGCCTCACTTTAAAATGTTAGTCTGTTCTTAAAAAGGGTTTATAACTGCATCTACTATAATAATAAAATGTAAGCAACCTTGCGCTAGGTACTGAACAATTTCATAGCTTTGAACTCTCCAAAATGTTCTAGAAGCCAATACAGAAAACCCAAAAATCTCAGTTTTTGTTTGCAGAAGGGGCAAGAGAACCGGTTGTGTTAGCCCTCCAAGTGCCCAGCGCCAGCATAGGGTCTGTCTAACACACAGCCCAGGCTCTGTAAACCTTTGCTAAAAGAGCGAATCAACAAGGAATAAGTAATGGATAATAATAATAAATAATAATGAATCCATTCTTCCTTCGGTCGTGGGTCTGGCAGGCATAAATTCCGGCCGGGATTCCGACCCCAGGGCCAGAGCAGGACTCGCCTTGGCGTCTATGAGTGGGCGGGGCTTCCCTGGGGTACCGCCCACGTCGGGCGGGACCTGAGGGCCGCTGGAGGGGCGGGGCGTCTATGAGGTCCCGCCCATGCGGGGGCGGGGCCTGCGGCGCGCGGGAAGCGGCGCGCGCTGCGCGGGAGGTGACGGTGCCTCTGACTGTCCGGGTCCCTCCAGGTACGGCTTCCCTGGCCCGGGCAGCTCCGCGGCTCTTTTGGTCGCGTCGGTCCGGGCCAGAGGCCCTCGCCGAGGGCGGGCCCCTGGGCCCCGGGATAGCTCCGGAGCGGCGCGCGTTGGGGCGGCGGGGCCCCGTCCACCCCCGGCCCCGCGCGGCCTCCTCCCGGCGGCCTCAGTCCCAGCTTCCCGGGCCCAGCGCCCGGTCCCTGGGAAAGGCGGGGTTCTCCTCTCGCCCCGCCGCCCCGGTCCCCTACCCCGTTTGGCCCCCTCTTCCGGGAGGCTCCTCCCGGGGCGGGCCCCTCCCCGGGCTCTCAGGGCGCGCCCCTAGCCCCTACTAAGCGGGGACAGGCCGTGCAGACGGCCGGGGCCCCTAGGTAGCCTTTACCTGGGTGTTTCGTTTTGCTTTTCTGGATGTAGCGGCGTATCATAAACTTGTGGATGTCAGGACCCAGCGAAGCATTTTAGGTGGAGCTAGCAAGGTGTTATTGTCAGATGGCAACGTTAACATCCTTTCCCAATGCAGTGTGCATTTTAAATGGCTCCTGGCCCCTATTCAGCGCTCAATAACCCTTTGCTGCTGTTAACACTGTTGTTTAATCCATCACCAGCATTTTGCAGCTTTCTCCTGTCTTGAAGAAGTAGAACGGTGCCCGAGAAACGTTTTTCCCCTTCGAGACTCAGGAGGATGAAAGTCATCACTTGTGAAATAGCCTGGCACAACAAGGAGCCCGTGTACAGCCTGGACTTCCAGCATGGGACGGCTGGGAGGATCCACAGACTGGCGTCTGCCGGCGTGGACACCAATGTCAGGGTAAACTGGGGCAGAGATAGACATCCGGGAACACTGCTTGAAGCAATAGTTTTCATTCTTTTACTTAAAACCAGTGTCGGCTGGGCGCGGTGGCTTACGCCTGTAATCCCAGTGCTTTGGGAGGCTGAGGTGAGAGGATCGCTTGAGTCCAGGAGTTCGACACCAGCCTGGGCAACAGCCAGACATGAAAAAGTAGCGGGACGTGGCAGTGTGCAGCTGTAGGCCCAGCTACTTGGGAAGTTGAAGTGAGAGGATCGCTTGAGCCTAGGAGTTTGAAGCAAGCAACGATCACTCCACTGCACTCCAGCCTGGGTGACAGAGCCAGACCCTTCTCTTAAGTAAATGAATGAATGAATTAACGTATGTCAACAAACTAAACTACTTTGTCATCTAGCCCAGAATGCTAAATTTCCAGGGCCTGCGGTGAACAATGAAAGCAAAAGAGAGCTGCTTTCTTTTTTTTTTTTTTGAGACGGAGTCTTGCTCTGTTGCCCAGGTGGGAGTGCAGTGGTGCAATCTCGACTTACTGCAACCTCTGTCTCCCAGGTTCAAGCTATTCTCCTGCCTCAGCCTCCCAAATAACTGGGACTACAGCCGCTCATCACCACACCTGGCTAATTTTTGTATTTTTAGTAGAGATGGGGTTTTACCATGTTGGCCAGGCTGGTCTCAAACTCCTGACCTCAGGTGATCCACCCACCTTGGCCTCCCAAAGTGCTGGGATTACAGGCCTGAGCCACCATGCCCGGCTCTGCTTTCTTATTTGATTCATTTTCCCTAGATTATTGTAACTGGACGTTCATTGTTTTGGGATCCTGATCCTGGTTCCTACTGGGTAACAAGTTGCTCTAGAAAGAAGGCGGAGGGGGACAGTAGACATTTATGTTTTAGATAGGGAGTTCTTTGATTTTATGTTTCAAAAGAAAAACTAAGTTTTCTTTCTGAAAATAAGCATAGTTTTGTTTTTTTTTTTTTTTTGAGACAGGGTCTTACTCTGTCGCCCAGGCTGGAGTGCAGTGGCCTGATCTTGGCTCAGTGCAGCCCCGACCCGGGGCTCAAGTGATCCTCCCTCTTAAGCCTCCCGCATAACTGGAACTACAGGCATGTGCCATCACACTTGGCTAATTTTTTAAATTTTCTGTAGAGACTAGGTCTCACTGTGTTTCCAGGCTGGTCTTGAACTCCTGGCCTCAAGTGATTTACCCACCTTGGCCTCCTAAACTGCTGGGATTACAGTTGTGAGCCACCACACCCAGCCCATAGTATTGTTTTAATACAGACAGTATAATATGTGCCCATTCTATGTTTTTCAAATGAATGTGTTGGTATTGACAGATCTGGAAGGTAGAAAAGGGACCAGATGGAAAAGCCATCGTGGAATTTTTGTCCAATCTTGCTCGTCATACCAAAGCCGTCAATGTTGTGCGTTTTTCTCCAACTGGGGAAATTTTAGCATCGGGAGGAGATGGTGAGTATTGCTGTCCTTCAGAGATTCTTCGGGAACCAGATAGATACCTGTGTGTCTTGTGTCAGATAGTGAGATTTGAGCTGGATATGCTTTTTTTTTTTTTTTGAGATAGAGTTTCACTCTTGTTCCCCAGGCTGGAGTGCAGTGGTGCAAACTCGACTCACTGCAACCTCCGCCTCCTGGGTTCAAGCGATTCTCCTGCCTCAGCCTCCTGAGTAGCTGGGATTACAGGCGCCTGCCACCACGCCCGGCTAGTTTTTTTGTGTGTTTTTAGTAGAGACAGGGTTTCATCATGTTGGTCAGGCTGATCTCGAACTCCTGACCTCAGGTGATCCACCTGCCTCGGCCTCCCAAAGTGTTGGGATTACAGGCGTGAGCCACTGCGCCCGGCCTGGATATGCTTTTTAGTTCAGGTGTGGCTGACCCTCTCAATCTGTCATTTAGGTAGTTCAGTAAAATACTGTTCTAGGGAATGTGGTAGAGTCAGGGAGGGAGGACAGCAAGATGAAACCAGGAACACCTGTTTGAAAACAGCTGCTTTCCCGCAAGCTCCCACCAGGCTGTTCTAAGACGAGATGGAAAGGCACTTACCATTCTGTCACATCCCAAGCAAGGCGACTGTTCTGGTTTTGTTGGATTGTTAGTTTAACATCTGTGGTGATCAGAGTCAGTTCTGTGTCTCTGTGTAATTAATTAAATGGCTTTAGGACTGTGTTAGTAATTAATTGGCTTTGGGAGTTTTTTTTTTTTTTTTTTTTGAGACAGTCTCACTGTTATCTAGGCTGGAGTGCAGTGGCACAATCTTGGCTCACTGCAACCTCTGCCTCCCAGGTTCAAGCGATTCTCCTGCCTCAGCCTCACAAGTAGCTGGGATTACAGGCGCCTGCCACCACCCCCGGCTAATTTTTGTATTTTTAGTAGAGATGGGGTTTCGCCTTGTCAGCCAGGCTGGTCTCAAACTCCTGAGCTCAGGCAATCTGCCTGCCTCGGCCTCCCAAAGTGCTAGGATTACAGGCGTGAGCCACCGCGCCCGGGCTATTTGGGCATGAATTCTAAACTGGGATATGAAAGAATTCAGCAATGGCAAAGTTCCTCATGGAGGTGTGCCATGCTCAGAAGTGCAGTGTGCCCTCCCACTGGCCCCTCTTCAGTGGGCCCTGAGTAGCTGCTCGTGTTTGATCTCCCTGTAAGAAAGGCAGTAGCTGAAAAGCACCTAAGCTGCCAACACTGTGGAAACCCCCGCAATGCTCCCTTTCTTCACAGTGACATACTTGTTGTAATACCCATAGTAGCCTCTGAAACGCTCCAGCAGTGCCGGTCGGGGTAAGATCCCGCGTCGGTACCCAGCTTGGCAGCTCCTCTGGTTTGACATCTGTGTGTTTTCTCCCATTCCCTGCTGTGACTGATGCTGCTTTGGAGTCCTGGTGTCTGCAGTGCCGGGCTGCTGGAGGGTGCTGGGGAGGGAGCATACCGGGAGTGTCATTAATGAATGGCCTTGTGATTTGTGCTTGCTTGTTTGGTGGGAATAGATTGATTCTTGTTTTCTGCCTGTGCTTAAATGGGATAAAACTATATGGAAAAAGTAAACCAGGCTGGGCGCGGTCGCTCACACATGTTGTAATCCCAGCACTTTGGGAGACCGAGGCAGGTGGATCATTTGGGGTCAGGAGTTTGAGATCAGCCTGGCCAATATAGTGAGACCTCATCTCTACTAAAAATACAAAAATTAGCTGGGCATGGTGGTGCGCTCCTATAATCCTAGCTACTCAGGAGGCTGAGGTGGAGAATCGCTGTAACCTGGGAGGTGGAAGTTGCACTGAGCCAAGATTGGGCCATTGCACTCCAGCCTGGGCAACAGAGTGAGAGTCTGTCTCAAAAAAAAAAAAAAAAAGTAAACCTTTTTACCATACTTTAAAACAATCTAGAAACTATTACAAAATAAAACAGAAATCTAAAGTTTTTTTTTGCAGGAGGAGGAAAAGAGACCTGGTTGAGTTCAGTGCCATGATACCCAGAGTGCATGAAGGGATGTGTGTGTGTGTGTGTGTGTGTGTGTGTGTGTGTGTGTGTGCGCGCGCACGCTGATTTGTAGAGGGAAAAGTGGGGAGCAGGAGCGCCACCTGGGGGTGGCTACCTGCTGTCTGCCCTGAGGTTGCACATGGCAGCCCCCATTTTCCAAAGTCCCTTGGTCTTGGAGGCCCAGAAACCTGCTGTTGTCAGCACGTGGAGAGTGTTCATCCATCAGGGCCAATGGCATGTTAACCAAGCTCCCAGACTAATGTGTGCGAATAGGATTCCGGTTAACTTAGCATGGGAATGCAGGCTGGGTGCGGTGGCTCACGCCTGTAATCCCAGCACTTTGGGAGGCTGAGGTGGGCAGATCACCTGAGGTCAGGGGTTCGAGACCAGCCTGACCAACATGGAGAAACCTCGTCTCTACTAAAAATACAAAATTAGCTGGGTGTGGTGGTGCATACCTGTAGTCCCAGCTATTCGGGAGGCTGAGGCAGGAGAATCGCCTGAACCCGGGAGGCGAAGGTTGTGGTGAGCCAAGATTGCACCATTGCACTCCAGCCTGGGCAATAAGAGTGAAACACCATCTCAAAAAAAAAAAAAAAAAAGAAAGAAAAACAAAGAATGGGAATGCGTATGTCCTCACAACCTCATTCATTCACTGTCCTGCTGTGCACATTCCTAAAAGGGAAGCTAAGGGATGGTCAGAAGGTTACGTGGTAATCGTAGAGTCAGAATGTGGGGAGTTATTGGACTTAGACAATGGGTGACCTCAGGCTAAAGTACCTGATATCTATAATGGTATTAATAGCTGACACTTACATGGGGCTTACTATCTGCCAGCCATTGTGTTGTAAGTGTGTTATATACATTGGCCAATTTAATCCTCACAACAGCCTGTGAGGTAGATATATTGTTATCCTCATTTTTGAGACAGGGTCTTGCTCTGTCACTGAGGCTAGAGTGCAGTGGCAAGATCAGGACTCACTGCAGCCTCCACCTCCCGGGCTCAAGTGATCCTCCCACCTCAGCCTCCTGCGTAGTGGGACCAGAGGTGTGTGCCACCACACCTGGCTAATTTTTTTGATTTTTAGTAGAGACAAGGTCTTGCTCTCTTGCCCAGGCTGGTCTTGAGCTCCTGGGCTAAAACAACCCTTCCATCTCAGCCTCCCAAAGTGCTGGCATTACAGGCGTGAGCCACCCCACCCTGCCTATTATCCCCATTTACAGGTGAGGAAACTGAGACATCAAGATGCTAAGTGACTTGCTGAAGGTTTCTGAGCTAGGAACATTTGCCAACCCTTGCACTGAGGGTTCTTTGCTGTTTTGTTTTTCTATTCAGCTATTTATAGGTTATGCCTTCAGATTTATTAATGTAGCCAGTCATTTTGCAGTGGCATTTGCTGGCCTAGGGACCCTTCTGTTTAAGGTGATTTTGTATAGCTCTGATCTGTTATGAATTTGATTTTGGAGTTTTAGCTCAGAAGGCAATTTGCCTACTTTCCCTGTTGAAATGCTTGGAAGTAAATCATCCTGGCCATAGTGTCCACTGAACAACATAAATGTTGTTTTAATACCCTAAAAATCCTGACATGCAGCTAATTTTTTTGTATTTTTAGTAGAGACAGTTAGCCAGGATGGTCCTGGGAGGCAGAGGTTGCAGTGAGCCAAGATTGCGCCACTGCACTCCAGCCTGGGCGACAGGGTGAGACTCCGTCTCAAAAAAAAAAAAAAAAATGAAAATAAAAATCCTAATATGAAGGAGTGTGGGTGAAGCGTGGATCACTGTTACTGAATCACCCTGCAGATGCTGTCATCCTATTGTGGAAGGTGAATGATAACAAGGAGCCGGAGCAGATCGCTTTTCAGGATGAGGACGAGGCCCAGCTGAACAAGGAGAACTGGACGGTTGTGAAGACTCTGCGGTAACTTGGGAGGGACCATGGCAGTGATCTCTGTTTACGATGAGTGCATTAAATGGAATATACCTTTTGACTTTTTTTTTCTTTTCTTTTGAGATAGGGTCTCATTGTCGCCCAGGCTGGAGTGCTGTACTGTGATCACAGTACCCTGCAGCCTTGACTTCCCGGGCTCAAGTGATCCTCTCACCTCCCAAATAGCTGGGACTACAGGTGCATGCTACCATGCCCTGCTGATTTTTAAATTTTTTTTTTTTTTTTTTTTTTTTTTTTTTAGTATTTATTGATCATTCTTGGGTGTTTCTCGGAGAGGGGGATTTGGCAGGGTCATAGGACAATAGTGGAGGGAAGGTCAGCAGATAAACAAGTGAACAAGGGTCTCTGGTTTTCCTAGGCAGAGGACCCAGTGGCCTTCCGCAGTGTTTGTGTCCCTGGGTACTTGAGATTAGGGAGTGGTGATGACTCTGAAGGAGCATGCTGCCTTCAAGCATCTGTTTAACAAAGCACATCTTGTACCGTCCTTAATCCATTTAACCCTGAGTTGACACAGCACATGTTTCAGAGAGCAGGGGGTTGGGGGTAAGGTTATAGATTAGCAGCATCCCAAGGCAGAAGAATTTTTCTTAGTACAGAACAAAATGGAGTCTCCTATGTCTACCTCTTTCTACACAGACACAGCAACAATCTGATTTCTCTATCTTTTCCCCACATTTCCCCTTTTTCTATTCGACAAAACCGCCATCGTCATCATGGCCCGTTCTCAGTGAGCTGTTGGGTACACCTCCCAGACGGGGTGGCGGCCGGGTAGAGGGGCTCCTCACTTCCCAGACAGGGCGGCCGGGCAGAGGCGCCCCCCACCTCCCGGACGGGGCAGCTGGCCGGGCGGGGGCTGCCCCCCACCTCCTGGACGGGGCAGCTGCCGGGCAGAGATGCTCCTCTCTTCCCAGACGGGGCGGCTGCTGGGCGGAGGGGCTCCTCTCTTCCCAGACGGGGCGGCTGCCGGGCGGAGGGGCTCCTCACTTCTCAGACGGGGCGGCCGGGCAGAGACGCTCCTCACCTCCCAGACAGGGCGGCGGGGCAGAGGCGCTCCCCACATCTCAGACGATGGGCGGCCGGGCAGAGACGCTACTCACTTCCTAGACGGGGTGGCGGCCGGGCAGAGGCTGCAATCTCAGCACTTTGGGAGGCCAAGGCAGGCGGCTGGGAGGTGGAGGTTGTAGCGAGCGGAGACCACGCCAGTGCCCTCCAGCCTGGGCAACATTGAGCACTGAGTGAGTGAGACTCTGTCTGCAATCCCGGCACCTCGGGAGGCTGAGGCTGGCAGATCACTCGCGATTAGGAGCTGGAGACCAGCCCGGCCAACACAGCGAAACCCCATCTCCACCAAAAAAATACGAAAACCAGACAGGCGTGGCGGCGTGCGCCTGCAATCCCAGGCACTCGGCAGGCTGAGGCAGGAGAATCAGGCAGGGAGGTTGCAGTGAGCCGAGATGGCGGCAGTACCGTCCAGCCTCGGCTTGGCATCAGAGGGAGACTGTGGAGAGAGCGGGAGAGGGAGAGGGAGACGGTGGAGGGAGAGGGAGAGGGAGAGGATTTTTAAATTTCTGTGGAGACAGGGTCTCACTATGTTGCCCAGGCTGGTCTAATTTAGAAGTTTTATTTATATGAAACAGTCCTAAGACAATAGTTTTAAAGGATGAAAGCATAATTAAAATGGATTTTCTTAGTTTCGGCTATACATTTTTCTTAGTAAAAAGTATTCAATTTTAAAGATACAGCTATCCTTTTTTTTTTTTTTTTTTTTTTTAGATGGAGTTTTGCTCTTGTTGCCCAGGCTGGAGTGCAATGGCATGATCTCGGCTCACCGCAACCTCTGCCTCCTGGGTTCAAGCGATTCTCCTACCTCAGCCTCCCGAGTAGCTGGGATTACAGGCCTGCACCACTATGCCCAGCTAATTTTTTTGTATTTTTAGTAGAGACGGGGTTTCTCCATGTTGGTCAGGCTAGTCTCAAACTCCCAACCTCAGGTGATCCGCCCACCTCGGCCTCCCAAAGTGCTGGGATTACAGGCGTGAGCCACTGCGACCGGTCAGATATAGCTATCCTTGAAAGTAGTTTTTTATAGCTATAGCTAATATAGTGCCAGTGGAAATTTTGGAATCTCATTTTAATGCTTAGTTCTGGAGATTGTCCTTATATTTTTGATAACTTGTCCGTTTTTGAGTTAATAATTGCTTTTTGTTTTGTTTTGTTTAGAGTCAGAGTCTCACTCTGTTGCGCAGGCTGGAGTGCAGTGGCATGATCTTGGCTCACTGCAATCTCTGCCTGCTGGGTTCAGGGGATTCTCCTGCCTCAGCCCCCAAGTAGCAGGGACTACAGGTGTGCGCCACCACACCTGGCTATTTTTTTTTTGGCTAATTTTTTTTTTTTTTTGAGATGGAGTCTCACTCTGTCGCCAGGCTGGAGTGTAGTGGCGCGATCTTGGCTCACTGCAATCTCTGCCTCCCAGGTTCAAGTGATTCCCCTCCCTCACCCTCCTGAGTAGCTGGGTCTGCAGGTGTGCACCACCACGCCTGGCTAATTTTTTGTATTTTAGTAGAGACGTGGTTTCACCATGTTGGCCAGGATGGTCTCGATCTCCCGACCTTGTGATCTGCCTGCCTCGGCCTCCCAAAGTGCTGGGATTACAGGCGTGAGCCACAGCACCTGGCTGATTTTTGTATTTTGAGTAGAGATGGGATTTTACTGTGTTAGCCAGGCTGGCCTTGAACTCCTGACCACAGGCAGTCTGTCTACCTTGGCCTCCCAAAGTGCTGGGATTACAGGGGTAAGCTGCTATACCTGGGGAGTAATTGCTTTTTTCCTCTTTGTTTTTGGATTCTAGGGGCCACTTAGAAGATGTGTATGATATTTGCTGGGCAACTGATGGGAATTTAATGGCTTCTGCCTCTGTGGATAACACAGCCATCATATGGGATGTCAGCAAAGGTAAATGATATATTTTTGTTATTAGCAGGAAGAAATATTCTAAGCATCTATAAAAGCCTAAAAGTCTAACTTGCTTTAACTTTTTTTTTTTTTTTTTTTGAGACAGGATCTCACTCTGCCGCCCAGGCTGGAGTGCAGTGGTGCGATCTTGGTTCACTGCAACCTCTGCCTCCTAGATTCAAGCGATCCTCCTGCCTCAGTCTCCCAAGTAGCTGGGACTACAGGCATGCACCACCACACCCAGTTAATTTTTGTATTTTTAGTAGAGACGGGTTTCATCATGTTGGCCAGGCTGGTCTCAAACTCCTAACCTCAGGTGATCTGCCCGCCTCAGCCTCCCAAAGTGCTGGGATTACAGGCATGAACCACTGCCCCTGGCCCTAACTTACCTTAACTTTATTTTTTATTTTTATTTTTTTGGAGACGGAGTTTCGCTCTTGTCCAGGTTGGAGTGCAATGTCACAATCTTAGCTCACTGAAATCTCCACCTCCCGGGTTCAAGCGATTCTCCTGCCTCAGCATCCTGAGTAGCTGGACTACAGGTGTCTGCCACCACACCTGGCTAATTTTTGTATCATTAACAGAGACGGGGTTTCACCGTTGGCCAGTCTGGTCTCTATCTCTTGACCTCAGGTGATCCACCCGCCTCGGCCTCCCAAAGTGCTGGGATTACAGGCATGAGCCACCACACCCGGCCTACTTGCTTTAACTTTAAAAGCAACACAAAAAATTGTTTTAGTGAACTAAAGTAGGTGGTTGGCTCAACAGGATAGGGGTTAGTCCCATATGCTATGGATTGTCAGAGGGTAAGAGGCTTAGCACTGGTGCTGCAAGTTACTGATGCTGAAGCCAGGCAAATCCCACATGGTGGGGCCAGCAGATAAGATGACAGGCCCGGGCCCTGCCTTTATGGAGGTTAGGATCTCGGGAAGATTAACAAGTCACTTATAATTTATAGGGCATTGCATGCTAGTTGATGGGGTAGGTGGGATCAGGTTTCCATTTTAGAAGATCAAGGAAAGCCAGGGACATTCTGTTCTCTAGTTGGGGAGACAGTGGACATGTGAAAAGTTATAGTGGTGTGAAAATAGCTGTGAAATGCCAAAAGCAAGTATGGCTAACTCCTAATCATTTTTATCCCCTGCCATCCTTTACTCAAACTTTGTTTTCTCCCAAACCTCTTCCTGCCAATTCTACAACTCAAGTACCTGGGTAGGGCAGTTGTTGTTGGCTGCCACCGCAGCACTGTGTCAGCCCAGTTCTCATCCAGTCTATAAAAATTTTTGCTCTTTTTAGTACCATGCTGTCCAGCCAAGCCATCCTCCATCCTCCGTTCTGTCTTGTTTTGTGTGGTTTTTTTTTTTATTTTAGATGGAGTCTCCCTCAGTTCCCCAGGATGGAGTGCAGTGGTGCGATCTCAGCTCACTGCAACCTCTGCCTCCCGGGTTCAACAATTCTCCTGCCTCAGCCCTCAAGGTAGCTGGGATTACAGGCGCCCGCCACCACTCCCAGCTAATTTTTGTATTTTTAGAAGAGATGGGGTTTGCCCATGTTGGCCAGGCTGGTCCCAAACTCCTGACTTGAAGCGATCTGCCTGCGTCGGCCTCCCAAAGTGCTGGGATTACAGGCATGAGCCATTGCGACTGGCCAGGATTTTAGGTTTTATCATAAGTGTGATGGGTTGTTACTGAACCTCACCAAAAACCTCAAAAAAAAAAAAAAAAAAAAAAAAAGAATGACTTGTCAGGCACAGTGGCTCAGGCCTGTAATCCCAGCACTTTGGGAGGATTGCTCAAGCCTAGGAATTCAAGACCAGCATGGGCAACATGGCAAAACCCTCTCTCTACCAAAAAAATACAAAAATTAGCTGGGTGTGGTAGTACATGCCTATAGTCCCAGCTACTAGGGCTGCTAAGTCTCTTGAGCCTGGGAAGTTGAGGCTGCAGTGAGCTCTGACGGCGCCACTGCACTCCAGCCTGGGCAACAGAACCACACCCTGTCTCAAAAAAAAAAGAAAAAAAAAAAGGAATGGCCAAGGCTTCATAACTCTCTTGTCTTTTTATGCAGGCGATCTCTGTGTGCTAAATATTTTCCCCGAAGTCCCTTTTCCATCCCTGTTCGCATTGTCTGCTCTGGGCCCTCCTCATCTCTCTCCTGGTCTACTCGGTCACCTCCTAACTAGTGACCCTCTTTGTCATCTTCTAAACCTGTTTCACCTTTAAAATGCAGACAGCTTCTCAGCTTGAATTCACAGCCTTTTCCTTACACACAAGGTCTCTGTAATACTTCTCCTTTCCTCCTTATCTTCTGTTCTTGGCCCTCCTCTGTACCCATTAGCAGTTCTCAGCTACCTCTCCCTGCTCCATATTCACTTCGCTAAGCTGTTTTAACCCAGGGATTCCCTGACAATACCTTCTTCCACCCTTCATCCCCTCTTCATCCTGCCTGACCTGGGGAACTGAACTTAGATCTTCTCAGACCCTCCGCCCTGTGCTGTCAGCTCCCCTCCCCCGGTCCACATGTGTGATCCTTGCTTGTTGATGGGTCTGTCTGATCTGTGGGCTCCCTGAGGGTGGGGACTGCATGAAGTCATCTTTGTGACCCCAGAGCCTGACACAGGGTTTTAGTACAGAGTCTCTCACTTACTGCCTGCTGAGTGATGCGTGGTAAAGGGAATAATATTTAAGTCATAGTTTATACTATTTGGGCTCAAACAGGTTTTGGTAATGCTGTTTTGGTGCGTGTGTGTGTGTTTTTTTTGTAGGACAAAAGATATCAATTTTTAATGAACATAAAAGTTATGTCCAAGGAGTAACCTGGGACCCTTTGGGTCAATATGTTGCTACTCTGAGCTGTGACAGGTAAATTCAGCTTTGGCATTTACTTGGAATTTCTTTGTATTTACTTGGAATTTTCTGAAGAGAGGTATTTATCGTAACTTAGCCAAGATTTATCATAGTCTAACTTTGATTCTTTTGTTCTTGTTTTCATACTCATTCTTACAACATAATCAGAAATTGGAAATTAATTAGGACAAGTGCCTTACACGAAGTTTGTACTTAGTAAATCTTTTTTTTTTTTTTTTTTTTTAGACACAGTCTCACTCTGTCACCCAGGCAGGTGTTGTGGCGCAATCTCACAATCTCAGCTCACTGCAACCTCTGCCTCCTGGTTTCAAGCGATTCTCCTGTCTCAGCTTCCCTATTAGCTGGGATTACAGGCACATGCCACCATGCCCGGTTAATTTTTGTGTTTTTAGTAGAGACAGGGTTTCACCACGTTGGTCAAGCTGTTCTCAAACTCCTAACCTCAAATGATCTGCCTGCCTTGGCCAATGTGCTGGGATTACAGGCATGAGCCACCATGCCCCGCCCTGAACTTAGTAAATCTTTATTATTATTACTATTTTTTTTTTTTTTTGAGAGAGGGGCTTACTCTGTCACCCAGGCTGGAGTGCAGTGGTGCAATCACAGCTCACTGCAGCTTTGACCTCCTGGGCTCGAGCAATCCTCATGCTTCAGCCCCCCAAGTAATTGGGACTACGGGTGTGCACCACCACACCCGGCTAATTTTTATATTTTTTTGTAAAGATGGGATTTTGCCATGTTGCCCAGGCTGGTCGCGAACTGTTGAGCTCAAGCCATCTGTCTGCCTTGGCCACCCAAAGTGCTAAGATTACAGGTGTGCTACGGTGATTTTTATTTTTATTTTTTTTAAATTGTTTTTTGAGACAGAATCTCACTCTGTCACTCTGGCTGGAATGCAGTGGTGCGATCTCGGCATACTGTAACCTCCACCTCCTAGGTTCAAGCGATTCTCCTGCCTCATCCTCCTGAGTAGCTGGGATTGCAAGTGTGTACCACCATGCCTGGCTAATTTTTGTATTTTTAGTAGAGACAGAGTTTCACCGTATTGACGATGCTGGTCTCAAACTCCTGACCTCAGGTGACCTGCCTGCGTTGGCCTCCCAAAGTGCTGGGATTACAGGCGTGAGCCACCTCGCCCAGCCCAGTTATTTTAATGACTCCATTTAAATGGATATAAAAATAAACTATTTTTGTGCTTTCTGAAAAGAAGTCTTGTTGTCGTGTTTACTGGCATAATTGCATTTAATTGTATTGTTGGAACAAAGAGTTAGAAAAAATGAGGAGTGCCTCCTATATTACTTAATAGTCCTTTTGAATATTTATCTGACTACTTTTAAATAAAACAAATTGAATATAAGATGGCCTTGGAATAAAAGTGGTAGGGAGGAGTTAGTGTTTATTTTTCATAGAATCTTCTGTTGTATTCTAAATGCCATTTATTTTCTGACAAGTGTGTTTTATTCAGACAGTCATCAGTAAAACAATCTGATTAGCTAGTGGGAGTAATGTGACTTACCAATTTTTTTTTTTTTTTTTTGAGACAGAATCTCGCTCTGTTGCCCAGGCTGGAGTGCAGTGCCACAATCTCAGCACTGCAACCTCTGCCTCCCGGGTTCAAGTGATTCTTCTGCCTCAGCCTCCCGAGTAGCAGGGATTACAGGCGCCCACCACCACGCCCGGCTAATTTTTTGTATTTTTGGTAGAGATGGGGTTTCACCATGTTGGCCAGGCTGGTCTCGAACTCCTGACCTCAAGTGATTCACCCGCCTCTGCCTCCCAAAGTGTCGGGATTACAGGCGTGAGCTACCGCGCCCGGCCTGTAATATCCTTTAGGTTGTTAATACTTGCTTCCTTCTTAATTACCCAGTTGTGAATATCATTGGTAAAAGCTTTTGCAGGCTGAAAACTGTTGCGGTGGTAATAGGCTGTTGGTAATAAGTTGTTTCTGTGTGAAGCATAATTCATTTACTAGAAGTGGTAAATCAGACATGTTCTTTCTTCAGGGTGCTGCGAGTATACAGTATACAGAAGAAGCGTGTGGCTTTCAATGTTTCGAAGATGCTGTCTGGAATAGGGGCTGAAGGAGAGGTATAAAATATTTTGCCATTCTTTTTCAGCAGCGCTTTAACTGAGACTTAGGAAGTCATGAGCTCCTCCCATACCCTTGCAGCCAAATCACTGGCCACAAAGAGCCGATTCCAGAACTACAATAAGGCTTCCTTTTGGACAGTCAAGGCTCAGTTACTGTGGTGGGCTAGTCTGTATGGAAATGGGGACATCTGGAGACCAGGGTAGAGCCACTGATGGAGGACAGGACAGTGGTTTTCAACCCTGGTTGCACGGTGGAATCACCTGGGAAGAATTACAAATATGGGTGCTGGCCGGGCGCCGTGGCTCATGACTGGAATCCCAGCACTTTGGGAGACTGAGGTGGGCGGATCACTTGAGGTCAGGAGTTTGAGACCAGCCTGGCCAACATGGCCAAACCCCATCTCAATGAATTGCAAAAATTAGCCAGCTGTGGTGGTGCATGCCTGTAATCCCAGCTACTCGGGAGGCTGAGGCATGAGAATCACCTGAACCTGGGAGGCGGAGGTCTTAGCCGTGAGCGGAGATCATGCCACTGCACTCTAGCCTGGGCGACAGAGCGAGACTCGATTTCAAAAATAAAATGAAATAAGGCTGGGCATGATGGCTCATGCCTGTAATCCTAGCACTTTGGGAGGCTGAGGCAGGTGGATCACCTGAGGTCAGGAGTTTGGGACTGGCCTGGCCAACATGGTGAAACCCTGTCTCTACAAAAAATATAAAATTAGCCGGGTGCATGCATGTGATCCCAGCTATTCAGGAGGCTGAGGCAGGAGAATTGCTTGAACCTGGGAGGTGGAGGTTGCAGTGAGCTGAAATCACACCATTGCACTCCAGCCTGGGTGACAAGAGCGAAACTCAGTCTCAAAATAAATAAATAAATAAAAATAAAATAAAAATAAAAATATGGATGCCTTGGCCCCAACCTGAGTGGCGTGATTCACTTGGCTGGAGGTAAGCAGGGCCTCCATGATTCTCAGGTATAGCAAGGGCTGGTCACTACTGATCTGGGAAGATCCCTACACGAGGCAACAGAAGACAGGCAGGTCGAGCGTTGGATCTGTCTGGCAGCAGGCAGTTTACTATCTTGGCAGGTAGGTAGAGAGTTTTGCTAGCAGACAGCAGAGACCCAGCCAAAACACTGGTATTTAGGAATAGGAAGGATTTTGACTTTCAAATAATTGGCAAATGAAAATAGGACCCTTTTTGTAAAGGAATCAAGGCTACCGAGGCAGGCAGCGAGGTGCGGGGAGCAAGCTGGTTACTGGCTTCACACGGGGACATGGTGCAAATGCATCCAAGGAACCAGGGTAAGGCAGTGTGGGCTGGGCGCTGACAGGCACTGAGAGGTCACACCTGTGAAGTAAGAATAGTAATGCTTCCCGGGTGCGGTGGCTCAGCCTGTAATCCCAGCACTTTGGAAGGCAGAGGTGGGCAGATCACCTGAGGTCAGGAGTTCGAGACTAGCCTGGCTAACATGGTGAAACCCTGTCTCTACTAGAAATACAGAAATTTGCTGGGCATAGTGGCGCATGCCTGTAGTCCCAGCTACTCCGGTGGCTGAGGCACGAGGATCACTGGAACCTGGGAGGTGGAGTTTGCGGTGAGCCGAGATTGCGCCATTGCACTCCAGCCTGGGCAACAAGAGCGAAACTCTGGCTCAAAAAAAAATATGTGTATATATATGTTTTTGTATATATTATATATAATATATACTTTAATATGTTATATATTTATATTATATATAATATATTTTTATATTATACATAATATATATTTTTATATTATACATAATATATATTTTTATATTATACATAATATATATTTTTATATTATACATAATATATATTTTTATATTATACATAATATATATTTTTATATTATACATAATATATATTTTTATATTATACATAATATATATTTTTATATTATACATAATATATATTTTTATATTATACATAATATATATTTTTATATTATACATAATATATATTTTATATTATACATAATATATATTTTTATATTATATATAATATATATTTTTATATTATATATTTTATATATATAAAAATATATCTATTACATATATATATATATGAATAGTAATGCCGGCTTCCTTGTGTTCTTAAGAATTAAATGCTTGTTTGTTTGTTGAGACAGTGTCTGGCTCTGTCACCCAGGCTGGAGTGCAGTGGCACGATCTTGGCTCACTGCAACCTTTGCTTCCTGGGTTCAAGCGGTTCTCCTGCCTCAGCCTCCCGAGAAGCTGGGATTACAGGCGTGTGCCACCACACTTAGATAATTTTTGTATTTTTAGTAGAGATGGGGTTTTGCTATGTTGGCCAGGCTGGTCTCGTACTCCTGGACTCAAGTGATCCGCCCGCCTTGGCCTCCCAAAGTGCTGGGATTACAGGTGTGAGCCACCATGTCTGGCAAATGCTTGATGTTTATAAATAGTAGTAAAAACTGTCCCAGACAGGTGTTAAAGAAATGTTGTTTTAAAAGATTAATGATTACCAGTTTAATAATCCACTATTTTCTTTTTTTAAAGGGTGCATTTGTTAATAGCTGGATGTGGTGGCATGTGCCTGTAGTCCCAGGAGGCTGAGACGGGAGGATTGCTTTGAGCCCAGAAGTTCTAGGTTACAGCGACCTATGATTGCGCCACTGCACTCTAGCCTGGGTGACAGAGCGAGACTCTGTATCTAAAGAGTGCATTCAGTTGGAAATTCTAATGAATCCACACAGATAGAAAGCAGAGGTCTCCTGGTCATCTTCCCACTGTCTGCCAGTCTCAGGCCCCAGACATGCCACTATTGACCCTGTGGTTTGTGTTCTTAAGAGTTTTTAAAAATAATTTTAGAACCACATAAAACACACATATATACATATAGCTTTACCTAACAAAAATGTGTGGTCAGTTTTCATGAATGTTTACCCTTGCAGTGTTGTACAATTATTTGATTTGTAATGTGTTTCAGTTTCATTTATGATTATGTCAACAATAAATGACACTATGTAAAGAAAACCATAGGCACATATAGCAGTTGGGAAGCGTTTATTTGTGAGTGTAAAGATTTGGAAAAATGTTTAAGCTTTGTGTGTAGAAAACAAACAAAAAAAATAATAAAAATAAATTTTGTGTGCGACAGGCAAGAAGCTACCGGATGTTTCACGACGACAGCATGAAGTCTTTCTTCCGTAGACTGAGTTTCACTCCCGACGGATCTTTGCTTCTCACGCCAGGTGTGTTTCGTAGCTTTGGACTTAAAGGAATGATGGCCGAGTGGGGATGTCTGCTCCCGTTTTACGCTGCAGCTTATCAGCTCAGTGAATGCTGATTAGAGTGGGGGTCCCCGACTTACCTGCCCATTGGAACCTCCAGGAGAGCTTCAAAAAACACATTGGTGCCTATGTCCCATCCCTAGAGATTGTAGTGTATGTAATTGGTCTGGGTGGCCTGGCTTTTGGAATTTTAAGAAGATTTCCAAGTGATTGTAATGTGCAGAAAAGTTTGGGAGTAATGAGTTTAAAATGATAGGCATTTTCTCTTAGATAAATTTAACTTTTGGCTGGGCACAGTGGATCACACCTGTAATCCCAGCACTTTGGGAGGCTGAGGCGGGCGGATCACTTGAGGTCAAGAGTTCATGACCAGCCTGGCCAACATGGTGAAACACCCTCTCTATTAAAAATACAAAAATTAATGATGTGGTGGCGCATACCCTGTAATCCCAGCCACTTGGGAGACTGCGGCAGGAGAATCGCTTGAACCCAGGAGGCAGAGGGTGCAGTGAGCCGAGATCACACCACTGTACTCCAGCCTGGGCGACAGAGTGATATCTTATCTAAAAAAAAAAAAAAAAAAAAAAAAAGAAACTTTACTATTTAAACCCTTTCAATGAATGCTTTTTCATTCATTAACATGTGTATGGAAGCCATAGCGCTAAAGCCAAAGATAAAGCTCCTTTATTGTTTTTATTCTCCTCAATAAAGCGCATTTGTGACAGGATTAGACTCATGGACAAACTTGTGGAAGCAGCAGTGGTCAAAATCAAAAGGTCAGCCAAGTAGCAAGGACTAGATAGGTTTATTGTCCCTATGTCCCTAGGAAGGCAAGGGGCTCAGCCCAGCAAGATAAGGCTAGGCATTATTGTGGCCACAGTGTTCTCAGAGGAGAATGTCTGCTCATTGCCGTGGCTCCAGGACCATCCTGTGCATAGAGATGACAACATAGCCCAGGGTTGGGCCAAACGGGAGGGCACTGTCTTGGTTTGCCACTGAGTCCCATCCCAGCTGAGCCAGGGAGGGCCTGAGAAGGGCGTGAATCACACATGCAGCTGTGTGGGTGGGGCTTTAAAGAACACTGCGGAACATGTGCGAATGACACTTTGGCCCAAGAAGTCTCAGGACTAAGAATAAGTAGTTGTTTAGGTTATATTTACTAAAGTTAGTTATTAAAAGTTATTCACTAAACCCAGTAATAAATCCTTTTTTTTTTTTTTTTTTTTGAGACTGAGTTTTGCCCTGTTGCCCAGCTGGAGTGCAGTGGCACGATCTTGGCTCACCACTGCAGCCTCCGCCTCCCAGTTTCAAGCGATTCTCCTGCCTCAGCCTCCTGAGTAGCTGGGATTACAGGTGTGCGCCACCACTCCCAGCTAATTTTTGTATTTTTAGTAGAGACGGGGTTTCACCATGTTGGTCAGGCTGGTCTCAAACTCCTGACCTTGTGATCCGCCTGCCTTGGCCTCCGAAAGTGCTGGGATTACAGGCTTGAGCCACCACGCCCGGCCCTTTTTTTTTTTTTAAATTATTTATTTTATTTATTTATTAATTTATTTATTTTGAGATGGAGTTTCGCTCTTGTTACCCAGGCTGGAGTGCAATGGCACGATCTCGGCTCACAGCAACCTCCGCCTCCCGGGTTCAAGCCATTCTCCTGCCTCAGCCTCCGGAGTAGCTGGGATTACAGGCATGCGCCACCACGCCCAGCTAATTTTGTATTTTTAGTAGAGACGGGGTTTCTCCATGTTGGTCAGTCTGGTCTCGAACTCCGGACCTCAGGTGATCTGCCCACCTTGGCCTCCCAAAGTGCTGGGATTATAGGTGTGAGCCATTGCGCTGGCCTTTTTTTTTTTTTTTTTTTTTTTTTTTAAAAAGCAGAGTCTCGCTCTGTCACCCAGGCTGGAGTGCAGTGGCACCATCTTGGCTCACTGTAGCCTCCACCTCCTGGGTTCAAGCGATTCTCCTGCCTCAGCCTCCTGAGTAGCTGAGATTACAGGCGCCTGCCACCACAACCAGATAATTTTTGTATTTTTAGTAGAGATGGGGTTTCGCCATGTTGGCCAGGCTGGTCCCAAACTCCTGACCTCAGGTGATCTGCCCACCTTGGCCTCCCAAAGTGTTGGGATTACAGGTTACAGGTGTGAGCCACTGCGCCCAGCCCCAGTAGCAAATCCTTTACTATTTGGCCACTCTAAAAATATTTTCAATTAAAATCAAGTAGCAAATGGATGTCTGTTATCAACGTTATTGTTCTTTGTGGTGTTAGTAAGTGTGGGAAAAACAGGAAAATGAAATTACAAAGATTGGAAAAGAACAGATAAAAAACTGCAATAGGATTGTATTTCTAGAAAATCCAAGAGATTTTAAAAATAGTATTAGAATTTTTAAAATAATTTGATAAGATGGCTGGATATTATAAAATATATAAAAATTCCTATCTTTCGTCTATATTGGCAGTGAGTACTTAGAAATGGAAGGAGGAGAAATATTTCATTCAGAGTAGTGCAAAACCTGCAAAATACATAGAGTAAATTTATTTATTTATTTATTTTTTGAGACAGGGTCTCACTCTGTCACCCAGGCTGGAGTACAGTGGTGTGATCATGGCCCACTGCATCAGCCTTGATCTCCTGAGTTCAGGGAATCCTCCCACCTCAGCCTCCCTACTAGCTGGGACCACAGGCGTGTAGCACCATGCCTGGCTAATTTTCTTATTTTTTTGTAGAGACATGGTCTTGCTATGTTGCCCAGGCTGGTCTTAAACTCCTGGGCTCAAGCACCCCTTCCGCCTCGGCCTCCCAAAGAGCTGGGATTACAGGTGTGAGCCACCACACCCAGGCAGAAGTAAATTTAATGAGAAAGGGGCAGGACCTTTATGGAGAAGTCTAGAAGGTCTTACTGAAGGTTATAAAGCAAGTTCTGAACAAATGGAAAGATATGTCGTGTTCTAACAATTAACATACTAATTTCATTTCCAATTAGAATTGCATTAAAGTTTTTTTTTAATTGGATGAAATCTCAGCTTTGTTTAGTAGAATAAATGCTGAAGAATAGCCAAAGAAGTATTAAAAAAAAAACAGTGATACTTGGGAGGGCATTTGCCTCACCACATATCAGAAGATCCTATAACACTACTTTTAGCCAATCAATATGGTGTTGCTATAGGACCAAACAAATAGATTAGTGGACCAGAACACAGAATCCAGAAAAAGATCTCAGGATATAAGGCGATTTAATAT
The DNA here is from genome assembly GCF_000001405.40 of Homo sapiens. Classification (NCBI taxonomy): domain Eukaryota; kingdom Metazoa; phylum Chordata; class Mammalia; order Primates; family Hominidae; genus Homo; species Homo sapiens. The sequence continues at coordinate 36,406,130 of NC_000021.9, forward strand.
ATGACCTCAGGTGCTGTTCCAGTGGAAAAAAATCTATTATTTATTTGTAATTAATTGTATGTTACTTAAATAATTCTCAAGAGAATTAGACACTGAAGGCAGATAGGACAAGAGTATGTCATTAAGAAGGTTGGGAAGTGTTGAGATTGGACAAAGACCTATTCCTCTTTTTTTTGAGAGGGTTTCACCCTTGTCGCCCAGGCTTGAGAGCATTGGCGTGATCTTGGCTCACTGCAACCTCCATCTCCTGAGTTCAAGTGATTCTTCTGCCTCAGCCTCCCAAGTAGCTGGGATTACAGGCGCCGGCCACCATGCCCAGCTAATTTTTGTATTTTTAGTAGAGATGAGGTTTTACCATGTTGGCCAGGGTGGTCTCAAACTTCTGATCTCAGGTGATCCACCCGCCTCAGCCTCCCAAAGTGCTGGGATTACAGGCGTGAGCCACTGCACCTGGCCTCCTTTTTTTTTTAATTGACAGATGAAATTGTATGTAGTTGTGTATGACATGATGTTTTGAAGTATATATATGTTGTGGAATGACTAAATCTAGCTAATTAGCATAGCATGGTCTCACATAATTAGGATTTCTGTGGTTTGAACGCTTTATATCTCTTAGCATTTTTCAGGAATATAATACATTGTTATGAACCATAATCACCATGTTGTACAAGAGATGGATCTTGCAAAGGGAGGACTCTATTATTGAATGAGTAGTGCTGGGGTAGCCAGCTATGTGGAAGAAGGTAAAATTGGACCCCTTGCCTAGATGTAAAAAATAAATTCCAGGTGAATTCAGTACTTAAACACAAAAGGTAAAAATAGAAAACTCTTGTAAGGAAATATAGGAGGACATTCTAGGAATGGAGAAGACCCAATTAAGACTGGAAACTGGCTGGGCATGGTGGCTCAAGCCTGTAATCCCAGCACTCTGGGAGGCCAAGGTGGGTGGATCACCTGAGGTCTGGAGTTCAAGACCAGCCTGGCCAACATGGCAAAACCCTGTCTCTACTAAAAATACAAAAATTAGCCGGGCATGGTGATGCACACCTGTAATCCCAGCTACTCAAGAGCCTGAGGCAGGAGAATCGCTCCAACCCAGGAGGCAGAGGTTGCAGTGAGCCAAGATCGCACCACTGCACTCTAGCCTGGGCAACAGAGTGAGACTCTGTCTAAAAAAAAAAAAAAAAAGTATATGTTCAAGGATGCTTATTGCAAGCATTGTTTATAGTGGTAAAAAACCAAAAGCCAAAAAAATACTCATTAACAGAGGCTGGGTGAATGAATCTTGCAGTAAATATTATGCAGCTACAAAAAAATAATGCATCAGTGCTATGCAAGTTAACTTTCATGAGTAGTTGATTGAAACAAGCAAAATAAGGAGAAGTGTCAGTTTTGTAAAACAAATGGACTCAATAAAAAATATCATAGAGGTATACATGTGATTGAGTTATAACTGATTGTAATGATTATGTGAGCATGGAGGAAATATACAGATGACATAATGGTTTGTTGAATGTTAAAATGGATTTCTTGGGGATGGAAGAATGGAGTGGGATGAAAAGAGGGGCCTGGGTGCAGTGACTCACGCCTGTAATCCCAGCACTTTGGGAGGCGGAGGAGGGCAGATCACTTGAGGTCAGGAGTTCGAGACCACCCTGGCCAACATGGTGAAACCCCCTCTCTACTAAAAATACAAAAATTAGCCGGGCATCGTGGCAGGTGCCTGTAATCCCGGCTACTCAGGAGGCTGAGGCAGGGGAATTGCTTGAATCTGGGAGGTGGAGGTTGCAGTGAGCCAAGATCACGCCATCGCACTCCAGCCTGGGTGACAGAGCAAGACTCCATCTCAAAGAAAAAAAAAAGAGGGCAGCTATGTAGAATGTATTAATAATAATAATAAAAAAGACTATTGATACTGTCTACTGCCCTCCCTGGTGGATATGAAACAGTCATATGTAAAGTTACGTGTGTGTATATGTATCAAGAAATAGCATAAAACAGGGAGATGTTTCCAAGAGCAGCAGTGTATGATGGTCACTCTGACAGGGCTGAACTGTTTTAAGTACAGCAGGGGGTGAGTGTAGAAGAGCTCTCAGATGGGGACTGTTCCCCAGAGTGAAGTCAGGTTCTGAAGGAGGCTGGAGGTTTCAGCAGAGGGCAAGGTCTCCTGGCAGCCTCATGGCTGGATAGGGAAGTTGGGGAAAGGCGAGTCTCAGCCTTTGGATGGCATCCAAGGCTGGAATCCAGGAAATAGAGATGAGGGTCCTAGGGAGAAAGGAGCCTGGGCAGCTGAATCTAGTCACGGTGCTTCAATCGAGGAATTGCCTGGAGGCTCAACGGTGCCCTATGGCAAAGGCTCACTATGTTCTCCTCGCCCAAGATCAGAACCAGGTCCCCGGGGATTGCCCACAGGTAGGTGGAGATGACAGGTAGGTAGAACTGGAGTAAGGGCTGAGAACAGACAGTGCCGGAATATATGTTTTTGTGCTCTGTCACAACATTGTCCAGAGAATATAACTGCAGGGGGAAGTATTTTGCAAACCGGACCTGAAGGCTCTTGAGTTTCTGTTGGTGAACAGTTTGCTGAAACAGTGACTTTTCTTTCCTCTCCCTCCCTTCCCTGTTCCCCAGCTGGATGTGTGGAATCTGGTGAAAATGTAATGAATACCACTTATGTTTTCTCCAGGAAGAATCTTAAAAGGTATGCAGTCAAGGAAATGTTTGAAATGTTTACATTTTTTTTAGACGGAGTTTCGCTCTTGTTGCCCAGGCTGGAGTGCAATGGTGCGATCTCTGCTCACTGCAACCTCTGCCTCCCGGGTTCAAGTGATTCTCCTGCCTCAGCCTCTTGAGTAGGTGGGATTACAGGTGCCCGCCACCACTCCTAGTTAATTTTTGTATTTTTAGTAGAGATGGGGTTGCACCATGTTGGCCAGGTTGGTTTCAAACTGCTGACCTCAAGTGGTCCGCTTGCCTCGGCCTCCCAAAGTGCTGGGAATACAGGCATGAGTCATTGCACCCGGCTTGTATTTTTTTTTTTTTTTTTTTTTTAGTAGAGATGGGGTTTCGTCATGTTGGCCAGGCTGGTCTTGAACTCCTGACCTCAGGTGATCCGCCTGCCTCCTCCTCCCAAAGTGCTGGGTTTATAGGTGTGAGCCACCGCGCCCTGCCAAAATGTTTACCTTTTATTTTTGCTTTTGCTTAGTCACAGTGCCTTTTCCTAACACTGCAATTAATCCATTAGGCCCATCGCTCATCTTCCATGTCCTGGAAAAGCCACTCTTGCTGTTCGCTGCTGTCCGGTCTACTTTGAACTGAGGCCAGTGGTGGAAACAGGTATCCTCAGAGCCTCAGGGGTGTGTTATGTTTTCTCTCCGAAACAGGTCACCAGAGTGGGGTGGAGATTTGGATTCTGTCTTATGGGGAAAGGTGGGTATCTGGGTTTGGTTCAGTTCAGTTATTTTAAAAATATTTTATTTTTACATTTAAATCTATTTATTTATTTATTTTGAGACCAGGTTATCAGCCTGGTTAATTTTTGTATTTTTGGTAGCGACAGCGTTTCACCATGTTGCCAAGGCTGGTCTTGAACTCCTGGACTCAAGTGATCCACCTGCCTCGGCCTCCCAAAATGCTGGGATTACAGGTGTGAGCCCCTGTGCCCGGCCTGGTTTAGTTATTTTTAAAAGCTGGAGCAAAGACTGGGGTTATCAAAATACATGTCAGTTTTTTTTTTTTTTTCTTTCTTCAGGATATATTTTCTTGCTTAAGGCACTTTAAAAGGAATGGACGTACTCCTTTTGTTTGTCTATGTCTCTCATTATCAATTTTCTTTTTCTTTTTTTTTTTTTTGAGATGGGGTCTTGCTCTGTCGCCCAGGCTGGAGTGCAGTGGTGCAATCTTGGCTCACTGCAAACCCTGCCTCCCAGGTTCAAGGGATTCTCCCTCCTATCCTCCAGAGTAGCTGGGATTACAGGCGCATGCCACCACACCCAGCTAATTTTTGTATTTTTAGTAGAGATGGGATTTTGCCATGTTGGCCAGGCTGGTCTCGAACTCCTGACCTCAGGTGATCCACCCACCTTGGCCTCCCAAAGTACTGGGATTATAGGCGTGAGCCATCATGCCCAGCCATTTTCTTTGTTTTCTTGTGCTTGGGGTTCATTGAACTTCGTAGATCTATCCGTTTATAGTTTTTATTACATTTGGGAAGTTTCAGCCATTTTTCCTTCAAATGTTATTTCTGTTATTCCCTTCTCTTATTCAAATACTCCCATTACACATGTATTATATTAGGTCCTTTGAAATTAGTTCCTGGCCTTTGATACTACTTACTTTTTTTGTTTTTTTCTTCTTCCAGTGTTTGATTTTGGAAGTCTCTATAGCTGTGTTTTGAGTTTGCTAACCCTTTCTTCTGCATGCTCTGCCCTTGGTCCCATCCAGTGTGTTTTTCTTTGTTGTGGTTCTCATCTCTAGAGATTCACTTTGGGTTTTCCTTATATATTCTGTGCCTCTCCATGCTCCATTTTTCCTCTTGCTGCTTTCTTTTTTTTTTTTTTCTTGCTCTGTTGCCCAGGCTGGGGTGCAGTGGTATAATCTCGGCTCGTTGCAGCCTTCGTCTCCCAGGTTCAAGTGAATCTCCCACCTCAGCCTCCCAAGTAGCCAGGATTACAGGTGTGCGCCACCACACCCAGCTACTTTTTTTATTTTTAGTAGAGGCAGGGTTTTGCCATGTTGGCCAGTCTGGTTTCGAACTCCTGACCTCAGGTGATCTGCCCGCCTCAGTTTCCTCTTGCTTCTTAAGCATATAGAGTGCAGTTATAATAGCTCTTTTAATGTCCTTGTATACAGGTTGGTTTTGATTTTTTTCTCCTCATTGTGGGTCATATCTTCCTGTTTTTGTTTGCCTGGTACTTTTTGATTAGATACTAGACACTGACTTTTACTTTAGTGGATGCTGGATGTATTTTTATTCTTATAAATATTCTTTTTTTTTTTTTTTGTGACAGAGTCTTCCTCTGCCACTAAGGCTGGAGTACAGTGGTGCAATCTGAGCTCACTGCAACCTCCGCCTCCTGGGTTCAAGCGATTCTCCTGTCTCAGCCTCCTGAGTAGTTGGTACTACAGGCACACACCCCCACGCCTGGCTAATTTTTGTATTTTTGATAGAGACGGGGTTTTGCCATGTTGCTTAGGCAGGTCTCAAACTCCTGAGCTCAAGTGATCCACCCGGCTCGGCCTCCCAAAGTGCTGGGATTCTAGGCGTGAGCCATTGCACCTGGTCAGAAGCCTTGTTTCTGTGGTTTTACTTTGTCTCTGTCCCCAACCCCCAGGTGTGGAGCTGATGAGTCTGCCCTACCGCCTGGTGTTTGCTGTGGCCTCGGAGGATTCCGTGCTTCTGTATGACACCCAGCAGTCCTTCCCTTTTGGTTACGTGTCTAATATACATTACCACACCCTCAGTGACATTTCATGGTGAGTGGCTGCTAATGAGGGAGAGTGAGTGAAGGAGACCGTGGCTGTATCCTGGAAGACACCCCGGGGTTAGGGAGCATTTCATTACTAAAGATGGCTTTGGGGGACATATTCACCAATTTTGTTTCTTATTTATTTTTTTGAGACCAAGTATCACTCTGTCACCCGGGCTGGAGTGCAGTGGTGTGATCTCGTTTCACTGCAACCTCCACCTCCCAGGTTCAAGTGATTTTCATGCCTCAGCTTCCCAAGTAGCTGGGATTACAGGTGCGCACCACTACGCCTGGCTAATTCTTGTGGTTTTAGTAGAGATGGGGTTTCGCCCTGTTGGCCAGGCTGGTATCAAACTCCTGGGCTCAACGATCCTCCTGCCCCAGCCTCCCAAAGTGCTGGGATTACAGGCGTGAGCCACCACGCCCGGCCCCAATTTTGTTTTTTAAAGGAATCAACATTAAAAGGAAAGCCGTTTCTAGTTTGCCACAATACTTGCTTCTTATTTTCACACTGGTGGGTTTTGATGGCATTCAGATTGCCTTGTGGGGTTAACTGGACTTTGATAAACTGAGGGGAGGCCTTGTAGACTCCCTGGCCATTTGGGGACTTCTGAGGCCCTCTGGGAGGAAGCCCTTCCCTGCATGCCCCTGCTGCCCAGGACAGGGAAGTGCCCCAAGCTGGGCCTGTGTAGAGGATGTCACTCAGCACTGTCCTTCTGCCACCTTTTGGTCCCCAATTCAGCCCCCGTGGCCTGCTTGGCCCAGTGTGAGGTTTTTTTTTTGAAACAGAGTCTCACTGTCATCCAGGCTGGAGTGCAGTGGAACGATCGTGGCTCACTACAACCTCCGCCTCCTGGGTTCAAGCAATTCTCCTGCCTCAGCCTCCCGAATAGCTGGGATTACAGGCGCCCACCACCATGGCTGGCTAATTTTTTTGTATTTGTAGTAGAGACAGGGTTTCACCATGTTGGCCAGGCTGGTCTTGAACTCCTGACCTCAAATGATACACCTGCCTTGGCCTCCCAAAGTGCTGGGATTACAGGCGTGAGCCACCGCACCCGGCCTATTCAAGTGAAAATTGCTAGTAGCACAGATAGGTTGCAGCGACTTAGCAAATCGCGATGAAACTGCATGAGTGAGTCGCTATCACACACTCTTTTCCAGTTGTATCTTTTCCCTGGTTTTTGCCTTCAAACAAGCTTGTGATTTTGCTCGAACTTCCCTCTTCTAAGTAGATGTGAGAGTGTTGGTAAGGTCTGTAACTTTTCCCTGTTTTGGGGACGAAGGTCCAGCGATGGTGCCTTCCTGGCCATTTCTTCCACGGACGGTTACTGCTCATTTGTGACATTTGAGAAAGATGAACTTGGAATTCCTTTGAAAGAGAAGCCAGTTTTGAACATGAGAACTCCTGATACAGCAAAGAAAACCAAGAGTCAGACACATCGAGGGTCTTCGCCAGGACCCAGACCGGTAGAGGGAACCCCTGCCAGCAGAACCCAAGACCCCAGCAGCCCCGGCACGACTCCCCCTCAGGCCAGACAGGCCCCAGCCCCAACAGTCATCAGGGACCCTCCCTCCATCACTCCTGCTGTCAAAAGCCCCTTGCCGGGGCCTTCGGAGGAGAAGACCCTGCAGCCCAGTAGTCAAAACACAAAAGCCCACCCATCCCGGAGGGTCACTCTGAACACACTGCAAGCCTGGAGCAAGACAACACCCCGGTAAGAACTTGTTGGAACAAGATGTCATTGCAAAATGAAACACAAAATGCAGACAGAACGCTCCCACCCTGCTGCAGGTGAAATTTCAGGCGGTGAATGCTTCATGCCAGTAGGTTGCCAGAGAGATTCTTAACTTCAAATCCGAGAGTGTCATTTCTTGCATATAGGCCTCTGTTTGTTCCTCCAGTTTCTGCCTGTCAGATAAAGCCCAGGCTCCTATGCACACACACAGACTGTGATTTGGCTGCAGCCTGTCATCCAGGACTGTGGCCACTCTCTCTCCTGAGTCTGTGGCCTTCATCTCCGGCCTAGTCCTGAATGTCATCTTCCCAGAGCACTCTCTGCCCTTTGAGGCCTCTGTCCTTCCCTTCTCTGGGGAAGCCCTGGACACCTCTTCCTCTTGGTGATGCCAGGAGTCTCCTGAAAGACCCATTTCAATGTACCCTCTCTGTTTGCAGTCTTTGTGGCCCTTCAGCCTTTCCCTTGTCACCACACATCAGATTCCATAGCAGGTGCTTTGATGCTCCAGTTCCCCTGCTGGTTGTGAGCCCCCAAGGACAGGAAGCAGGTCCCATTTTTTATTTATGCTGTTCTGCCCAGGATGTAGGCAATTCCAGGAGTGTCTTCCTGAGACTGCGTTTGATGTCTCCAGCAGCCTGGTCGGTGAGAAACGGAGGTCCTGATCTGATAACAAATAATCCCCAGGAGGTGCAGAGTCGTTTCTTCCCTGCTTACATCAGTGTGGCTGGCACGCACGCCTGTGTCTGCCACTTCTACTGGATACAGAGCCACTTAGCACATCCTTCTGCCGTCAGGCAGCACAGCCTCCTGTTTCCATTCTTCCCCTGCAGCTGATGTCCAGTTACCCCTCTGATCCTGTATAGTTCCTTCTCCACCAAGCCCTCTGCCTCCCAACCTTCCCATAAACTGAGTCACGAGGAGAGCTGGGAAGGGGGATGCAGAGGGGAGTGGTGGGGATGGTGAGCTGGACAGAAGCGCCCTGTGCCTCTCAGCCTCTCCTGCGCCAATAGGTCTTCTTTGGCAAGTTCATAATATGTGTATGGGTTGCTGGCTTTAACGCCCTCTTAAAATCTCTCATTTCTTTCTGCAGATTAGCAATGTATTTTACAATTTTTCTGTTTGTTTTTATGTGACGGAAGGTATTCCTTGAACTATTTTTGGTATTAAATTATTTTTCCCCTCTTGATTTCTTCTGAATTATTTACCAAGCTTCTTGAAGATGTAATCTTTTGCAAACAAGAATAGTTGTTGAAAATTAAGACTCTGGGTTTTTATTTATTTATTTATTCATTTGAGACAGGGTCTTGCTCTGTTGCCCGGGCTGGAGTGCGATGGCATGCTCTCTGCTCACTGCAACCTCCGCCTTCTGGGTTCAAGTGATTCTCCTACCTCAGCCTCTCAGGTAGCTGGGATTACAGGCATGCGCCACCATGCCTGGCTGACTTTTTGCATTTTTAGTAGAGACGAGGTTTTGCCATGTTGGTCAAGCTGGTCGAAAACTCCTGACCTCAAGTGATCTGCCCGCCTCAGCCCGCCAAAGTGCTGGGATTACAGGTGCGAACCATCTTGCCCGGCCCAACGCTCTGGATTTTAAAAAAGTATTACCTGTGTTTCGACGCTTTCTATATATAGAAACCATATCTGACTGCCTTTTACAGCAGCCAGCAGAGTGTTCACAAGACCGTCGGTAATGAACAGAACACAGGTTTTGAAACTTTTCGATGACTGGTTATGGTTTAAGTTGACTGTTATAAATGTGATGGTTTAACTTAATACATGAATGTAATCCTCAGTTATTAAACAAGTGGGCACATCTTACTATTTAATGCCTTGAACCAGAAGTTCAGCTGAAAATTTAAGTATTTCCTTTGGTAGTTTTGAAGGTTGGTATCATACATAAACAATTCCTGTGATACTAATGAGCCATCACCCCTCTACTTTTTTTTTTTTAAATCAAGGAGAATAAACTTAACACCCTTAAAGACGGACACTCCACCAAGTTCTGTACCAACCAGTGTGATTTCCACCCCTTCTACAGAAGAAATTCAGTCAGGTAAGTAATATTGTTACTGGTTTAATATAATGAAAGGTAGAGTATCTTTTCTTTTGTTCTTTTGGAAATTAATGCCGCCTAATTTTAAGTCAGTTCTGAGACAGCAGGGATGCATCTTATTGGAACCATTGTTTAAACCCGCCGGCTGCCTGTTTACGCCTCAGCAGGGGGCACCTGGCCAGTGAGAGCATCCTGGTGAGCCAGGGAGTGGGTTCAGCAGGAGATTGTCTAGCTCAGGTTTCTCCACCTGATGACTGCTGACCTTGTGGGCCAGGCAATTCTTTGTTGTGGAGGACTGTCCTGTGTATTATGCGATGTTTAACAGCATCCCCGGCTGCTACTTCTTGCCCATGACATTCTTTTTTTTTTTTTCTTTTTTTTGAGATGCAGTCTTGCTCTGTCGCCCAGGCTGGAATGCAGTGGCACGATTTCGGCTCACTGCAGCCTCCACCTCCCACGTTCAAGCAATTCTCCTGCCTCGGCCTCCCGAGTAGCCGGGACTACAGGCGTGCGCCATCACACCCGGGTAATTTTTGTATTTTTAGTAGAGTCGGGGGTTTCACCACGTTGGCCAGGCTGGTCTTGAACTCCTGGCCTCAAATGATCCACCCGCCTCAGCCTCCCAAAGTGCTGCGATTACAGGCGTGAGCCACCGCGCCCAGCTTGCCCATGACATTCAAAAATGCCACTAGACATTGCCCACTGTCCCTTGAGAGGCAAAATCGCCCCTGGTTGAGAGCCACTCTATAGAACTTCCATTATATCAGTATAGGATCTTGCCAGGCAGCTCAGTTCCGTGTCTTGGCTCTGTATTCTGTAAATGTCAGCCCTTGACTTCCAGAATTCTTCATTTACTTGCCAACCTTATGTTTGTTAATGTTGCAGAGACGCCTGGAGACGCTCAGGGCAGTCCCCCAGAGCTAAAGCGGCCCAGACTCGATGAAAACAAAGGAGGCACGGAAAGTCTGGACCCTTGATGGGACCTCGGCTTCTGCTCGAAGCCTACCAGGCTCCCGGTGTGTGCAGGGAGACGGTAAAGCTGGAGGTGCCTGAGACCAGGGCTTCCATGGAGCGGGACACACTGTAAATGGATTTCTATAACAGAAGTGACATGTGTACTGATTTTTCTCCAGAAATATGGATGCTGTTGTATTCAGTATCCATTTTTAACTTGGGACATGAACGTTTTAACGTAGTAAATCCTCTTTTTGATGAGTTTCTGAAACTGGAGCGGTTCAACGTTATCCAGTGTGAAAATCAGTGAGTCCTCCCTGGCATCCTCGTGAAAGTGCACACACTTCATGGAGGGACTCCTTTTCAATAAGAATTAGGAAGATGAGAAAGTAATTTGAGATTTTACTCTGTCGAATTTTAGAGTATTTGAAGTGATTGTTAGATTTCACTTCTAAGGAGTTGATTGATTAAACTTTGGAAGGTAGTTGTGTTTGTTTTCTGATTTTAAAGGTGACGATGCTTATTCTTTTAGTAACTAAGTGAAGTGAAAAAGATGGGTATCACCCATCATCTTCCCACCAGAAGTAACCCTCGTTAATGTTGTAGTATATTTCCTTAGCATTTTTGTGGATCTATTTATTCTAAAAAGAGAATTGAGATTTTATTTCATATGCAATTTGGTATCTAAATAGGTTAGTTTTTTAGATTGGTTTTTCAAAGCAAAAAAAGTATCTTTTTTGTTTTTTGAGACAGGGTCTTGCTCTGTTGCCCAGGCTGGAGTGCAGTGGCGCTATCTCAGCTCACTGCAGCCTCGACCTCCTGGGCTCGAGCGATCCTTCCACCTCAGCTTCCCGAGTAGCTGGGACTACAGGCATGTGCCACCATGCCATGCTAATTTCACACACACATGCACCCACACACACACATATATATGATACATATATATATATATACACACACACACAAGTATGTGTGTATATATATATTTTTTTTCTTTTTTTTTTGAGATGGAGTCTCACTCTGTCGCCCAGGCTGGAGTACAGTGGCACAATCTCGGCTCACTATAACCTCCGCCTCCTGGGTTCAAACGATTCTCCTGCCTCTGCCTCTTGAGTAGCTAGGATTACAGGTGTGTGCCACCACATCCGGCTAATTTTTATATTTTTAGTAGAGATGGGGTTTTGCCATGTTGGCCAAGCTGGTCTCTAACTCCTGACCTCAGATGATCTGCCTGCCTCGGCCTCCCAAAGTGTTGGGATTACAGGTGTGAGCTACTGCACCTGGCCTAATTATTATATTTTTAGGGGAGACGGGGTTTTTCCATGTTGCCCAGGCTGGTCTCGAACTCCTGGGGCTCAAGTAATCCTCCCTCCCCAGCCTCCCAAAGTGTTGGGATTACAGGCGTGAGACACCATGCCTGGTCAAATGGTATCTGTTTTGACGGGTGGTTCTCAACTGTAGCTGCATACTGAAATCACCTAAGAGCTGACATACCAGTGCCTGGGTTCCCGCTTCGGAGGATTTGGCCTAATCGGTCTGGGGTATGTTCTGAATATTAGGATTTCTTAAAGCTCCTGGAGTAATTCTGATGCGCAGCCAAGATTGAGAAATCTAAGGGAAAAAACTTTCCCTGGATACGGTCTGTTCTGGTTAAATGCATTTCCACTGAAAGCATTTTTTTTTTTTTCCGAGACAGAGTCTCGCTCTGTCACCCAGGCTGGAGTGCAGTGGCGCAATCTCCACTCACTGCAACCTCACCTCCTAGGTTCAAGGGATTCTCCTGCCTCAGCCTCTCCAGTAGCTGGGATTACAGGCACCCGCCACCACGCCCGGCTAATTTTTGTATTTTTAGTAGAGATGGTGTTTCACCATGTTGGTCAGGCTGGTCTCCAACGCCTGACCTCGTGATCTGCCCACCTCAGCCTCCCAAAGTGCTGGGATTACAGGCGTGAGCCACCGCGCCCAGCCGAAAGCATTTTCTTGATTATCTCTGCCCCGTCACTGATTGACATCCTCCTTTGCTGGGGCCGCGGACTGAAGGACAGTATGCAGGAGGTGCCATCAGCTCTTCTGAAAAGAGACAGCTTTCAGTGTCATGTGGCTGGCGTGAGGTGCGGTTTGCAGTTGTTGATCCTGTGCAGACAGATGAATGACCATGGGTCCCCTGTCCTTATTGAGCAGCCTGCTTCCTGGCCATACCTGGGGAGGAACAGTATTAGGTTTTTCTGGGTGTGGTGGCTCACACCTGTAATCCCAGCACTTTGGGAGGCCAAGGTGGGTGGATCACTTGAGGTTGGGAGTTTGAGACCAGCCTGGCCAACATGGTGGAACCCCATCTCTACTAAAAATACAAAAACTAGCCAGGCGCGGTGGCACACACTTGTAATCCCAGCTACTCGGGAGGCTGAGGCACAAGAATCGCTTGAACCCGGGAGGCGGAGTTTGTAGTGAGCTGAGATGGTGCCACTGTACTCCAGCCTGGGCGACAGAGCGAGACTCTGTCTCAAAAAAAAAAAAAAAGAGAAAAAGAAGAACAGTATTAGGTTTTACAAATCTGTTTCTTGTGCATTGATTGTGGGAGTTGGGGTGGGGGACCCCTGATGGCCTGCCTGTTCTCAGCCATCATCCTTAAATATAAATCAAAATTGGCAATAAAAGACCAAGTGAAGTCACTTCAGTGTCATAGTCTAAAACTGCCTGCAACCATCTGGGCAGTGTATTGGGAAAGCTTTTGCAAAGGGAGCCCAGCCTGAAGGTTGGGCAGGCTTCCACCTTACAGTGGCTGCTGGGTTGAAGATCCTTCTCATGGTTCTGGATCTGTACTTGGAGGGGTCGTTGTTTCTGTTTTGAGCAGTATTTCCAGATGTCTCTAGCAACTCTACTGTTGAATATTAGTTCCTGCTGCTGGGGGTGCCTAGAAGAAAATCAGTCTCAGGCTTGGGGAGACTGCTTGGGAGAACTTGACCTGACTTCCCTGGAATCTGGGATTGTGAGGATAGGTCGGCGTTTGAAGGAAGAAAGTTGGAGGCTCAGCGTGGGCAGCAGAGGGTGAAGCCTTCATTTTATGCAGTGGCCCGTACGGTGGACAGGGGTATGCGGTGCCTCCTCGGGTTATCGTGGATAACGGGCCCAGCCATCCTCAGCAAGTGCCCACAGGGCCAGGGCCCTCTAGCAGAGAGGGGCAGGAGGATGTGCCACGGGGCAGGGGAGAAAGTCTCCTGGGGTCCTCGTTTACTCCAGTTTCCTCCCTTATATCCACTTCCGTCGTCTTTGCTGAAAGCACATCTGTGTAACGATGCCCTTGGCCCTCCTTACCTAAATAGTTGTCAGCGTTCACTTAAACAACATAGGTTCCAAGTCCTTGGCTCTGGAAACATCAAATGGGGAGAGGGAGGAGGTGGAGGATGAGCTGCTCCAGCCCCTTCTTCCCTGGTCTGGGGTCTCCCAGGACTTCTGCAGCCTCCCTGGTTATTAAGCTACAGTTCAACCTTGGGTGTGTGTGTAGGACAGACAGACTTGGACAAATTACTTCATGGGTCTGTGCCTGTTTCTTCATCAGAAAAAGTCTCTACAGCTAGAAAACCTTGGACTTTGTTTGCTTTGGTAGGGGAGAGGGGTAAGAGAAAATGTAGGGGGGGGTCACCCACAGAGAAACGAGAGACTGAGTTAATGCAGCTGGAAGCTGAGCCAGATTGTACTTCCCTTGCCTGGCATATTGAAGTAACACACTTGTTTTCATGCACAAATTCTCAGTGGCCACTGGGGGTCACTGTCCCCACTGAATCCACTCAGCAGTCCTGCTTCCTTAGGCCTGAAGGTCCCATGTCTCCGCCCCACCTCCTCTAAGTGATCCGCGCCCCTGTCCGGTCTTGGGAACAGAGTGGCCTTAGATACCGGCTTCCGCCCCGATGGCCAGACCCAGAGTGGAACACTGTTGAGCAGACAGGGGTGGGAGAGGATGATGAAAGCAGTATGTGCATGGCCATGCCTTTGTTCATTCATTCATTCATTCATTCATTCATTCATTCAAGAAATGTCTATCAAATATCCTCTGGGTACCAGAGGACACCTCAGGAACAAACCAGACAAAAGCCACCACCCTCTTGGGGCCTACATCCTGGCTTGGGGAGACCAACATAAGTAAATACAGGGAAAACAGAGTGGTGAGGCGCCCTGGGAGAGCTGGGTTGGAGACTGGGTTGTAGCCTGGAGTGAGAAGGGCCGAGCCGAGAAGGTCGAGAGGCAACGCAAGAGAGAACGGAAAGTGATCGGATGGGGCGTTCTAGATTTTTCTAGGAGCAGGATATCCTTGTCATCTAGGGTACCCGGTGTGTTCTCTGGGCAGGCTGGGTGTTTTGGGGTCCCCCACTGCTTCCCCACTTGGCATGAATCCCCATTTTGTCTGGAGTTGCCCTGTTCGTCACCCGGCCTCCCTGTCACCCTCCCCTTGGGAGTCGACCCCACGCCTGCCTGTGCGCAGCCTCTGGGGATGCAGTTGGGTGGTCCTCCGTCTCTGGCCTGGCCCTTTTGTCCCAGATCGAAGGCAGAACCACGTGTCATCTAGCTGTTACCTTCCATGTCCTGCTTTTAGCAAATTCTGTGGTGGTTTTAAGCACTCAGTTGTGAGAGGTGGTGGTTGTGGAGGGCACTTTCTTCTGCTGGCCCCTGTACCTTATGTCCTGCCTTAGCGTAGACAAGGTCAGCATGGAGGGGAAAATATTTCCACTGATGTGGGTCCCCTGCAGAGAGGGCTGTTTTTCCCTCAAGTTTCAGTTCTGAGTGATGGCGTGAAGCAACAGGTGTTGCCCCTTTCAAAGAGTCTGTAACAAATTTGTAGCAATGATTATACAGAGGGGGTAATAGACTGGCCCTTTTTTCTTCTTTTGAGATAGGGGTTCATTGTTGCCCAGGCTGGAGTGCAGTGGTACCATCTTGGCTTACTGCAGCCTCCAGGGTCAAACAATCCTCCTGCCTCAGTCTCCCGAGTATCTGGGACTATAGGCATGCACCACCATGCTCATTTTTAAATTTTTTCTTTTGTAGATCTCATTCCTGGGGTCTCACTATGTTACCCAGGCTGGTTTTGAACTCCTGGCTTCAAGCGATCCTCCCACCTTAGCCTCCCAAGTGCTGGTATTTTTTTTTTTTTTTTTTTTTTTTTGAGATGGAGTCCCGCTCTGTTGCCCAGGCTGGAGTGCAGTGGCGTGATCTCGGCTCACTGCAACCTCCGCCCTCCGAGTTCAGGTGGTTCTCCTGCCTCAGCCTCCCAAGTACCTGGCGCCTGCCACCGTGCCTGGCTAATTTTTGTATTTTTAGTAGAGACGGGGTTTCACCATGTTGGTCAGGCTGGTCTCGAACTCCTTACCTTGTGATCCACCCGCCTTGGCCTCCCAAAGTGCTGGGATTACAGGCGTGAACCACCGTACCCGGCCAGCCTCTGTTTTCTTAATACCCAGAACAACCTGATGTCTCCTTCCGTCATCAAATATTATCTATAAAAGCCATTTCAAGTGTCATCACAGATTCTTTCTTTGAAATCACTCTGGTCTCTGTTCCTGGTCAGAGCCCTTGGTGAGTCTGTATAGTCTGGGATGAAGTGAGGGCTGGTGTCAGCCCCTCCTGCTCCAGGTCTTCTCTTCCCTCGAGTTCCTCCTTGTCTCCTCCGGCCCTCTGAGTCTGTGGAGCTGGCTGTGCTCAAAAGCAAAACAAAAGAACATCACCTCAAGCCTGGGCTTTGTCCAGATCCGGAGTCAGCCTCTGCAAGTGAGCCGGACACATGCAATTTCCAAAGCTCAGGAGACTCCAGGCCCTCAGCGTAGGGAACCCCCGATGGGGGAGATTGGGAAGTCTGGAAAATTTGAAGGGGAATGGAATACTTGGAGCTCAGCCATTTCATGACAAGCATCCATATTCCACGACCCAAGAGGCTGAGTGTTGGGGAAAAGTCACCCCCCATGCCGGTGTCATTCTGCTTTCACGTGACAGTTACAGGAAGGAGTAAATGCCCTGTGACTGCCGCCACCCCCAAAGCAAGGAACTCGGGTTCCTAACAGGCCGGGCACTTGCGGAAGCCACTAGGGGGCGGTATTGCTAATCCTTCTCTCCTACTTGCCCCAAAGAGTCCTGTCCCTGTCTCCTTCCCGGGCCCAGGTCTCTTGTCCCTGCTCTCTGTGGGGCTCTGCTGTTGGAAACTGCTGTGAATTCCCTGGCGGCCCCTTATCAGATAGGCAGCTGTTCCCGTGACTGTCCCATCCAGAGTCCGACCATGCCTCCAGGACTGACATGTCTGCTGGTTGTCGTTGACACCAGAGGCATTTGAGTTGTTTGTCCTTTTGATTTCCACAGAATCCTCGATATTCAAGGCCGCCTTAGACGTGGCCTGTCTCCTAATCCTTGATGTCACTGGGCCACTGCCCCGCCACATTGCCTGGCTGGCCAGGTGGCCTGCCCACCCCCTAGCAGCAGCTCTCTCCCCACGGCCCCTGCACCAGAGGTGCGTTTTGATCGCCTCCTTTCCACCCTGTTGGTGAGGGAGGGATTCCCACACTGGGGTTTCGGGATGGTCAAACACAGCATCCAACACGGGACACCTGAGGTGCACAGCTGTTTGCTAGTCGCATCACTCACAGCTTGGGAGGGGGAGTACTCCGTCCAGGCAGGGCCACACGGGGCAGCACTCGAGGGCAGAGTGAACCGCAGGGGTGGTGGGCAGCCGGCTTTGCAGTAACAAGAGGACGGGGTCCCCCTGGTTCCCACAGGAGGATGTGATGGGCTCATGTGACTAATTCCTGGGGTGGTTGGGAAGTGAAGCCTGCTGCTCAGGGATAAACAGGAGATGCGCCTGGGGCCATGATAAGGCCCGGCTGGAGAGTGGGGAGGGGAGCTTGCAGTTAAGCCATTCAAGGCCCTTCCAGTTTTAGAGGCCAGGCAGCACCTAATATTAGCGTTAGACCTTAAACCAGGCGGGTGGGTGGAAGGCTGGCAAGGGAGTTGTCCTTGTTGGTGGCAGGGGACCTTAGGCCAGCGAGCCAAGTGACTGTCAGCTTCTCCCCCAAGTTGGGGCTGCCGGAGTGTGTGGGATGGTGAGAAAGGGGGTGTGGGAGGTGAGAGTGGAAAACCATGGACTTTGGAGCTAGAAGAGGGGCTTAGTTCTGTCTTAAGCAATAAATTGCCGTGGGTCTTTGCACATTTCACTTCACCGACCTTGGCCTCCATTTTCCTCTCTGTAAAATGGGGATGCAGCATATGCCTGACGGTGTTTGAAAGGATTACCTGAGACAGGTAGCTTCCTCTTTTTTTTTTTTTGAGACGGAGTCTTGCTCTGTTGCCCAGGCTGGAGTGCGGTGGCTCGATCTCAGCTCACTGTAACCTCCACCTGCTGGGTTCAAGCAATTCTCCTGCCTCAGCCTCCCGAGTAGCTGGGATTACAGACGCATGCCACCATGCCTGGCTAATTTTTGTGTTTTTAGTAGAGACAGCCTTTCACCACATTGGCCAGGCTGGTCTCCAACTCCTGACCTCGTGATCTGCCCACCTCGGCCTCCCAAAGTGCCAGGATTACAGGCGTGAGCCACCGCACCCGGCCTAGCTTCCTCTTAAGTTGAGAGTTCTGTTTTCTCACAAGAGAAATGTAGATTTCTGGAGAGATACTTAACCACTATCAGTCACGGTTCTACAGGATGTGTGTAGAGAGATTTACTCTAAGGAACAGGCCCATGCGATTGTTGGGGCTGACAAATCCAAATCAACAGCGTGGACTGGCAGCCTGGAGACCCCTGAGAGCCAGCAGTGCAGAGGAAGGCCAAGGCCATCTGCTGGAGAGTCCCCTCTTGCTCAGGGAAGGTCAACTTTTGTTCTAGTCAGTGCTTCAACAGATTGAGTGAGGCCCACCCACATTATAAAGGGCAATCTGCTTCCTCAGAGTTCATGAATCTAAGTGTTAATTTCTCCAAAACACTCTCCAAGTTGACACACAAAATCAACCTGCACCCAGGCCAGCACTAGGAATTGGGAATTGAGAACGTGTGTGGCCTGGTGGGCTGACCAACAGTCTAGACTCCAAACAGCCGTGGGTCTGGATCCTTAATCCGTGGCTAACCTGGCCTCCCAGACATTTAGTACAATACCCTCTCTCCCTCCAAATTTTCTCATCTACAAAATGAGAATACTCTGAGGATATCAATCAAATATCATACTCTGATAACCTCTCATAACAATTCAGGAACTATTCAAACAGGGTTAAGCTGGTTCCTTCCCTGTGAGCAGGAACAACCCAAAGAATTTGTGAGTTAATACGTAGCTGAATCCAGCACAACACAGGTTCTCAGCCATCACATGGTTTAAAGGCTACAGACTCCCAGCCAGTGTGCCCGGGCTTGGATCCTGGCTCTGCCAATTGCTGTGTGACCAAGGGTGTGTTGCTTAACCTCGCTGAGCCTTGCTTTTTTCATCTGTAAAATGACACGACAGAGAGCCCTGGGCTCGAGGCCTTGCAGTGCAGATTAAATGAGAGACCCTGTGTGGAGTGCCTGGTGTTGGTGTCCCTTGTGGTGAGCCTCAGAACCCGTCAGCCAGGGCTACTCCTTTCCAGACCCCGTCACTGTCGCCACTGACCCCCTCATGGGCACACATGCTACAGGGGTTTCAGTCCAAACCAATGCTTTTGGGCCCCAGCTCATATTGCTCTTCCTAGTAGACCTTGCCCTGTCAAAAGCTATCAAATTAACATCTCAAAAGCCCTCCATGGACGCAGTGACGAGAGCCTGTGGTCCCAGCTACTCAGGAGGCTGAGCCCAGGAGTTCAAGGCTGCAGTGAGCTATGGTCATGCCACTGCGCTCAAACTTGGGCAACATAGTGAGACTCCATTTCTTTAAAAAAAAAAAAAAGCCCTTTGCTCTTGGGTTTCTTGCTATTGAGAAGCAGATGTTGGGAAGAAAGTCCCCTTTGGGGGACGGTGGGATTCGTACTGTTCACCAACAAAGGAGCAGCTGCCTATGGTGGGCTGGTGGCCCTGGACCACCCTGAGGGATGAGTGAGATGCACATTCTCAAGCTGCAGTCATTACACCATCCCCCGACCCACCACGGCTGGCTTTGACACCCACCAGAGAAGCCCAGGCCAGAGCAGCCTCCAGGGGAGCTGACTCAGGCAGGGTGGGAGCCGTGAACCAGAGGCAGCTGCAGAAACGTCCAGTGATGTAAGGCGGACGAGGCTGCTATGTGTGGCACGGCTTCTACAGCTGACAATGCTGAGTGAGGCTCTCATGCACACAGTTGCAAAAAGGCCTTTAAAACAGCCACTATGTAGAAACAAGCATTTAAAAAACACAGCAAGCCTGGCTCATGCCTATAATCTCAGCACTTTGGGAGGCCAAGGCAGGTGGGTGGATCATTTGAGGTCAGGAGTTCAAGACCATCCTGGGCAACATGGTGAAACCCCATTTGTACTAAAAATACAAAAAAGTTAGCCAGGTGTGATGGCACCCGCCTGTAATCCCAGCTACTTGGGAGGCTGAGGCAGGAGAATCACTTGAACCCAGGAGGCAGAGGTTGCAGTGAGCCGAGATCGTGCCACTACAATCCAGCCTGGGCAACAGAGTAAGACTCTGTCTTAAAAACAAACAAACAAAAAACAGAGCAAGATTCTATCCACCAAGCCAGTGTGAAATGGAATACTGGAGCTCATGTGTATTAGTTTCTAGGGCTGCCATAATACTTCGTCAAGAGTGGCTTGAAACAACAGAAATGTATTCTGTCAGTTCTGGAGGCCAGAAGTCCTAAGTCAAGGGGTCGGCAGGGCCCCACACCTTCCAAAGGCTGCAGGGGAGAATCCTTCCTTGCCTCCTCCAGCTCCTGCCGGCTTCTGGTCTTCCCTGGCTTGCAGCCACGTCACTCCAACCTCTGCCTCCATCTTCACGTGGCCTTCTCCTGTCTTCCCATCTTTTTCTTTCCCTTCTCTTCTAAGTACACTTGCCATTGGCTTTAGAGTCCACCCTAATTCAGGATGATATCTCAAGATTCTTTTTTCTTTATTTTTTTTGAGATGGAGCCTTGCTCTGTCACCCAGCCTGGAGTGCAGTGGCATGATCTTGGCTCACTGCAACCTCCGCCTCCTGGGTTCAAGTGATTCTTCTGCCTCAGCCTCCCGAGTAGCTGGGATTACAGGTGTTCACCACCACACCTGGCTAATTTTTTATATTTTTGGTAGAGATGGGGTTACACCATGTTGACCAGGCTGGTCTTGAACTCCTGACCTCAGGTGATCCACCTGCTTTGCCCTCTCAAATTGCTGGGATTACAGTTGTGAGCCTCTGTGCCCGGCCTCAAGATAATTCCCACGTGTCATGGGAGGGACCTGGTGGGAGGTAATTGAATCAT
This sequence comes from Homo sapiens, assembly GCF_000001405.40. Lineage (NCBI taxonomy): Eukaryota > Metazoa > Chordata > Mammalia > Primates > Hominidae > Homo > Homo sapiens. The sequence goes on from NC_000021.9 coordinate 36,426,721, forward strand.
GGTGGCAGGTTGTTCCTGTGCTGTTGTCATGATAGTGAATAAGTCTCATGAGATCTGATGGTTTTATAAAGGGCAGTTCCCCTGCACATGCTGTCTTACCTACTGCCATGTAAGACGTGACTTTGCTTCTCCTTTGCCTTCTGCCATGATTGTGAGGCCTCCCCACCCATGTGGAACTGTGAGTTAATTAAACCTCTTTTTCTTTATAAATTACTCAGTCTTAGGTATTTCTTCATAGCAGTATGAAAATGGACGAATACACGAATTATATTTGCAAAGATGTGATTTCCAAATTAGGTCACATTCTTAGGTTTCGGGTGGACACAAAATTTGGAGGGACAGGATTCAACCCTCTACACTATACCATGAGATAGGCCTGTGAAGAGGGCTGGCTGGAAGATGGACAGCAGTTTCACAACATATAGTGGCTAATCCCAAGCCAGGAAGAAACCACTGTAATTGCAGAAATGCAGCATGTCCTTGGAACTGTCCTCATCTGGCTAGGCATGGCCCCTCTGAAGGTTCCTTTGCCTTGGCTGGTGGTGGCTGGAGGAGAGGAGGCGATGGCGTGTGGGCAGCCAGAGGGGCTGCTGAAGTTAGCCGCACGGCACCAGCATTAGCTCCCAGATCCTCACACAGTTCTTGGAGGTATGAGGAAACCGAGGCACAGGGAGCATAAGAAACTTGCTCATAGTCTTAAACTTGCAGGTAGTAACTGACTGGGAGCTAGCTGGCTCCAAAGCCTGTGGTCCCACCCACTCTGATACCTGGCTGGAATCCCATCTTTACCTGGGGAACGTGGGAACATAGCGAGCCAGAACCTGGGTTTCCCAGGGCATAGGAGAAGCTCCAGGAGCTCAAGTGAAGCTGGACCAAACTCACTCCATCCCTCCTCGAGGATGGATTTTTCTTTCACTAGTAAAAGGGTGAAAAGATGCACTTTGGGAGGGTGAAGTGGGAGGATCACTTGGTCCCAGGAGTTTGAGATCAGCCTGGGCAACATAGCAAGACCCCATCTCAAAAAAAAAAAAAAGAATGAAAAGACTTGCCACCTGACAGTCCGGTGAAGGTGGCAGGCATCTGGCTTATCTTTTCTGAGCTCAGCTCTACCATGAGAGGTTGGACTGGGTCACTCCAACCCACAGGGGACCATGGAGACAGCTTGTGAGAGAGCCCTAGAGTAGAAGGGAAGATGAGGGATTTTGAGGTGGAGGCTTCAGTGAAAGGGAAAAGGATTTCTGGGCTTGACTGTGGTCCCCACCCCATGCAGCAGGTGGTCCCAGAAGGCCGCAATGGACAACAGGGGTAGGGGAGTCACAGGAGAGTGGACCTATTTTTATTTTATTTATTTTATTTTATTTATTTATTTTTTTGAGACAGAGTCTTGCTCTGTCGCCAGGCTGGAGTGCACAGGTGCGATCTTGGCTCACTGCAACCTCCACCTCCCGGGTTCAAGCAATTCTCCTGCCTCAGCCTCCTGAGTAGCTGGGATTACAGGCGTGCACCACCACGCTCAGCTAATTTTTGTATTTTTAGTAGAGACGGGGTTTCACCATGTTGGCCAGGCTGGTCTCGAACTCCTGACCTCAAGTGACCCACCCGCCTCGGCCTCCCAAAGTGCTGAGATTACAGGTGTGAGCCACCACGCCTGGGCTATTTTTATTTTTTAATTTTTTTGAGATGGAGTCTTGCTCTGTTGCCCAGGCTGGAGTGCAGTGGCATAATCTCAGCTCACTGCAACCTCCACCTCCTGGGTTCAAGGGATTCTCATGCCTCACCCCCCCCCACCCCCAAATAGCTGGGATTACAGACGCATCCCACCACACCCAGCTAATTTTTGTATTTTTAGTAGAGATCACCATGTTGGCTAGGCTGGTCTCGAACTCCTGACCTCAGGTGACCTGCCCACCTTGGCCTCTCAAACTGTTCGGATTACAGGTGTGAGCCACCGTGCCCAGCCGGACCTATTTTTAAAAGCATGTTTATATAAGGCTGACTTGAGGGATGACATTTAAGCCAGTAGAGGCTTGAAATACAAAGAGAAGTGGAGGCGGGCATTTCAGGCACAGGAAATAGCCAGAAGGCCTTGAAATGGGAAGACCTGGCCTATTTGAGGAACAGACAGACAGACACTCGTGTGGCTGGAGCTTTGTGCGGCAGCAGGCAGAGAGTGTGTGCTGAGGACAGACGGGAGTCGAGTGTATTCACAGCACACAGGGGACTCCTCATCTGCATTTTAGAAAGAGCTCTCTGGATGCCATGTGGGCAATGAACTGTGGACAGAATCCTAGCCAGGCAGTGACTGCAATAGTCCAGACAGCGGGGACGGACCTGGGCCAGATGCTGGCTTGCAGGGTGGAGGGATAGGCGCATTTGAGGGGTGTTTTGGAGCTCAAGATGGCAGTCATGACTTTGCTGATGATGTGAAATTTTAGGACTGTGTTATTGGAGAGGCCTTAGAGATTTGAATTTTACAGCCAGAAGCAGCCAACCCAGTGGGATTGCCCATGTCTGCCCAGTTTCCCTGAACTCCCCTTCTGGGTGAAGAAGGGACGGCGGCCTGGGAAGGGTAGGTGCTTGTGTTGATCTGTCCAAGGAGCAGACACCAAATTCGCTTTCAAGGAAGTGGAGCCCAGGGCTGGGCTATTTTCCTCTTTTCCACAAGGGACACTTTTCACATAACCCACCCTCCTTCCAACACAGGGATACCGTTCACTCCATCGTGCTTCGTCTCACTCAGCCTCAGCTTGAAGCCCTCTGGCAACGGGGAGCTCATCACTTTGTGAGCTCAGCCCTAGACACTTTTCCCAGTCAGCCCTAGGCAGGCACCTCCTCCACATGTGGAATCAAAACCCAGCTCTTTGGTCAGGCGCGGTGGCGCACGCCTGTAATCCCAGCACTTTGGGGGGCCAGGGCAGGCAGACTGCTTGAGCCCAGGAGTTCAAGACCAGCCTGGACAACATGGTGAAACCCTGTCTCTACAAATTACAAAAAATTAGCCAGATGTGGTGGCACGTGCCTGTAGTCCCAGCTTCTCAGGAGGCTAAGGTGGGAGGATCATCTGAGCCCAGCGAGGTTGAGGCTGCAGTGAGCCGAGATCGCACCACTGTGCTGCAGCCTGGGCAACAGAGTGAGAACAAAACCCCAGCTCTAGGTGTGCCCTCGGCCCCTCCAGGCAGCCTGTGTCCTCTCCCCAGGATTTAAGATCATGCCGCTCTTGTTTTGGGCTTTTTCAGGACAGTTAACTCTTAGGAAGAAGGGACCTCCAAACCTCTAAGTCGCCAAACCACCGCACCGCCCTGGGTGGAAGAAACCGCTTCGGCAGCAGAGGAAACAGCAGCTTCGCAGAGCAGCCTGGCCCGAGTGGCTACACCGGGTCTGTCTGGTCTCAGCTCTGGCCTCTGAGTCATTAGCGTTGTTTTCTTCTGAGGCCAGGGCTTCAGATTAGTCAGGGGCTCCTGTTTCCTGGCTGATAAAGCAGGTGGAAGAAACACAATCTGGCCGCCTAGAGGCTGCGTGAAGCTCGTGACCCTGCGGGGTGACTAACGGAGCTCAGCTGGGTGGGACCAGAAACCACGTCTGGGCACTCCTGAGTCACAGGCTCAGAAGCTTTCGCCTCCGCCTTCAGACTGGCCCTCAGGCTTCCCTGCTCAGAGGCAGGGAATTGTGCAGCTGGAGTTTCATTTTCCAAGGTAACGTAGGGTTTTTATACTGTGCTAAATGAGAGAATGGGAAATGGAGCCTGGGTTGAGATGCCCACAGTGTAACACAAGCCTGCGGCGGGGGAGTCGGTTTCTCTGGGCGAGTACTTTTTTTTTTTTTTCTTTGAGACATAGTCTCACTCTTTCGCCCAGGCTCCAGTGCAGTGGTACCATCTCGGCTCGCTGCAGCCTCGACAGCCCGGGCTCAAGCAATCCTCCCACCTCAGCCCCACAAATAGCTGGGACTACAGGCATGTGCCACTACACCTGGCTAATTTTTGTATTTTTTGTAGAGATGGGGTTTCACTGTGTTGCTGGATCAAATGCTGTAAAGGGTTGAATTATGTACTCCCAAAAAGATACTTGAAGTCCTAACCACCAGTACCTCAGCATGTAATGTTATTTGGAAATAAGGAGGGTCTTTACAGATGTAATCAACTTAAAATGTCACACCCTAAAGCAGTATGACTTGTGTCCTTCTAAAACAGGGAGATGTGGACACACGTAGACATGTATGGAGGGAGGATGTTGTGGACACCCAGGGAGAAGGTGGCACCAACAAGCCAGGTACGCCAAAAGCTGGGAGAGCCTGGAACAGATCCTTCCCTTGTGGAAGGAGCCAACTCAGCCAAGACCTTGATATCGGTTTTGTTTTGTTTTGTTTCTCAAGACGGAGTCTGGCTCTGTTGCCCATGCTGGAGTGCAATGGTGTGATCTCATCTCACTGCAACCTCCACCCTCCAGGTTCAAGCAATTCTCCTGCCTCAGCCTTCTGAGTAGCTGGGATTACAGGCACCTGCCACCACACCTGGGTAGTTTTTTGTATTTTTAGTAGAGACAGGGTTTCACCATGTTGGCCAGGCTGGTCTCCAACTCCTGACCTCAAGTGATCTGCCTGCCTTGGCCTCCCAAAGTGGTGGGATTACAGGCATGATCCATTGTGCCTGCCAAGACCTTGATTTTGGACTTCCCACCTGCAGAACTGGGAGACAGCATGTTTCTTTGTCTAAGCCACTAAGTTTGTGGTGCTTTGTTACGGCAGTCCTAAGAAACCAATTCTGTTTAGGATTTTGAGGAACTGCCAAATCACTTCCCTCCACAGCTGCACCACTTTCATTCCCACCAACAATGTAAGAGGCCACCAATTTCTCCACATCCCCGTCAAAACCTGCTATTTTCCATTTATTTATTTATTTATATTTTGAGTCGGCATCTTGCTCTGTCGCCCAGGCTGGAGTGCAGTGGTGCGATCTTGGCTCACTGCATCCTCTGCCTCCCAGGTTCAAGTGATTCTCCTGCCTCACCCTCCCAAGTAGCTGGGATTACAGGCGCCTGCCACCACGCCCGGCTGATTTTTGTCTATTTAGTAGAATTGGGGTTTTGCCATGTTGGCCCGGCTGATGTTGAACTCTTGACCTCAAGTGATCCACTCGCGTCAGCCTCCCAAAGTGCTGGGATTACAGACGTAAGCTACCATGCCCAGCCTTCCTTAAAAAAAATTTTAAAAATCGCTGTCCTAGTAAGCATGGGGTGGGATCTCACTGTGTCTTGACTTGCATTTCCCTAGTGAGTGCAGTGCTGAGCATCTTCACTGGCCATCTGTACGTCTTCTCTTATTTCTTATTTTTTTTTTATTTTTTTGTGATAGTCTCGCTCAGTCGCCCAGGCTGGAGTGCAGTGGTGTGATCTCGGCTCGATGCAACCTCCACCTCCCAGGTTCAAGTGACTCTCCTGCCCCAGCCTCCTGAATAGCTGGGACTACAGGCACCCGCCACCACGCCCAGCTAATTTTTTGTATTTTTAGTAGAGACGGGGGTTCACTGTGTTAGCCAGGATGGTCTCGATCTCCTGACCTCATGATCCGCCTGCCTCAGCCTCCCAAAGTGCTGGGACTACAGGTGTGAGCCACCACACCTGGCCCCTCTTCCTCTTATTTGTATTTAAGTCCCCAGTGCACAGCGCCCTGTCTGGTTTGCTCAGTCACTCTGTTTGGATGTGTGAGTGGATGGAAAGCCCTGGCCTTGGGCTTCCCCACCGCTTTCATTCAGTGTAGCCGGTTCATTAGGAACGTTACAGCAGCCCCATCCCATTGCTTCTCAGTGGGCTTAGAATAAACCTGAATTCCTGACACAGTCGTCATGGTGGCTCCCCCGCTCCCCACCCACTTCACTTCTTACTATTCCCCTCTCATGATCAAGGGAGACCATGAAATATAGTGTGCACATGGGGATATTTTTGAAAGATACACGAGGACAACAGACATCCACTGGGACTGTCTTAAGTACACCAGGAGGGGAGGTCAGCCTGGCCATTGCTCTCAGCCACACTGGCCCTAGTCTGTCCTTGAGCGTATCAGCTCTTGCCCGTGTGGGGCTTTGCACAGGCTGCCCTGGAGCCTGGATGGCTGTTCTCTTGCTTTTCTCCCTTCTGGCTCTTTCCTGGCCTGCGGGTTTCACCTCCAGCGTCTCCTTCTCAGGATGCCTCTGCCAACATGCCTGTCTAGGGGAGTCCTACTCTGTCACCCTCTCACTACTCCTTGCCTATTTTTTTTCATAGCATGGATCACAGTTTAGGATGATCAGTTCATTGCTTACCTGCTTTTTGTCTGCTTACTCTAGACTATTTATTTTTTATTTGAAACGGAATGGAACCAGCATGTTGCCCAGTGCCTGACAAAGTTAGATGACAAATCAATAGCTGTTGAAGGGATGAGTTACTCATAATGGTAAGAAAGGCACTGTCGTGTGGCTGTACAGATGACAGCTGGGAACTGATCAAACTTGTCTGAAGATCCACATTCTGTGAAGAGCAAACTCGCAAGCTGGAAAATATTAAACCAATGAGCAACGTTTGGCTCTCAAATTGTACTTTAACCAGGGCATGGGTTGGAATCATTGTCAATGGTGGTCATTTCTCCCTTAAGCTGTTGTGAAAATGGGTTTTTACAGCTCCTGGCTTCTTTCTTGTAGTTACTCATCCCCCCCCACTGCCATTCACTACCACCCCCACAATCCACCTGACACCTACCCATCCACCCACCCACCCACCATTCCAACCAATGTCCACACACTGTGCACCGTCTGCCTACCATCTAACCTCCCACCCCCTCCCACACCCATGAAGCCAGCACACACCCACCCATCCGTGGCACTTGGGCGTGGTTGTGTGGCCCCACAGGAGGCTGAGTATTGCCAGTGGGGGGAGTGGTTGGCTTAGGGGAGCTCCCCTTCAAAGTGTCCAAAGATGAAGGTTATATGTGAATAAAACAATGAGGAGAGATACCTGAGATTTCTGTCCAGACCTGGTGATTTGGGGACACAGGAAGGCCCAGCCACAGAGGCAGATATGGTTATTCCAAAGATCAGCCTGTGCCTCTATCTGCCTGGACCCAGTGGTTCTGTGCTTGACAATCTCCCACCCAAGGGGAGAGTCGTAGGGTGTCAGAAAGGGCCTCGAGGACGCTGCTGCTTTCACATGCAGCCCTTGCTTCTTTTTTTTTTTTGAGACGGAGTCTCGATCTGTCACCCAGGCTGGAGTGCAGTGGTGTAATCTCGGCTCACTGTAACTTCCACCTCTGGGGTTCAAGCGATTCTCCAGCCTCAGCCTCCTGAGTAGCTGGTATTACAGGCACACAACACCACGCCTGGCTAATTTTTGTATTTTTAGTAGAGACGGGGTTTTACCATGTTGGTCAGGCTGGTCTCAAACTCCTGACCTCGTGATCTGCCTGCCTCGGCCTCCCAAAGTGCCAGGATTACAGGCATGAGCCACCACCCGGCCAGCCCTTGCTTCTTTCTTGCCACCAGAAGATGAAAGAGAAAGTGTTTGGAGCCATAGAATGTTGAGCGTTACCAGGGCCTTCAGCTCCAGCCAATCCCTCCTTTGCAGAGGAGGAAGCCTGGGCCAGGGGCTACTGTTACCAGGGCCAACCTTAGAGAGGATGCGATTCTGTTGTTTCATGGGACG